>NC_000011.10:44302424-44605454 GCF_000001405.40 Homo sapiens
TGCAGGAGACACCAGTTCTTCATTCATTCTTCCAGCCAGCGAACATTTGTTAAGCCCAACTGTACAAAACACTTGGAAGGACATAAGCCGTAACACAGGAGGCAGGGACTTGGCATGTTCTACCTCCTAGGAGAAGGTCCGCCCAGGGAAGGTGCTCCATAAATACTGGGATAGGGAAGATGAGTGGACACAGGGGCCATGAGCCCGGGGCCTCAGCTTGAGCCTGGTCACAAAGACACTTGCTTACCCCCTCCCTATTTGCATCCCAGTCCTGAGCCCAGAACCTGCATTCCACCATGGCCCTGTAGGACCTCTAGCCGGCTTTGTGTCCTGTGATGGCTCCCCACTCAGGACCTGTGTTAGCCTCCAGGGAAGCCTTTTCCACCCACCTTACCCCAGTTTCTCCTGGACAAAAATGCGTGTGGGGGTGAGGAGGGAAGACAAAGGGGGTGAAGGTGGGCCCAGACTGCTACCAGCACAGAAACTCCAAGAGGGTCTTTGGAAATTGTCAACACTCCTGCATTTCATACAGCTAAAATTCAGACCCCGGAGCAGAACATACTTCTCCAAGGCCATGGAGGAGTAGAGAATGCAAAGGTGGAGGCTGGGGTGATCTACACCGCAACTGTGGGCCCCGGTCCCCACGTGTGCCGCGCTGGACATCAGTGTCATGGTCCAAACCTCCCACAGCTTCCCAGCCTTCTCTGTTGTGGCCTTCAGAGCCCTGGAGAGCCAGTTGTTCTGCTCTGACCTGGGTCACCAGGTCCTGTCCCTCTACGAGGTGCGTGGGGCCAACATCCATGCTGGGCCTCCAGTTCAGAATGAAAATCCACTCTTAAAGAATCTGCTTTAAGAATCCGATGAAGCAAGCACTGGCTCCCTCTCTGCCCCCAATGTGCAGCGGCGCCAGTGCCCAGCAGCCTTGACCAAGCGGTCCCGAGTACAAGCGGCGCCTTCACCGGGAAAGATAGGTACTTGGCAGCCGGTGGCCCCTCTTACCCCGCCCGTATCTCCCAGTGACCCCCTCCTCACCAAAACGGCACCCTGGGAGCCGCGGAGCGCCACGGTGACCCTTCCAACTGCCTCTGGAGTCCAAATCCGAACCGGTCCGCGGCCCTGAGTACCACCCTACACACCCCAGCCTTGGCTCCTCAGAGCCTTGCCTCTGCGTGGCTCTTCCTCGCCGCTGAGCCACAACTCCCTTCCATTCCTCTCTTTCCTCGGCGCTGGCTGGTGCGGGTTGGGGTCAGGTGGAGAAGCCGCTCTTTGTTAAGGTGACAGAACGTGCTGGGGGTGGGGGCCGGGGCCAGGGCCGGTGCAACTAGGGGGCCGCTGCCCTTTCCTGGACACAGTGGAAGCTTCTTCCGCATCACCAAATTTTTGTCATCCTTTCTGAGGGACCTGCTTCCAGGCAGCACGCAAGTTGTTGTCCCGGGTTTACTCCGCACCCCTCTACTGGGTGAGGAAGGAGCATCTTGAATGGAGATGGGGGTGTCCCCGGTTTATACATCTGCAGAGAAGAGGTGTGCCGGGCTGCACCTCTGGAGGCCGCGGTAACTGATATTAGAGAAGACCCCGGTTGCAGCTGGGAAGGCTCACTGGCTGGAAAGAGGTGCCTCCTCCTTCCAGCAAAGGGCCCTGTTTGGAAGGGCTGCTTCTCACCTGTCTAGTGGCACCACAGGACGGTCGGCTTCCACTCGAATTCCCCCGGACGGTATCATCACATAGCCGGGTCCTCGCAGTGTTGGTTTCCCAATCCGATGACTGTCACCTCGGTGAGGACCTGTGCTGATGGCCGGAGAACCCTGCGCTGCGGGCGCACATGGCCAGGTGGCGCCTGGCAGGCGACGTCCGGGTGCAGGACGGCGCTCTTACCGCCCCACCCCAAACCGTTGCCTGGGCCTAGGTCCTTCGGCTTCCTGAACAGGGGTTTGGGGGGCTAAGGACGCTGAGGCTCCGGGGGCAGGAAGTTCTCTCTGGTTAAGCGTTCTCTCTTCTCTCCGGCATACACTCCCCTACCCACCCACCTCGCCTACCCTCGGGGCGAGAGGCTCACCAAGGCAGGGCGCGCCCCCCCCATGAATCATCCCAAGGCCTCTGAGCCGCGGGGGCTCCGGGCAACTATCCCCCTCCTCTCCTGGCCTCAGGCACCCCAGTCCAGGGGTCTGCAGAGAAGCCCGAAGCCCGGACAAACGCGCCGGACGTCAACAACCTCTCATCCCTGGCAGCAGCAAAGGCCAATATATTTCCATTTCTTATTTCAGTTTGCCACCAAAACAAAGCTGCGCGCGGCTGAGGGCAGGAAGGCGCTGAGACCGAGAAGAAGGGACGTCCCGGAGAAAGTGCGCCCAGCTGATCTTAGAAACCAGAGTCCTCCGGGACTTCGCCGAGATTTTCTGTAGGGCGTTTTAATCTGTTTTCCTACTGCGTGCCGGCGTCGCAGCGCGTGCGGCTCAGGGCTTGGTGACTCCGGCTTAGCCCGGCGGTCGCGGCGAGGTTCCTGGCGCAGCCGCTTGGAACTTCGCATTAGAATCGGGACCGCGCAAATGCCCTGGCTGAAGTGTCACCCTATTCAAGAAACACTGCTGTCAGGAACAAAATGGGGTCCCCGGTGCTCCGAAGTATCTTCTGAAATTTTCTTAAAACAACTTACAAAAAATGTTTTTGCTTTAACGTTTTACAACGTTTAAGGAAACATGTAAATGGTCTGTTTCTTTATCGAGATGGTCGTCCTAACTAACAGTGTACACATACATAACAATTCTTCCAACTTTCCTCCTCAGAGCTAAGCACTTCACTATATGTAAATTATAATAAAGAAAAGATTGTGCAAGATCATGCAAGTCGATTGACTTAAAATATTGAGTTTTAATCCAGGCCCTCTGTTTTTCTATTTAACAACTTTTGTGTTTGGACCAGACTGGTGAAGCAGGCTATGGAAATTAACAAAGTAAAAAATTAAAAGCATCTTCCTTCGCCATCCCTCCCTCCAAAATTAAACAACAGTCGCCCCTTCCTGAGCAGGCTTCAGTCCCAGGCTCGAGTTTTCCTGCGATCACCCCACAGTCACCCACAGCAGCTGTTGCTGCTTCTGTCGGGTTTTCGTTTCTGCCTTCTTTGGGTCGTCTCTTGTATACAAAACACACCCCAGTTCTCTAACTAAATTCAAATACGACCCCGGCAGAATTTACACATTTCGTGGTGCATGGATTGTGTCGGTGCAGGGGAAATAAATACCCTCTGGTATTTAACCACTGAGTCTAATTCGAAAAATCGGGACTGGGCCCCTAGGCGGCACCCCAGGGGCTCCAACCTGGCCCGCGCCTCCCCAGACCTTGGCGCTGAGAGCGCTGCTTTTGCGGGTGGGTGGACGGAGAGGTAACAATCTGCTTTCAACAAAAACCTGTCGCCACCGAATCGAAAGCGAAAGGGAAGGGAGAAGAGGGGCAGCTTCCCGCAGCGGCCCCGCGTCTCGGGACAGGTAGACTAGGACCAGTACGCGCCGGCTGCAGCTCCGGCGGTCGGATCCGGAGTTTGGGGGCGAGGCGCCGGAGTCCCTGCCCTGAGTACAGGGAGGCTCTCTGCGTCGCTGAGAAACGTCGGATCTCCAACCCGACATGTCTCCTGTGGCCCAGGCGGCCCGCCCTGGACTCGGGCAAGGAATTCAGGAGGCCAAAGAGCGGACCCAGAGTCTGGAGGGGAGAATGGTGAAGTCTTGGGTTGCAACAGAAGAGGGCTCGGTGGGGGCTCTTTCGTAAAAACGCGGTCTCCGCACCCAAAGGACACTGCGGAGCCGCCTTAATCGTCGTTCTTTTAGCACATTTGGGGAAAGGAAGGCCCAAGTTGGGGTAGGGACGCTTGCAGCCCGGGAGGGTTTCTCTCACCAACTCTTTCCGCAACCCGGTCCAGACCCGGCCAGCAGAGACTGGAGGCGGCTTCCCCGCCCCGCACTCCCTCGGCTTGGCCCAGGCTCAGCTGCCCGGGGCACCTTCCTTGCCGAGAGGCAATTGGACTCTGCCGGGAGTGGGCCCAGAAGTTGAGGCCCAGGAAGAGGCCTCCGAGCTTCCCCCTTTTGTTAGGTGTAGTTACACACGTGAAAGAACAGCTTTCGCCCCGACCTCCAGGGCTAGGAATGGTTGCCAGGTCTCAGCTGCCTGCCTGAAGACGGAGATCAGCCAGCGCCAGTACTGGCACCAAGGCCGCCCCTGCCTCCGACTTTCCCAATGCTCCTGGGAGCGTCTAAGGATTTTTCCTTGAACTCCATTTCTCCGCTTTTGAGTATATACACTCTCACAACTGTGGGAGAGAATCGTTGTCAATGCATGCCTCAGTTTTCCTGCTTGCTGGCAGGGTAGGGATCCCACTCCAGAGTCCCTCCTCCTGGCTACTTCTGTTAAGGGCAGAGCCTCATCTTTTGTATCCTCAGTTTCTCCATCTTAGACCTAACGCGCCTAATCCCTTTCCTAGAAGGACCAGACATCTCCTGGCTGGGGAGACTCAGCTGCTGAGAGAGGGAAAGAACAAACACTGACTTGCTGTTTATTGTTTGTGGCTTTGCCCCGAGCAGTGCCTCCATCTTAGGCAGCATGGAGTGGCGTCCTGCCGGTAGTTACAGGCTGCCTTTGGTCCCAGCCTGCAGTTTATGACCCAGAGCAGTGGCAGGGACTTGCCCTGTCCTCAGAATTGGGTGCTCTCGAGTTCCCAGCGGCTCGGAGATAGATAGGGATGGAAATGTGGGTGGGGGTTGGGAGGGGCAGGGGTAGCGGGGGCTCTTGCTCTTGCCTCTTGCTGTCTCTGCAGAGGCACATTTATGACCCAGTAAGGCCTTTCTGTTATCACCCCAGGATGCAGATGAGGAAACCGGGGTTTGGGAAGGTGTTTGCTGTCAGGTCACACTGCCACGGGTTAGGGGCAGTAGCGGGTCAAGTGGCTGGCCCTTTCCGTCAGCTCCAAAGGCTAGTGCAAGTAGAGGAAGGGCCAGGCTGGCTGTGGGGGCCCAGCAGGACACAGAGAGAGGGCTCAGGGGAGGCCAGGCCTCTCCGCCTTCCCTCTGGACCTGAAGGCATTTAACCAAGAGGTGGGGAGCTCCTTAGGCTCTCTTCTTGCCTAATGTATCAGCCTCTTCAGAGGTCTCACTGGTAATTTTCATTAAAATATGAAAATTCAATGCAGTGGAGAGAGAGCATGAGCTCTCTGGCTATGCAGGATGAACCTCCATGGGTCCCCTAGTCTGCGACCTGCCCTCACCTAATAGTCCTGAATGACAGGGACGAGCTGGGGCCTGCATCCCTGGGCTGGGAAGGACAGCCAGTACGGACAGGGCTGAGAGTCTCTGCTGGCTTAGCACGGAAAGAGTGCCTGTATGAGAGCTGTGTGTGTCCATGTGCGGAGCTGTGTGTGTCTGTGTGTGGAGCTGTGTGTGTCCATGTGTGGAGCTGTGTGTGTCCGTGTGTGGAGCTGTGGGTGTCCGTGTGTGGAGCTGTGGGTGTCTGTGTGTGGAGCAGTGGGTGTCTGTGTGTGGAACTGTGTGTGCCTGCATGTGGAGCTGTGGGTGTCTGTGTGTGGAGCCTTGGGGGTCTGTGATCTGAATGCCTGATCTCATTCCAACTGGAGGTGAAGAGGAAGGTGGAGGAAGTGGGGAAGGGCCACTGAATCTTTCTAAATCTTCTCTCAGTTCTGTCCTATGGGTTTGGGAGTATGTGGCTCATTCGAGGCCACATGGGCATGTGTTCTTGGGGTATGACCACATCGGCTCCTAAAGAAGATGCTCTCTGCGTGTGTGTGTGTAGAGTGCAATTGTAGACAAGCATATGACTGTGAATGTTTGTCAGCAGCCATCTATGAACTAGTTCTGCGCCTGTGAAAGAAGGAACCTGAATACGAGAAAATATCTGCCATCGGCTGTTTTCCCAAAGTTATTCTAGCCACCAAGGCCTCCGCCGTGTCCCAGCCTCTGTCCCCAGGCCTAGTGCCTCTCCATCAGCCTGGATCAGGGCAAATTCCCTGCCCCCAACTCTTCCCACCAGGGCCGGACCTGAAGGCCAAGGCCTCCGGGTATGTGCTCAGGACTCCTGGCCCAGAGAAGGTTTTTCCCTTTCTGCGTCTTTGCTTCCCCTTCCGCTTTGGGGTTCAGGAACCCCGATTCTCTGGAAGAAGAGAAGGCCTAGGCTACTGAGCTGCTCTGGCTAGAGACGTCCTTGAGTGTCTCTCTCTCCCGGGCAATGGTGGCTGTGCTCTGGGGGGCCCAGGCCTGCCTCCTGTGGCTGCGTTCAAGGCAGCTTGGAGGTCATTTAGGCCAGCTCCCCCGGGTTCCCCGTGGGCTCAAATCAGGACCCAGACCCTTCTCTCTTGCCACAGCTCTGGGCCACCTGGGACTCGGGACTTCCTGTCTCCCTTCCTACTCTGTCCTAAACCATTGTTCAGAGGCCTGCCGCCTCCAAGAATCGCCGAGGGAGAAGCTCCAGGGGAACTGGCCTGCCCGCATCCCCACTGCCAGTAGCGCTCAGGGTCCCAGGACTCGGGTCTTGCCAGACCACAGTGTCCCCTGGGACCCTAGGGTCTCTGGCTCCGCACTGTGTTGCGCCAGTGCGCCTGGATTTCCCGTGAGCTTTCGGCCAACCACGCTCCGGGCTTCCCGCCTGGCTCCGCACCTGCGGCGCTCTCACCTGCGGCGGCGCCGCCCGAGGAGCCTCCCAGCCGGCGAGGAGCGAGGCTTCTGCAGTCCTGCTGTCCCGCAGCCCCGCAGCCCCGCAGCCTCGCAGCCCCGCAGCCCCGCAGCCCCGCAGCCCCGCAGCCCCGCAGCCCAGCGCCAGAGCGCTGCGCGGAGACTCCTTGCCGCCGCACGCCCTGGGCCGGTAAGAAGCATCCGCTTCAAATCCCGCCCAGCGGGCAGCGCAAAGCGAGCGGTTTGGGGAAATGCCGAAGGGACCGGGAAAAACAAACTCCAAGTCGAGTTTAACAGCCGAAACGCTCCGTGCCTAGGCCGGCGGACAAGAAGGAGACAGAACAGATCCCTTGGCTCCCTCGCAGCGATCGATCCCGTTTACCGACCAGAGTCACCACCCCGCCCCCAGCCCGCCAACTCATACCTCCCGCAAGCCACCAGTTTCAAGGGATGCGGAAGCCAAGCACCCCGTGGTCCCCAGCACCAGGTGACCCGCACGTGCACTCACCGTAGCAGGGAACCTGCAAGGCCGCGCTGTGGCCGCTGCTGCCTTCCTGGAGTTTGAGGCTGCCGTCCGGGGGCGTCTTGCAGGCGCCTCGCTGCAAGTAAAGATGCGGTTGCGCGGGCGGCTGGGGCTGCGGCTGCTGCTGCTGCGGCTGCGGCTGCGGCGGCGGCTGGGGCTGCGGGGTCGACGGCTGGGGCTGGAACTTGTTAAAGGAGCCCCGCGCCCCAGCTCCACTCTCCAGGGGTGTCGCCAGGTCCTGCTGCCCAGCGCCGTAACGGGCCCGGCTCTTGGCGTCCCCGAATCCCTGTGCTTTGGCGGCGGCCGACAGGAAAGTTGTGCCGAACTTGTCGCCTCCGGGAAATGCCCTAAAAGGCGACGAGCCCTCCCGACTCTGCGACACCGGGCTGTAGTAGGCGTCCATGGCAGCGGCCGGCGACTCGCAGTAAGAGACGCAAGTCTCAGCATTCATGCCTGGCTTGCGCAGGCGGCGGGCGGGGACGCGAGCGAGGGCGCGAGGACGCCACCGCGCGCCTTGGCTGGGAGTTTGGGGAGGCGAGGAGGCTGTGGCTGTGCACTCCTTGCCCGGCCTGCTCGCTCTCCCTCCTCCCCTCCACGCCGGCCTCTCTCTCTCTCCCCCTCTTCTTTCTCTGTCTCTCTCCTCTCTCTCCCTCCTCTCTCTCTCTTCCCCTCCCTCCCCCCCCCTTCCTCTCTCTCTCCCTCTCTCTCTTTCCTCCCTCCCCACAGCTAGCCGAGGGAAAGAACGGAGGGCAGTAAAAAGATTCAGATGTTTCGGAAAGTTGACCAGATCTCCCAAACCCTCTTAAGGTTTTGCAGCGGAAAAAAAAAATAAGTAAATTTTTTTCCCTGCCTTGCTTCTTCCTTTCCCCCTCTCTCGTCCCCTCCTCCTCTCTCCTTCCACTGGCCCCTGCCCCCTCCTCTCCACTCTTAAGGAGATGCTACTAACTCGCTAGCGGGGATTCAACCCGGAGGCGCCCGAGGGCTTTTCCGATTCTAGGCGGGGCTGGGGAGATGCCAGGATCCCCAGGGCTCCCGAGGCTAGGCTGAGAATTGGCGGGGTGTCGGAGCTTTGCCTTAGGGCAAAGGGAAATGCAAATTTTAATGACAGGTTAAAAAAAAGCCCCCCAAAATAAACCTAACAGGTTTTGACATTCGAAGCCAGGGGGACCACGGGCCTGCGGATGCAAGCGAGTCCTACGGACTCCTGCGCGCGAGCTCGCGGGCGCCGCTGCGGGCCTTCCCGCTGGCACCTTTTCCTAGGTTTCCAACCTTCCTCCCCATTCCCGTTCCTACGGGAGATTAACACACACACAAGCCTTCGTCGTCCAGTGCATGGTCACTTGCACGTCTTGTTAACTATTTCCCTCTGCTGTAAGGGCGCTGGGCTGGGATGTAGCGGAATCTGTGCTCCCTCAAGCCCTGGAGAAGCCCTGGGCTGGGCCCGGCTTCAGAAGCTTTAGAGCGCTGCCCTCTGCGCTCCCGTCTAGAGGCCGCACCGTTCACGCCCCACGTCTGCGCCCAGGCGAGGGGATTTCCTGCCAGGCGAAGTACAGAGAGCGGACTCTGGAGACCCCCTGACCTTGCCCGATAGTCGCGCTGTCACCTGTTCACTCCTTGGGGTCAGGGGTCGGGGAGAGGGGTGAGACCGTCTCTTCCCTTTCTGGCCTCACTGCCCCCGACTGTAAAACGAACTGCTTGGTTTTGATAGGTTGTGGTTTCACCACCACTGCGAGCCTCAAGGCCCCTGGCACCGCCACAGCAAGGGAAAAAACTTTGCGCGTGCAGCCCCTCGATTTCGCTTCATGACAACCGTGCTAGAGATTGGCGCCCCCAATTTTCTGATGAGCTAACGGAGGCTCAGAGAGGGGCGGCCACCTGGTCCAGGTCACACAGCTGGGAAATAGCCGTCGCGCCCTGGAACCTCTGCTCAGGCTAGTCCCTCCACCGACCTGGAAGGCCGTGCGGACAGCGTAGATGCAGAGGGGAAACTGGCCCCCGGCTGTGGAATGGTTCAAGTTGAAGGAGACCAGCGAGAGCAGCCTTCCTTAAACCGCTGAGAAAATCGTTAAGCGAGAACGTACCTCTAGGGAGTCTGGGAGTAGGGTGAGAGGTAAAAGTGCAAGGTAAAATTAAAGAGGGCCTGAGCACCGTGAACCAAGGAATGTGGGTCAGATGTCAACTTTCTGCATCTAAGGTCTCCCAAAGAAAAAATATACCTGGGGGGTCGCGCTTCTGCTCCCAATCTCATCTGGGCTAATTCTTACCCCCACCCTACCCCCTTAGTATCTCTGGTCCTTGCTCCGCCGCCGACCGCGCGATCCCACATCTGGTTTCCATCGCCGGCTTACCTTGAAGTGCTCGTTAATAAAGATATTCCGCAAACCAAGCCAGGAGCGCGCAGGCTCCAGCCGCCCCCCACTCCATGCCCAATGGGAACCGCGCCTCACTGGCCCGCAGACCTAAGCCACTTGAGAGTCCTTTATTTATTGAGCTCCTGTTGTGCCAACAATCTGGCAATACAAGGCTTATCATACCCATTTTGCATATGGGTAGACTGAGACTCAACCAAAATAATTTTCCAGTTAGCAAAAAGCGGAGTGCTCCTGCCATCATCCTAAATGCTCCTGTCCAGCGGTTTCTTCAAGTTCCTAGAACCTGCCAAGGTCTCTAGCCTGTGCACTGTAGCATAGGTGGTTTCCCCTACCTGGAATTCCCTAAACTCATTCCTGCACTTTTGTCTGGCTAATGATTCAGAGTTCAGCCTAGAGCATCTTCCTCTAGGAAGACTTCCCGTCTCTCCTAGTTTAAGTTGACGCTTCCGTTTGCCTCATCTCCGTCCCAGATCTCGTGGTTGTCTGGTTGCCTGGCTATGAGTGTATCTCAACCCCACTAGTTGCCCCAGGGCAGCCTCCTACGTGCCTGGCACCCCACAAATATTTGTGGAATAAAAGATTAAACCTGGACCAGGCGCGGTGGCTCACACCTGTAATCCCAGCACTTTAGGAGGCCAAGGAGGATGGATCACAAGGTCAGGAGATCGACACCATCCTGGCTAACACGGTGAAACCCTGTCTCTACTAAAAATACAAAAATTAGCCAGACGTGATGGCAGACGCATGTAGTCCCAGCTACTTGGGAGGCTGAGGCAGGAGAATGGCGTGAACCAGGGAGGCAGAGCTTGCAGTGAGCCGAGTTTGTGCCACTGCACTCCAGCATGGGCGACAGGGCGACAGGGTGAGACTCCGTCTCAAAAAAAAAAATAAATAAATAAAAATAAAATAAAATAAAGATTAAACCTGGGGCTGTAGGACTCTATCACCTCAGTGTATTCCAACTGCTCAGTGCAGCACCAAGTTCTGAGACTCTTTCTTTGGTTTCCCTTAGTCAAGGACAGCTGGTCACCCACCCACCCCCTCTTCAAAAATCAAGTAGCGGAATTAACAGCGTGCTGGACCTTCCTGAGCCTGTGCCTTGAGAGCAGTGAGTTTTCTCACAGCAGGGGCCAGGTCTGTCTTGTTCGCTGTAGGGCTTGGCACTCATAAAATGCTTGTTGAGTGAATGAATGAAAGTGTCCTATGGTTCCCAGGGGCTTAGAGATGCATTTTTTTGTCAAGGAGTTCCAAGCCAGCCGCCTACTCCAGTCTCCTGTGCCCAGCAGCTGCCTGTAGGCACCCAGAAGGTGGTGGCAATACCCCCGCTTCTTTCTCCACCTCCATTCCTGTCTAAAAAATGAGGGAAGGACTATGAGAGGCAAATTGTGGTGGAGAGGGTTGGGGTGGGGATGACAACCCCGAGACAGGAACAATTGCAATTGTACACTCTTCCTAGAACCTCTGAACCAGGCGCACCCAATGCAAAAATTTGCTGTGTTTCATGAAGCATTTTTTGAGCATCACCTCGCCTCTTACCACCTAAACACTCTGAGCTTGTATTACCTGTTTAATTACTGCCTCGCTATTCAACCTTTCCCTGACCACCTGGATATTCAAACCCAAGGATTTCATGCCCTAAGCCAGAATCTTTCCTGTCTTGCCTGAGACCCTGTGTCCTTGGAACGAGCGCCTTTAGTCCTCCGCATTTTATCTTATAGATGCATCCAGGAAGAATGAGCGAGTGCCAACAAGTGAGAAAGTGCCTTGGGGACAACGTTCCGGGCAAGTCCTTTGAATGTGTGACCTGAAGCCCTCATGCAAACCTCCACCGACTCCCTCTCCTAGGTCCCTTCCAAAACATTCCAGGGACTGTGGTAATAAGAGCAGCTGGTTATTTCTGTTTGTGTTCAATCATTTGTTCCTCTATTGGTCCTTCCGTAGTTGAAAGTGGAACCACTCCCATCTGGTTCTTAAGCAAGGATGTAGGGCATCCTTCCAGCTTTCTGGCCACAGGGAGAGTGCTGGAGCCTGAGTCTGGGCCTGACTGCTGCTCTCCAGGTGCGTTATTTCTCCCGCAGCTGAGGCTCTCCCTGGCTTGCTGCCTGATTCCTGTCAGGTTCCTTCACACGCCAGGCAGTTTCTGCATGCCCAGTTACTTCACTGTGTACTGGGAGACCCAGGGGACTACACCCACCTCAGCAAGTCATGAAGTCATGTGCACCACTTGGCTGGAAGTTGCCAGCTCTGCAAATGGTGGAAGGCTATGATAACTGCTTCTAGTCCTGCACTCCCACCCCTGGCAAATGCTCCGCTGGCTGCCCCCTTCTCCCTCCCTTTTGCTTCTCCCAGTCAGCCCTCCAGGAGGCAGCTTCCACATTCTGTGGCCTCAGGCTCCAGGCTCCACACTTGGGAAGGGTGTGGGAACATGGTGAAGAAAAGCCTTTCTTCCTCAACCCTAGTGCTGGGTGTCACCTCCTCGCTGAGGCCTTCCTTCGCCACCCTAGCTACCCCGTCACATCGTCTTTTTCCTCCATAGCGTCTACCGTGATCTGATATTATCTCCCACATTTGTTAATGTACTTGGTTTATTGTCTGTGTTCTTCCTAGAATGCAAGTCCCTGGCCACTGTCTCCCCAGTACTGAGTGCAGTACTTGGCACACAGTGCTGCTCAGAAAATATATTGAATAGATGATTGAATGAATAGCCCAGAGGACTGCCCCTGGCTGGGGGGGTAGCTGCCCAGTCCTGGTGGCTCCGGTAGAGCCCAAGGGTGGGGGATTGAGTTGGTTAGAGGGTGCCCAGTGGGGAGAGAGCACAGCAGACTCTTTCTTTTTCTTTCTTTTCTTTCTTTCTTTTTTCGTTCTTTTTCCTTCCTTCCTTCCCTCTCTCTCCTTCCTTCCTTCTCTCTCTTTTCCTTCCTTCCTTCCTTCTTTCCTTCCTTCCCTCCCTCTGTCCTTTTTTCCTTCCTTCCTTCCTTCCTTGTCTCTCCTTCTCCCCTTCCTTCCTTCTCTCTCTCTTCCTTCCTTTCCTTCCTTCTTTCCTTCCTTACCTCCCTCCCTCCTTTTTTTCCCTTCCTTCCTTCCTCCCTCCCTCTCTCTCTCTCTTTTTTTCTTTCTTTCTTTCCCTTGAGATGGAGTCTTACTCTGTCGCCCAGGTTGGAGTGCAGTGGCACGATCTTGGCACACTGCAACCTCCATCTCCCAGGTTCAAGTGATTCTCCTGTCTCAGACTCCCGAGTAGCTAGGACTACAGGTGTGTGCCACCATGCCCGGCTAATTTTTTGTATTTTTAGTAGAGATGGGGTTTCACCGTGTTAGCCAGGATGGTCTCAATCTCCTGACCTCGTGATCCACCCACCTTGGCCTCTCAAAGTGCTGGGATTACAAGTGTGAGTCACTGCACCCAGCAGAGCCACCACCTTCAGTCTGAGCTGCCCTCTACTCCCCAATTATCTACTGCACTGCCACCCTGGCTGAGCACTGTGGACGTGTGATGAGGGGCACCCCGGCTCCACAGCCTGGCACCTACCTTCTATGTAACCTTGCCTGACTGACCCAAGCCTTGACTTCCATGTGAGTCAAATGGGGACTACGCCCACATCAGCAAGCCCTGTGCAGCACTTGGCTGGAAGTTGCCAGCTCTGCAAATGGCAGAAGGCTACAATAACTGAAGTGTGGGGTGGAAAGGACACTTTGGACACCGGCAGAAAAGACGGGAAGAGTCAAGATATGAAGCCGAGAAGCTTCTAAGTCTTGCATGGGAACCCTCCTGTCCTAAGGAACCCTGTGCACTCACCTCACACTCTAGAAATAACAACGTAATAGCCACAGCCTATCGGCAACTGTTACATTACAAGTCAGCCCTTGCACACTGAGATCTTTGCAATCCTAACAATAGCCTTATGATGGAACTATTATTCTCATTCTATAATGGTTACGAAATCGAAACACAGACAAGTGAAGTAATAGCTCGGGGCCACACAGCAAAGCAGAGGACTTGGGATTCGAACTCAGGCGATCCAACGTCAGAAACTATGGTCTTAACCGCTGCGCGAGTTATCAGAAATCCCTGGAGCCAAACACTACGGGGGACCGGCGGACCAAAAGGTTCCTAACTCCTTTGGACCTCCAGGGCTCGCAGAAAAGCTGCCACTTCTCCAGAGCCGCCAGGGCGGGCGCGAGAGCAGCGAGTCCGCGCGGGTCCTCGGCGCGCTCGCCAGACCCAGCCGACCGCGTGACTCACCACGTCCTCCGCCGGGAGGAGGTCAGCATCGGCCCTGGGCACCGGTCCCCAGCCGCCGCAGCCCCTGCCCCAATCTCCCCGGAATGCGGACGCCGCCGCGCCAACCCGAGCCTCCAGTCGGATAGAGGCAGGGAGGGAGGCACTGCCCACGACGAGTGCTCTCCAGGCGCTGCAAAGAGCAGGGGTCTCCTAGGGGCTTTGAGACCGCGGGCGGACCTCGGGGGAGCAGGCGTGGGACCCGATCTGTGCCGGCTCAGCAGGGCCCCAGCAGCGCCCCAGCGTCGCCCGCCCTTCCTCCTCGCCCACCTTACGCTGGGACTTGCACCCCGAGTTTAGGGGCTTAGCCATTTCCGGAACTCGGGCTAGTGGACTCTGGGGAATCAGGCGCTGGGAGAGGCCTTCGCAGCTGCGTCTCTCCTGCCCAGCATATTGTGTTGAATGAGGCAAGGGAGTGAGGGGGTCGTAAAGGAAACCCGCACTCAGGGGCACACCTTCATTTATCTGGGAACAGCGCGGATCCCAGAGGTGCGGGATAAACCAGGCGTTCCAGCTGCTCACACGCTGTTTGGTACCCCGCGTCTATGAAGCACAAAGCAGGAGCGGATTGGAGGTTTTACAAACTGACCAACCCCGCCGCCCGCGCCCGCTGGAGGGAGACGCACACCTTTGCCCTGCATATTCGCTTCCAGGCTCTGCATCTCTGCTCTTGGGGAGCCGGCCACCCGCTTTTCCGCGCGGGGGCTGGGGTTCTCGCCTGAAGGCGAAGTCCGCGTGCGCGATGGAACCTGGTGCCCCGCCCTCTCTGGCAAGGGCAAGGCCAAGAGCGCAGGGCGGGGAGAGGAGCTCCGGGGACCCGCGGAAAACCTGGCTCGAAAGCCCTGGAGGCGAGCTCTCCACCGTGTTCGGTGGCCACCTTAATTCTTGTTGAACCGAGAGGAAGTTGTTGAAACCGGAAGTCGGCCTCTGGGGTCTGAGCCCGTCCACCCTTTGCAGATCGGTAACAGCCGAGGAAAGCACAGATATTTTAAGTCCTCACATAATTCCCACGTCATTAGCCAAACCCCAGGCCAGGTGTTTGGAGGGAAGCCCCGTGTGCCTACTTGTTTTCCCTTCTCTCCCGGAAGCTGGTCCTTTAAGGTTTCAAAATGTGGCTGCAAAAGATTGGTGGTGGAAGAGGTGGGCCAAACGCAGCGCCTATCCAGGGTCCTATCCAGGGTCCTCAGGCACCTCCTGGGCAGACGCGAGGCCTCAGTTTCTTGAGGTGCTTGGCAGGAGAAGTGGATCTGCCTTTATTCAGCCGTAGTTCCAGGGAAGCCAGTAGGAATGCTCTACCCATTTCTCAGCTGGGGAGGTGGAGGCAAAGGAGTGTGATGGCCAGGGTATCTGAAGACCCTTCAAACTGTGTCTGCTTGTGCCTGGCTCTGGAGAGTGGGGGAGGGCTCAATGCTCTCAGTAGAATCTCCAAGGAGTTCCTGGCCCCCAGAAGGTTAAGCTCCACTGTCCTGGGCAGAGCTGTCCCTTGGGACAAAGCATCCCTCTCCCCAGAGTTGTCTCGGTTCCCTCAGGCCTGGACCTCACTCCCTTCCCCCTCCTCCCTTTCATTCTGCAATGCAAAGGTCTCCATGCCCAGCCTGGCACTGCCCAACTGACAGCCTGTGGGTTTGGGGAAGAGGGCTCTTCTGGGGTGGGTAGCACCTCTGTCTGGTAAGGAAGGGATGGTCCTTCCATCCCACCATTCAGAAAACCGAGCTGAAGCTGGAGAGAGTCAAAGGGGCAGGCTTCCATGAGGACGGGAGAGGGCTGGCTTCTTGATTCTCTCTGGCTGATACTCAAACTTGGCTCTGCGTCCACACCTCCCTCCCTCCTTTCCCCACTCCTACTCTCCTCCAGTCCCCAGAGCCCATTGTTCAACCTTGTGCCATGGCTTCACTCACAGGAGGGAGCATGGTCCATAATTCCCTTGTCTCGTCCCCACAACTATGGCCCTGGGCCTCCAAGAGTCCTTCTTCTCTAAGGTTTCATTTGTCTGTCCACCTGCCCCGCCCCCCACCCCAAGAGTTGGTGGGCAGTCAGTGGCAGCTGTGTTGACTCCCATTCCAACCCTCCCTCCGTCCCCAGTATGGTCTCTGGGTTGGGAGGGGGCTTCTGGATTCGCTCCAGGACAGAGCTGGAGTGAGGCCTCTGTGATAGTGGGGAGGCCTGTGGGGTGGTAAAAGTGGGAAGGAAGGAGGCAGCAAAATGCTCGGACAGTGGCTACATTAGTGGTGAGGAGCCCAGCTTTGAATCCCAGCTGTGCTGCTTACTGGCTGTGTAATGCCTGTAAGTGACTGCCTTCAGGGAACTCAGTTTCTCCTTCTGTGAAATGGGGATAATAATAGCCCAGTACCTACTTCATAGGATGGCTGCTTAGATTAAATGAGATCATGCTGACTTCAGATTTTCTCACCATTTCCATATTGGAGACTGCTGTTTTAGACACCCTAGCCCAGGCTGAAAAGCCCCTGAAGTGATCATTTGGGGTTCCTGACCTTCAACAGCTGGGAAAATGGGTTATATTCACCCGCTTCTTCTACCCACAGCTTGCCCTGGGTCAGGGTCCTTTCAAAGCACCAGGAGTGAAAAAGCCAAAGGAATTAATAACTCCCACGGTCCGGCCCTTCCTGTCGGTGCGCAGGGAGATGGAGGGCGTGTGTTGAGTGGGAGAAGGTCTTAGGGGTAGGGTCTCTGCTGCTCTCCATCTCCCGGCTCTGACCCACCTGGCACTTTAAGTAGCACCTTCTTCACCTTCCTTGATTCGCTTCGTGAGCTTACTACTGCCCTGTGGAGTAGGGTCTATGTCCCCGTTTTACTGTTAGGGAAAGGGGAGCCCAGACACGCATTGCCGTTTTCCCGAAGTCACTGGGCCAGCAAGAGGTCAGGTTGACCCTCCAGCCCAGGGCGGCCGGCTCCCAGGCCTGCTGTCTTTATCCCGGCAGCCTCCTGCAACCTCCTCCACCCTGCCCTCCTGCCGCCTGCCTCCGGAGGGAGGGGTCCCTGCCCTAGCACCTGTCATAGGAGGCAGCCGGAGCGCACATTCTGATCGCATAATCCCGAGGCTTGTGACTGGCAGGGAGGGGGGCTGAGAGGAGCGAGGCGGACATCGGGGAGGGCAGAGCCGAGGGGAATGCACAGGAGAAGTACTAGGGTAACCTTAGCCACAGAAAGAGACAGAAGGAGGGGGACAAACATGGGGCTGCTTGGCATAGTGCGCGGCACAGAGTAGGTGCTTAGTAAGTGGTGGTGGTGATTATATTTCGATTGCCTCCTGCTACTCATTAGCTGCGTCCAGCCTGTGCAACTCCCCCGATCCGGCCGGTAGTATCTGAGGACTCCAGTGGCCAGACCTCGACCCTCTCTCCCACCCCTCCTGAGGTCCTTCCTTCCCCAGGACCCATGGGCGCACAGCTGGCCTCTCCATACTCCCCCTACCCGCCCAGAGCAGGCCCAGAGCGCGCAACTGCGGGCGAACTGACACCTCTCCTGGCGTCGACCCCTCGGTCCAGAACTGAGTCCAAGGGCCCCGATTACCGATCTATGGGCGGAAGCGCAGCGCAGCGGCTTTGTTTCTCCACCCCCAGGCCTTGGGGAAACTTAGGGCGGCGCGCGCTCCCAGGTCGGCTAAGACCGGAGCGAACCGACTTGCAAAACCACAAGGGCAACTGATGGGATAAAAAGAGACACCCAAAGCCATAGCCTCGTGTGCCACTCGGGCCACTCCCGGAGCAAAGAGGCGAGGCCCGGAGGAAGCAAGCTCCGGAGGTCGCTAGCTCCGGAGGTCGCTGGGAGGTGGCTTCTTCGTTGAACTTCTAGAGCGCCACTGCTCCACCCCCCGCCCCCCGCCCCGCGCATCTCAGCCGACCCGCGCAATGTGCTCTCTCGGTCCTCACTCAAGGTCTTGGGGCCTGAAGGAGGCTGGGCCGCGCCCCGAGGAGGAGCCGCCCGCTGGAAACACCCAGGAAACTACTCGTCCTCAGGGGTTGGCTGTGGAATGAGCTTTGGCTGGAGAGCCTGGTACCGTGTCCTGGCTGTGTCTGCGCAGTGACGTGCTTCAGGGCCTGGACACCAAGCTTCCTCTCTCTCAAACCTTTTCCCTCAGGTGCTCTGCCATGCTCAGGAGCGAGGAAACTCCTCGCTGCTTTCTCTAAATTGAATTCGTTTACAGGTCCCGGTCGAGTTTTTCAAAGGGTGGTGGAAAACGCGCGCGCGAGCTCTAGTAAAGCCAGGCAGAGCTGGTTGCTAATCCGTGGTCTGTGGTTGTGCCATCTTGGGCAAGTCACTTCTCTCTGTGCCTCCGTTTCTTCACCTGTGAAATGGACGTGATTATTTCTATCTCCTAGGAAAGCTGTGAGGATCAGAGATCACGTGGGTAGATGCTCCCTTAACTTCAGTTCTTATTCTCACTTGGGATGGTTGCAGGTTTTGCAGAGCTTGGAGGAAGATGCAATTCTAGAAGCCACCCTGACCTCCTGTCCAGTCGAATTCAAATGAAGTAGTGGCTAGATTTCCCCAGATCCTCTTCCAATGGGGCCCCGGGGCCACATGACCTGCTCTTTGATGGTCCCTCGGCTCCCAAGTGTGGCCAATCCAGTCCTTTCAGGATTTGCCTCTAAAATAAATCACTGGTCTTGCCCTTTCTCTTGCCAAGTTAACTAGCACTGTTTCAATTTCTTAGAGACGAGGAGTGGGGTGCAAAATGAGCTTTGTTAATTATCGCACCTAGGGAAGCAACTGATGCTGATTTCCCTCCCCCTCCACTCCTCATTTTTTAAAGGTGAAATTCACATAACATAAAATTAACCTTTTAAAGTGAACAATTCTGTGGCGTTTAGCATATTCTTAGAGGTTCCAAAACATTTGCATCATCACCAAAGGACCTATTTTCCTTTTTTAAGGATTGCTTGCCCTTGGAGCTGAGATGCTATGCAGGTAGACAAGGTAGACACCAGGGCTTTTCAATGCTTTTAGAAAGAGCTGCTTCCCAGATGATTGCGAAGTTGATCTCAAAAGACTTGGGAGCTGAGGAAGTGGAGTCGGGTGCTTACCCAGAACCTACAGAATCAGTGTGGGAGAGAGTAGGGAAGGGAGTGAGAAGGACTATGGGACAGAGACCTCCATCTCCAGGCCCAGGTTGAGGGTGTTTGCTGATCCCGCCTTCCAAATTATAGGTACAGTTTCCATCCTGCAGGAGCAGTGACTCTAGAAATACATGCAATTCACACAAATATTTTACATCCATGCCTCTTCGGCTTTCTAGGGGAGACGTTTCTTTGATGATCTGATGAAAGTTGAGGACCCTCTTTCTGGAAAGATGCAGATAGATGCTGTATTAGTTTCTGAGAGCTTCCTTAACAAATTGAAGCAAACGTGGTGGACCAAAATTTCTTCCCTCCCAGCTCTGGAAGCGGGAAGTGGAAGATCAAAGTTCCCGCAGGGTCGTGTTCCTCCAAAGGCTCTAAGAAAGAATCTTCCTTTCCTTTTCCCGGCTCCCGGGTCCCCAAGCTTTCCTTGTGACTTCATTACTCCAATCCCTGCCTTTGTCTTCCCAAGGCCTTCTTCTCTCGGTCTCCTTCTCTTCAGTCTCTGATAAGGATACTTGTCATTGGATGTAGGGCCCACCCGGATAATCTGGAATGATCTCATTTTGACAGCCTTAATTTAATTAAGCTGCAAATACCCTTTTTCCAAATAAAGTCACATCACATTCTAAGGTAGTGGGGGTTAGGACTTGGACATATCTTTTGGGGGTTACCATTCAACCCATTACTGTTGCATACTCCCATTTTCACATAAAATTTAGGGGGTCTTCAAGCCCCTGTCCAATCTAGGAGTTGCAGTTTTAATGCCACGAAGTAATCCTTTGATATCACTATTTGAAAGATGGAGAGAAAAACAACCAACCTTGTTCTGTAAATCCAAATTCCTATAGTTCTCTTCTTTTAAGGGAGGACACACCTACATATGGTTAAAAGGAGAAAAGAAAACTGCCATTTGGCCCCAGTGATATCATCTACCATTTTGAGGAAGGACATTCCAGAGCAGAAGGCTAGAGACAGACAGTGGTTGCCTTTTTATAAAGAAGCCCTTGGAAAATGCAGCATCAGCCAGAATCTAAATTTGTGAAAATGGACCAACAGGAAATTTCACCCCACGTCAGACAAACTTCATAAGGGCGCTGTGGGGGACTCTATTGCTCAGAGAGGCTTTTTAAGAAAATTGCAACTTTTCGCCAGACCCCGAGTGTATTGGGAAGTTGCACAAAGATCGTCACACCCTTTCGTGGCTTCTCCTCCCTTGGTGGTAAGGGAGGAGTAAACTTTTTCTCAAAGAAAGGGAGATGGTATGGAGGAGGAGAGGCTGGGGAAAGGCTACTTCCAGAGCCAAGGATGAGGACGGCTCCGAAGATAGAAGTGACAGCTTCCTCAGCTGAGTCCCTGGGTCGCCACCTGTGTCCTTCCTGCAGATCGGATTTATAGAGTGTAACATTTTAATAAAAAACACACACACCTTCCCATTTTGGTGCATTAAGAGATTTTTAACAAAACACTGTAATGTTGCTATAAATTTTTCTCCCAGCACCCTCACAAGTAATAACTCAGCTATGGCATTTTGCATTTAATGTTTATTTTGATGGCTACATTCCAGCCAGAGTGGGGGCTCAGGGTGGGGAGGGGTGGGGAGAGAGAAGCAAAAATGCCTCCTCTTTCCTAACCATTAACTGTGTGTTTTTAATAAAGTCCCTACAAATTGGGGAGCCAACACTTGGAAAGGAAGGAAGGAAATCATGACACCTTATCAGGAAGGGCTAGTGGCCTCAGCTCCAGGAAGTAGCTGGGGTTAGGCCCCAGCTGGGTCCTGCCAAGATGGGTCCCCAGAGGGTTTCTGGAATGTTCTGCCTAAAATGCCCTTCTCCCTTCTCCCCAGCAGCTTTGGAGGCATAGCTCAAGCCTCATCTTCTGGAAGTTTCCTCTTAATCTTCTCTACTGGAGTGATGTGCCCCTCCCCTGAACAGTGTTCATTCTCTCCACCCATCACCTGTAATGTAGATGTTGGCTAGAACAGACTCAGAGCAAGGAATGTTGAATGAATGAAGAAAGGAAGGAAGGAACAAATGAATTAAGTAGAACTGGTTGGAGAATTCCCTTTCGTTATATCTGAGTTACTGCCATGAAGGCAGCTGTTATGGGAATGGTTCATTATTTTCCCCTTTGGATCTGAATGGTTTAAAATCAGATGGAAATCAGTTCACAAGCCCCATCTCGTTCACAGGTTTCGTATTCCAGATTTCTTATACCAAGGACACAGGCCAGAGGAGAGGTTGTTTAGGTCATGTAGTCTGTTCCTTTGGCACCAGGTCAGAAGGAAAGGTGAGGGCTGCCAAAGATGTAAGGGCTGCTTCCTGGAAGGTTGAGACTAAGGGTCTCAAAGCCTCATGGCTGCTTACGGCCAAGCTTCCTGTCCCTTGGCTGTGGAGCCTCCCCTGTGTCCTCCCACCATCAACCCTTCCTTCTTACCAACTCCCAGCCCTTCCTGCTTGCCTTTCCGTGGGGCCACTGATGCGAGCCTGAGCTCTGGGTGATGCCCTCTTCTTTGCCCAAGGCTTGCTCAAATCATAAGTGGAGATAATGAATGGAAAAAACATTATTAGCTTGTAAACTGCAAAGTGCCTCAGACATGGAGGGTGACACTTAACACAATGGTTGTGAGTCACATGGGTAGTGAGTGGGTCAGACACTGGAATCAGAATGATTTGGGCTCTGCCGCTTATTGGCACAGGGCCTCAGTGTTCTCATCGGTACACTGGGGACTTTAGTAATTGGGTCGGGGGTGGGGTTATTTGAGAAAGGTCATGGGAAATGCTTGGCTCAGGTTAGCGCTCCACTGTCACTTTCCAGGATAGGAGGGTACCTGGCTGTACACCTGCCACTCTTTGATCCCTGGACATAGTCAGCTGGCTGGGCAGGGGTGTCCTTCCTCCACTTACCTCCATCCCTTGCCCTTCCTTCACTTTCTCTGTGGAGGAAAAGTGTTCCTCCATCAAGGGTTCAAATTCTCCCTCTGCCACTTCTGCCACTTATTAGCTGTGCAACCTCAGGTGAGTTACTTAACCTCTCTGGGCTTCTGTTTTCTTTTATTTGATAAATGAGGAGGTAATGGTTGTCTTGATGCATTATTTGAGGATTGAAGGAAATGATGAGAAAGGCTGGCACACAGTAGGCACGTCTAAATGTTTTTCCTTATCCTTCTTTCCCTGGGTATCCAACAAGCAGATACTGTATCTGATGTTGCAGTGCCTCTTAGGGTCTACACACAGATGGTGCCTAATAGCTGCTCTAGATGGATGGACTGGCAGAAAGCTGCATTGCCTGTACTGGGGAGCTCTCAGGGAGACCACCTCACTCCTCCTCCATGAGGACAATATGCATTTTCCCTTTTTACAAGCTCTCAGCCTGGCCCATGGCATTTTAAAGCTGAGATAAACAGTTCCAGGGCAAAGCCAGGGATCAGGGCTGATCTTGGCTCTTTCTAAAGAAGTGTTTCTGAGCCTTTTAGGCAATATCTCAGCCCCCACCCTGCTGCCCCTCTAGCTTTAATGGGTGCTGAGCACTTTACACCCCGTGAAACCCGCGGCAAATGGTTCTGGTCTCTGATGTTCAGTCCAGGCTGGCAGCAGGGGCTGGCGCTCAGCCTCCGCCTGAGGAAATGAAAGCCCGATGGAGGCTGGAGGAGGAGGAGGCGCGGGAATGTCCAGAAACAGCATGGCAGCTGAAGCAAGCCAGGCCTTTACCCTGGTGGCGCCATCCCTCAGACATCTCTCCCTTGTCAAACTGAGGGCAGCAAGACCTGTGGCTGTCAGGCAAACTCCTGCTTACTCCCAGAAGCCCTTGCAGATCAAGCTGCATATCTGACCATTAGTAATAATTAACAGTCAGTAGTATTTACTTAGTACCCATTAAGAGCCAGACCCAATTCTGGGCTTGTTCCATAGATTCCCTCTTCTGGGCCACCCAATCCAAGTTAGCTCCCTCCCCACCTGCTTTAATTCTTCAGAGCACTCGGC
This sequence comes from Homo sapiens, assembly GCF_000001405.40. Taxonomy (NCBI): domain Eukaryota; kingdom Metazoa; phylum Chordata; class Mammalia; order Primates; family Hominidae; genus Homo; species Homo sapiens. The sequence continues at coordinate 44,325,324 of NC_000011.10, forward strand.
ACCAGCTGCAGTTACCTGGTTTATGTATTTGTTTACTCATCTGTTCTTGTAATGTGAGGAATCATGTGTTTGCTCTGCTCTGTCTCCAGGGCCTGGAGGAGAGCTTAACACAGAACAAGTGTTCAGTGAATATGAACTTTTTTGCCTGAATGAACGGAAATCTTCAGAGTTGTCTTATAGGAGGATACTACGATCATCCCCGTCTTGCAGAAAAGGCAACTAAGGCTGAGAAGAGGCCAGGAGCCTTGACGAAAGGCACACAGGAAGAGCAGAGCTGGGACTCTAACCCTGAACGTTTGAGTAAAATCTGTGATGTTCTTCTGCTCCACAACCACCTCGTCTCACTCATCTGACTTCCCTTGTGCTGAATATCCTGTTGGAAACAGAGGCCTCTTCAACGATGAAAACTTGCTGCCCTTCTTATGTTTGAAGAAACGTCTCCTGAATATTTGTATTCATGATCCTACAATCTTATTTTCTGTAATTTTTACAGCAACCAGTCAGGTCATTGTCATTATACACCATTTTATAATGAAGAAATCAAAGCTCAGAGAGGTTGAGCACTTGCCTAAAGACACACAGCAAAAACACAGCAGAGCTGGCATTCAAGTCTGGATCTGGCTGTAAAGCCCATGCAGGTCTGGCTTTGCAGACACGTGGCTTTCCAGGGTGTCTGAGGGACCGCTCTGGACTCACATGGCTAGGAAGTGGTAAAGCAGAAACTGGGCCAGGACTTAGGATGCCACATCCAGTTTTCCTCCCCGCCAATGCAGCATGGCAGCCTGGAAGCCTGGTGGGCAGAAGGAAGGGATGAGGGCTAGGACTGAACACAGGGTGTGATTGCCTTGAGAGCCAGGGATTGGCAAGCTGGGAGGTATCCTCTAAGACTGTGTGTGTGTGTGTGCATGTGTGTTTGTGTGTAAAATACTAAGGCCTGAGCATTGATGTCCTCTTACTCCACCTCCACCCCACCCCGCTGTGGATCAGAGTAATTGTGAAGGGAGGGTGAGGGGCAGAGAAGCTGGAAAAATTGCCTCATTTAATATGGGAAAGGCTGCAGAGCTCATGGGAAGCAGGAAAAAGTACAGCAAGGGGAAGGTGCAGGCTGGGGTTGTGGGAGTGAAGAAGAGACTTGGGAGGGCACCTGCCATCCTCGGTGCCTGGGGGGGAGGGAGGACAGTCTCTAAGGTGTTTCTCCGTGTTATCTGTGAATATGTAAATTATAATATGTAACGAATAGATAAATATAATAGTCCTTTTCTTGTGAATCTGCAGTGAACATTTGAATGAAATTTCAAGCGACTTCTGGATGTTGTTTTTTGGTTTGTGGCTCATGTCTGGAGGGGCTATGCACTGGCTTGACTTTCAAGGATTAACTTGTGTGCATGTGTGTTCTCTACCTGTGTGCACATGTCTGCATGTGTGTGTTCACGTGCACGTGGGAGGTTGTGTTCATGAAGGCGTGTGTGTGGAGGGAGGGAGGGAATACTCACAGCCCAGCCCAAGACTGTGAGCATGGCTCCTCCCTCAGGAGGTGAGTGGGATGGTCTCAGGGGAACCAGAAGCTATGAATCAGGAAAAGCTTCCCCAACCTCCACTTTTGGGGAATGGGTGTTTGTATGGGCAGAACAGGATGTGGGGCGACACTCCCAGGGGCAGAAAACGCAAAGGGGTGAGGGAGAGACACAGAGAACAGAGCGGGAAGGAGCCAGGCCAGGGAGTGCTAGTTCTTGGCTAGTTCTTGGGGTGAGGGTGGGAGCACCCTGGAAGTGTGCCCAGTGGGGCTGTCCCTGCCCCTCCCCACCTCCCTGGAATGTGTGTTGCCGAGGACCTCTGGGAAAATACAGCAATGCACATGGGGAAAGCCCTGAGCCTGGGGCCGAGAAACTGGCGTCGCCTCCTGGCTCTGCACACACTCACTGGCTGTGCGACCTTGGGCAAGTTGCTCGGCCCCTCTGAGCCCAGGTTCCTCATAGTGACACTGCCCTTCGGGAAGCCAGGAGGACAGGGTGGGCTGGTGGGTGGGAAAGTGCTGAGTGTGTGGGGGCCTGGGTTTCTTGCTGTAACCATCATCCCTATGACGCTGCCCTGGGATCTCAGGGAATTCTGGATCTGGTGTTGAGGACAATGGGGTGGCCAGTTATGTGTGAATATATACCTGTAAGATCATCTAAAAAATCCTTGCAACATTCCTTGTATTTAATCTTTCCGATTTTGACAAAGTCAGCTTGACTCTTTTAGGAGGCCAGTCGGGGTGCCAGCCCAAATGTCCAGCCTGGATGTATGTCCAGACACACTGTGATGGCTCCTCCAGATCCCCGGAGTGACTGAAGGCTATGCCAGCTGCTAGTTGCTGTTTTTGATGTCAACTTTAAAAGCCTGGCCTTGGTGTCCAGGGAAGTGCTATAAGAGAGTCGGGAGAGAATGGCGTAGAAAAAAAGAGATAGGAAGGAGCAAGGAAGGCAGTAGCAGTAACGTCAGACCCAACTCTCTTGCATCTCGTCCTCTTCAGGCCAGACACCATGGCCAGTGTCCTCACCCTTGGAATCTCATTGAATGCGCAAAACCACTCCTGAAAGCAGGCATCCATCGCCACCTACAGATGAGGGCACTGAGCAGTAATGGTGCCGCCATGTGGCTGGACTCAATGCCTTCTGTCTCCCGTATGGTCCTGGCCCCAGATAATAATTTTATGTTGATGAGGAAATTGATGACTTGTCTCATTCTTTGCAAACATAAGTCGTGCCCCAGTTCACATCACTGAATGTACTTGTTCAATTTTGTTTTTCTGGTGACGCTGATGGATGCAAACCCTTTTGACCCTATGAGGGTCACAGACAAGACAAGCCCCTGGGCCTCCGAGTGGACGATTCCCATCACCGCCTCCTTGCGGGGGTGTGGAGGATGTTACTGCTATTGCCTGCCTTGCTCCCTCCTGTCTTTTTTTCTACACGGTTCCCTCCCCACTCTCTTATTGCACTTCTCTCTGGACCCTCCCTCTCCCCCACTTTCCCTCCCTGCCCCTTCACCCTGGCCTGGCCCCTTCCCCTCCTCTCCCCCAGGCCCAGAGCCAGAGCCTCGGCCAGGATGAAAGCCGCTGGCCAGGCCCATAAATCAGCCGGCAGGTGCTCCTTAACCTTCCCTATTAACCTCTCACACTGGCAGGCATTAGGTGTTATACTTGGCTGCCATAAATTACTCGCCAATGAATTTATGAGCACTTACTCCTTAGGGGCATGCTTTTGCATCCTCCTCTCACTCTCCTTCTGGGCTTCCAGAGATCAAGCCCGTGCTCTTGGCAGTGCCTGGTTCCAGCCAGAGACTCCCCGTTTGGCACTCTATGTGGGACCCCCTGTTATAGACACTAACTAGAAGGCAGAGGGGCTTTAGGGGAGGGGCAGGGTCAGAGTTAAGTCACCTCTTAACTCAGCTAGCCAATATTCCCCTCTCCAGAGGCCATTACCTGGAGCTTCTGTGCATTTACCTCCACAGGTAAACTGATCCTGAATGGTAATATCAAAATAACTAATGGGCACTAGGCTTAATACCTGGGTGGCCACATAATCTGTACAACAAACCCCCATGACACAAGTTTACCTGTATAACAAACATGCACATGTACCCCTGAACTGAAAATAAAAGTTAAATAAATCATTTAAAAACACAGTAATATCTGACACCATTTATTGTGCCAGGCACACATTTGCTCACTGCCTCAAATTATTCCAAAAGCTCTGGATAGGAGTCATCACCCATCTCACAGACATGGAAATGGAGGCCCAGGTGAGTGATCAGACATGATTGAGGCTCCCGGGCAGATGGTGATAATAGCTACCTTCTCCTTTCTTCCTGGCCACAATCTGGGAAGAAAGGGAGGGACCACTATATAGATGAGAAAACGGAAGCCCAAGTCACACAGCTCCCAAGGGCCAGAGCTGGGAACCTCTGGTGTGGAGAGCTGGTGGCTCAATTAACTAACTTAAAAAATCTAATTCTGCAAAAACAATTCCACATACGGCAACCACAGTAACTCTGTGAACCAGAATATGTGTCTCATTCCCCAGGCAGGTTGCAAGTCAGTTCACCGTAATAACCACTGTTGTAGGATAGTGAAGGTGATGATGATGAAGCCTCACACATGAGGGATGTTACCACGTAACCGTTAGGTGCCAGGCATTATATGTGCAGAAACTTGCCAAATTCTCACCACAGTGTGAGGCTGGTACTGTTGTTGTGCCCATTTAACAAAAGAGGAAACTGAGGCTAAGAGAAGTCAAAGTCACCCAAGCTAGTAAGTGCCAGGCTCAGGAGGCAGGCGTTAGCAGTCAGCTCCGGACACCCACCCTTCATTGCTGTGGTAGTGACACTGATAACAAATTCGACCAGACCATGGGTAATTAGAGCAAAAGGAGTGGAACAGGCACCTCCAGGGGCCAAGGGCTGTGAGGCACCTGTGGGGGACCCCCAGGAAAGTCCTTTGGGGGCTACCCAGGGGATGAAGCCTGCCTGGCTTTCTCTCCTTGGCTTTTCCTAGGCAGCAGCAGTGGCCAGAGCTGTAAGCTTTCCCTAGGTGAGCCCAAGCCCACTTGGGGCGTCAGGCCAAGTGCCAGCTGTGACTCCAGCTCCTAGATCTGTGAGGTTTTCCCTGCAGCTTCCTGGGTGTGGCCCTAGGGAGAGGGGAGCAGGTGTGTGTGAAGAGGGAGCTGGCTTCAGGGGACCTGCAGGGACCACAGGCTGAGGCTGGTGCAGGGGCAGAAGTCTCAGAGGATGCCTCCAGGTCAGCTACCACCAAGGGTCCTATGCCTCCTCTCTGCCCCGCTGCCAGAGCTTTGGTGTGTGTAAGTATCCCCCTGTGCAGCGGGGACACAGCTCCAAGGAAGGGTAGCCTGTGGCTTGTGCTCCTCTAGACTATGCATAACCCTGACCTAGAGGGAGGGACAGGTAGAGGGCACTGCTGCTGCCCCTAACCTTGAAACAGAGGACTTGGGCCCAGGACCCACTGGGAAGCACAGGAGTGTGGGATTATATTATATTATTATGTGAGTTCAGCTCCCAGCTGTACGGGGTTGAATAATGTTCCCCCAAACTCATGTCTACCTGGAACTTTCAAAGGTGGCCTTATTTGGAAATAGAGTCTTTGCTGCAGATGTAACTCATTAAGACGAGGTCCTGCTGGATTAGAGTGGGCTGTAATCCAGCGACTGGTCTCCTTATAAGAAGGGGAGAACGTGGACACAGACGTGCGGGGGAGATGAGAGCCTGGGGTGGTAGATCAACAAGCCGAGGCACGTCAAGGTCTGCTGGCAAACACCAGAAGCTAGAAGGAGCAGGGAAGGATTCTTCCCTTCGAGTCTTTGGAGAGAGAACATTGACCCCTTGATTTGGACTCCTGGCCTCCAGAACTGTGGGAGAACAAGTTCTGTTGTTTCAAGCCACCCAGTTGAGTACGTTGTTATGGCAGACCTGGGCAATGAGTAAACAGGCTCCCTTCCCTATGTGCTGATTTCCCGTGGGTAGGTCGCTAGCTTCTCCAAGCCTCAGTTCCTTGTCTTGCAGTAAGGATGATAAAACCTGGTTCACAGGGTATTGTGAAGATTAAATGAAACGATGTATACAAACATGAAGCGGTTCAGTAAATGGCAGTGGAATTTGACTCCACTGTTTAACTACAGTCATTCTTTAGAGATGGGCTCACCGTTGCTTACGGAGAGACTGACAGCTCCCCTATTATTTTTTTATGGTTGATTTTGGAAATTCTAAGTTTGTGGTTTGGTTAAAAGTTGATCATAATTATTTAATCTATGTGATACTTTATTAAAAGTATCACAAGTTTTGTATTCAGCACTTTCACGAAAAGGAAAAAAATACCAGTCATATATTTCACTCTGTGCACACACAGATTACATGCTTGTACCAACTGAATGAACAGTTAGTTTATACCAGATGCCAGCTGACTGCCTGATGCCAACTGGAAATAAAGTTATATATGTGTATACACTCATATAAACTGATCTCTAACCTTGTATATAAAACCATATGTGTCTCTCTGTGCACATTGCATCCTGATATATTCACAACAGATGCATAAGTATATATCTCTTCAGCAGTTCCATCCAGAAAATATTTATTCAGCATTCACTCTATCTGGGGCATGTGTGTGTACACGTGCGTGTACAGATACAGAGGATTATGAGTTTGTCCATAAATAATATATGCACCTAGCTGATTACACCAGAAGCCAACCAAAGTCTAGAGGTAGGGATGTGAGCATTGCTGTTGGAAAACAGTATACTCCACATGTCCTGGTTGGGAAATGGGCCAAGGCCTGGAAGTTAACACAGCTCCCAAATGAGAGACGAGGCAGCATGGGGCAGATTTGGGGGCACAGGAGGAAGGCCTTGCGACTTTCTTTTCTTTTCTTTTCTTTTCTTTTGAGACAAGATATCACTCTATCACCCAGGCTAGAGTGCTCACTGAAACCTCGGCCTCCCAGGCTCAACCCATCCTCTCACCTCAGCCTCCCAAGTAGCTGGGACTCCAGGCATGCAACAACAAACCCAGCTACTATTTTTGTTTTTTTTTGTAGAGTTGAGGTTTTGTTATGTTGCCCAGGCTGGTCTTGAACCTGTGAGCTCAATCGATCCACCTGCCTCGGCCTCCCAAGGTACTGGGATTACAGGAGTGAGCCACCACGCCTGGCTGGCCTTGGGTCTATACCATGGGAATGGGGTCAGGCTTGGGGCTACCATCTCTTCAAGTCAGTTGTACCCAGACTGTCACTGTCTCCATCTTTATGGGGATATCAAATGAAATGGCTTTCAGGAAGAGTAGCATCTGGGCTCCTCTGCCACTGTCCCTGCCTCCCACACTCAGAAGCACCTCCTGGACAGGTAGACCGAATGCCTTGAGGCCTCCCACTATTCCTTCTACTCCCACCTCCTCCTTCATGTCTCTTCTGTTCAGGATGGGGCCAGACCGGGCTAGCTAAGGCAGTCAGGGCACCCTGGAGGGTGGGAGGGGCTGGACTTTATTCTTTCCCTCACAACTAAAGTAATGTATACATCCCCTGACTTTCACACTAGACTCCAAAGGGGGGCTGTTGGGTCTTGTTGGCTTTTCTAACCCCGGAACCCAGCACAGAGCCAGCCCCATAGGACGCTCTTAATAGACTATTGGAATACAGAGGCTTAGACAGGTGAAAGGACTTGTCCAAGGTTAGCCAGGCGGTGGAGTGGGGTTTGTGTGCACACACCCCCTATTCAGAGCAGACTCACTATTGAAGAAATAAAGCAGCTCCCGTTGCCTTACATCCCATGTGCCCACCAGAACATGGGATCCAGAGCCCGCCCCGTCTCTCAGTTCCACACCTGGATTCCCAAAAATCAGTGCAGTAACCACACACAGTAGGCACTCAGCCAGCGTTTGCTGCTAAATTGTTGCTAAGTCAGCCAGTGTTTGTTGCTAATGACTTAGGGGCCTGAGTACAGAGCTCTGGGTGTTGGGACTGCAGGGGCTCAGAGCAACAGGATTTTTGCCCTGGGAAATGGAGAATCCTCACGCTAAGGCACCGGAACCAAAGAGGGGTCTCCAGGGAGAAGGAAGGTCTGAAATCAGCAAGAGTCTGCTGTGGTTGGTAAACTAAAAATGAGTGGGATTTGGCTATGACAAAGAAAGACACCCCTGATAATAACCACACATTTTAAAAAGGATGAAAGCCTAAACGCAGCAATTGATTTTAAGTATGGAAGGGCTGCTAAGGTTTGGGGATGAAAAGGAAAGGGAACAATTTTTCTTTTTTTAAAAAAATTTTATTTTTTAAGTTTCAGGGTCCTTGTGTAGGATGTGCAGGTTTGTTACACAGGTAAATGTGTGCCATGGTGGTTTGCTGCACCTATCAACCCATCACCTAGGTATTAAGCCCAGCATGCATTAGCTATTTTTCCTAATGCTCTCCGCCCCAACCCTCCCCCAACAGGCCCCAGTATGTGTTGTTCCCCTCCCCGTGTCCATGTGCTCTCACTGGAACAATTTTTCTTTAAGCCTCTATGAAGACTGATCACTAGGTCCTGGACATACTTGATCCCATTTTAGACAGCTAGAATTATCTCTACTTAACAGATGAGGAAACCGAAGTTCACAGTGGTAAAGCAATTTGCTCAAGGTTACACAGCCAGGATGAGGCAACGCTGGTGTGACTCAACTCTTATCAGTGACCTTAGGGAAAATTGCTGCTGGTCTTGCTACTGAAACTGGTGTAATAGTTATTGTCTCCCTGCTCCTTATTTTTTTTCTGTAAGAATTTAGTTCTTCTTCAAGCAAAAAGGATAAGTTGGGGGCATTCAAAAATATATCCCCCGTCCCCCTACTGTCGGCACACCATCTAGGAAGGATGGCATGTGTTCTGGACGCTTCTAAGGGCCACATCAGAGACAACATGGGCTTCGGGTGATGTGCGTCCCCTGACTCACTCTTCCTTGTCCTCTCAAAGAGAGCTCCCTGGATGCTGTTGTGAGTAAGAGGGATGGTTTGTAGGGGTGACTTCAGTTGGCATGAAAGCAAATTATTTGCAAACTTAGGTGCCAGATACATGAATTAACAAGCTTAAGGTGGGTCCCTCATCACTACTAACATAATTGACACACAGCTCAGAACAGACCCAGACAGGACATATAAGTGGACTGAGCCTGCGCCCCTGGGGCGGGGCGGGGCTGCCCCCAGGGAGTTCCCACTGATGTGTCTCCCCAGTCCCCCCATCCTAGCTTAGTGACTGGGGCTCTATGCAGCTAGCCTGCTTCTTAGTAGCTTAGCGACCTTGTAAGTAGCTGGGTATCCTTGGGCAAGGTACGTTGGCCCTCTCTGCCTCAGTTTCCTCTTCTGCTGGTAGTAGCAGTCCCTAATATAGTTGCTGTAATGCTTTAGACAAAGCCTATGAAGCACTGTGTGCAGAGCCGGGCTTGGGAAGCATGAAATAAATGTCAGCTGGTACAGCAACAATTGCCATCTTTAACAGGGCAGCCTTTCTGGGGTGACGGAGGTGTGGGGAGCAGTGTGTCTGAGTGGTGTGTGCCACCTATGCCTCTGCTCTGGAAATACCAGGCCCAGGGGAGGTATCGGCCCAGTGTCTGCCTTGCTGAGCCCTGCAGCAGAGACTTCTTCTCATGCACACACACACTGCTTCCTCCAGTCTCTGTCCTTTGGGCTGGCTGCCTGTCTGTACCCTGGCAAGGGCAAAGAGGCCCAGCCAGGGGCCCCCTGGACCCAGGCAGCTCACCCGAAACAGGCCAAGGACTCGCTGTCCTGGGAGGGGGACCAGCCCTCGGCTGCAGCTGCTCCTCCTGGGAGGGGCAGGCAGGAGCTCCCCACAGTCTCTCAGCACAGCTTGGGGTCAGTACCCAGAAGGGCATGACCTCAAAGACCTTCAGGGACCCCTCAGAGCTGCTCCTCCTGTTCCTCATTCTTCTGTAAATGAGCCAGGTCCTGGGGAAATGGGGCTCCAGCTGGAGGCCTGGTCCCCTGACCCCAATTACTTCTGGCTGGGGGTGGGGCAGTGGTTGTCCGTCCTCTTGAAGCTTCTCTCTTCCTTCCACCCCCATCCAGGGCCGCTTTTCCAGATTTTTCCCTTTCCCACACTCTTTCCCGAATGGTCCTTCACACACCCAGTTCTTCTTAAAGGGGCTCTAAGAAGAACACATTTTCTATGAACAGAACAATGCCCTATTAATCTTACAAGGGATTTGAACTTGGCAACATTTCAGCCTTTGATTTAAATATCATTTTGGTAATGGGGAAGGATAAAGAAGGCTGACTCTTGGTAAGGAGTTTCCAATACCTTCTGAGCATGAGACGATTTTGAATATAAAATTAAACCCAACTCTCTCCTCCCTTTTCTCCCTTCCTCCCTCTCTCTCTCCCTCCTGCTTTCACTCACACAAAAGCTCACTTCCCACATACTTCATGGGGATATTTCAAGTTAAAGTTTTGTTTACCTTATAGAAAAGTTAATTAGTTCCTTTTGATCTCACAGGGAAAACCACACAGGAAATTTTTCTTCAGAAAGTGTACACACGAAGGCAGGCTTTACCCTCATAACCAGAAATATTCATTAAAACAATTCGTTTCGATTTTTAATTTAAAGAAAACATTTTACATTTTCCCTATTTATTATTAAGAAAGTAGTTATCCCCAGGGCAGGGCGTTGAGGGAGTCGGAGGCAGTGTTTTCGCTGTGCTGGCAGCCAGCGTTGGGCAGTTCGTAATCCGTCCCTAGTTTGTTTTTTCTGCTTTGGATAACAAGAGACTTCTGCAGAGAGACAAACCTTCAAACATGCCAGATTTCAATCGCCAAAATATTAAAAATCCAGGGTTTTGGAGATTGAGGCTGTATGGTTTAAATAAAGATATTTAAGTTTTGAAATATAAATATTCGAGATCCTGAAAAAACATACCCATTGCATTAAAATCCGAAACAGGCAGCGGGTGAATCGCGGGGAGAAAATGTTTACTTTTTTGAGGTTTATCTAATGAAATACAATAAATAGTACATCGTGCTTTATTTTATCATTATTATTATTATTATTATTATTTTTTACCCCTAGAGATAGTTAAGTAATACCTGGATTTGTACAATAAGCGGCTTAGCAAAAGTCTGGAAAGAGAAACGCTTGGATTTCCAAAATGTGATTTTCAATCTTAAGCACATTTTCCACATCTTGTGTTGTTATGGGGTAAGGGATGCCTGGGACTGCAAATTGTGGAATTCATTTCCAGCACGGATCAACCAAAAAAGAAAGAGCATGGCTTCACTGAGGTTGAAAGAATAAATTAAACGATATTGCTGATGGCGTAGCCAAAAGCTGTGGTCCCCATTACTGCGAGAAAAAAAAAAATCATACAGATATGGTATGGACAAAAAGCCTGTGGAAAAGATGTTTTTACAAAAGAAAAGCCACAAAAACATAACAGCTCTAAAGAGTGGTGTTGACATCAGTATATAATTTTGAGGGTATTTTTGGGGTATGTATCCCTTTCCTGCCCCTGACACAAATATTTGGAGATTGGGACTGTCATTGTTGATAAAAATTAAATTGATGCCGCATACAAAAGATATATAAAAAGCATGTTAACATATGGGGTGACTTTGATGATGTTCTGTACAGCAAAAGTATAAGAATCTGATGACATTTTATTGTCACCGATTCCTGTTTTAATCTGCCCTGACCACTGCCTTTAAAAATAGAACTCTTAATATAGATTCCTTTCCTCAAAGTTTTCACCTGAAGATAAATTTTCCGGTTTAAATACACTCCATTCTCCTTTTTAATTTTTCTTTCTTTTTTATTTTTGGTAAATGGTGAAGGCATGTGACAATCCATTTGTGAAGTTGGAAACAAATACAGATATTTTGAAGAAGGGTTTTAAAATGCTGACTGGAGGAGCCGATCCCTGCAAATGAACAGCCCCAGGGAAACTGGTTATTAGTACGAGTTTCCATAGTCTTTCCGTTCAAATGCAGAGCCCCAAAAGCTTTTTAAAACTGTCCTTCTATAACACATTTATTTTCATTTCCTCCCTAAGATACCTTTGATATTTTCTTCTAAAGAAGTATTTATGCTTTTTAGAGTTGAAAATGCTGTTTTTTTCTTCTTTTTTTTCCCTTGAGGGAAACAATTTAATGTGGAGTTTAAGGGGAAGAGAAACTCATTTAACAAAATGGATAGAAAACAGAAGTTTCAAATGGATACCCAATTCCCTCTTTGGATTTGCCAAATAATTACTAAAAATCAAATACTTCCCATAAGACGATGGATGCAATTCCTCCCAGATAAATAGGCATCTATTTCCACTTTTATCCAAACAAACAATTTTGTCTGTGGCTAGAAGTTTTGCAGACTGGGGTCCCTCACATCCTAAGTGCTCGCCATGGGGAACCTTCAGATTACAATAGGTATATAATATATGTGTATAAAATTGTCCTTTCCATGAAGAGGAAAACAGGGGAATTCCCACAAACTCCGAGTTCTTTCTTTAGGAGAGCAGTGGGCTAGGAGAGACTTGGGGCTCTGGGTCAACGCTTTATTGGCCTGAAGGCAAGAGTGAAGTGGGAGAAAGGAGCTTCCAGAAAGATATAATCTGAAAGGAGAAAACGCTGGCAGAGTGATAAAAAGAACAAGACAAGTAAACATTTTTCTAGTGCGCTTCCAAGTGAAAATCCACGAAACTACTACCCAGTTAGAGAAAGATAAAACAAAATTCATCCCTACCTTAGTCAGTTGAAAAGTAATGGGGAACTTGCTTCCAAAGTGGTTGTGACCTGTACAGGCTACACAGTGCTTCTTACCTTAAATCTATACGTTTTGAACAAAAACAGCTTGGAGCAATTCTCTCCAAACAACCCCAAATGTTAACCATTCCATCTCAAGATCAGGTTTCTCCTTCAGCCTACGGTGATATCAGTTGGATTTTCTTTTCTTTTTCTGTTTTTTTTTTTTTTAATATGTATGCTTATGTTTCCAAGCCTGAAACATACTTTTCTCATCTTTGTTAATGCTCCTTCTGGCTGGTGGATGGGATAGGAGTTGTCAGGAGCCCCTCTCTTCAGGACAATTAGCCCCCTACTTGATCATTTTAAGATGGAATGATTTGTTGTGGTCACTGAGTGAGGGCTTACTGCTGCTCTCCTTTAATATTGTTGCAGATACGTAAAGTTTACTGCGTGCTGTAAATATGTCAGCTTTTGCCAGGGAGTTTGCTAATAAAGAACTTTGAGGTATTATTGATGGAAAAGATAATGTTTTCAATAAGACTTGCAGGGGCTGAGGTTCGAGACATTCCACACCCAGCAAAGTGCAGGCGTTTAAAACAGACGCCGACCCTCTGGCTGTGGTGCTGCCAGCGCTGGGTCTGACAGCCACAGGCCAGGCAGCTGCCCGTCGCTCCGTGGTCACCGTGCCTCCATTTCCAGCACTATTTGAATTGCCCAACTGGTTTTAAGAACTCTGTCCTTTTTCAAATGGTTTTCCTGACCATCAGTAACAGCTGAGCTTATCAGAGAGCCACAAGAGACCGTTTTCCCAGTATGATGGCTTTGGATTTACAAGTTGAGCCGTGGATAGGAGAGAAAAAGAAATCGATCATTTACAGTGGAATCTCATATTTCTGTTTTGAAAGGCAAAATTGGATTCATTTTTTCCACCTTTATCTTCATTTGTGGATTATTCTTCTGCCTTCCTCCCTTACAAGGAAAAAAAAAAGAAATTACAGAAAAGTTGGTTTTCATCTGCCATGTGGCCAGGGTTCCACAAATACAGTCACTTGCTCTTGGTTTTTTTGTCACATCACCCCACATGACAGTTTCATCTGGTGCTAATGTGGCTGTCACATGTGTTGGCTCTAAGAATTCCATGCTCACTCACCATTAATCAAATGCATCATTATGAATTGTGTATGCATTTTAGAGTAGACCTGAGCCCCGGCTCGAGAGAAAAGTACTTTTTTGCGTTCATGTTCAGCAACAAAATTCACGTCTGCTGTGAAGATGAATGGCAAGGCCAAAGTGGCATTCTCTGTGTTTGCCTAGCCCAGAAATCAACAACTCTAAATGACAGGTTGGTAAGCAATGCTCAGGTAGCATTCGTTTTTCTGGATAATTATTGTGAGCACTTATGTGCCAACAAAAGCACCCCCAGCTAACTGAAGCTGGTGTGAGAGAGGCCAAACAAAGCTAGTGGAGAGCTCAGCCCCGGCTTCCCAGAGGCCGGGGGTGGGGGGTGGGTGCCTTCTTTAGACTGGGGGGATTTTAGTCTTAAGTTGCATTTTGGGTGAAATAGGGACTGGCCTTCTAATTTGGAAGAATGTGAAGTATTTGCAGGCTGAGCTCGGATGGGAGGGGGTGGGGGCCATGACGGTGTTACTGCACTACGCTTTGCTTTGGAACTGTGAGCTCATTTGCCAATTGGTGCTCTGTGGGAGCATCTGAGTTCCGGAACCTTCCTTGGAGGGCCTGTCTCCGTCAGCTGATGGGGACATGAAGTCTCCTGGGTGTATAAAGAGGGTTTTCATTGGGCGTTGCCAGTGATCAAAGTCTTTCCTGAGGACGGGACCGTGTTTCAGGTAAAAACCCTTTGCTGAACTATCACAACAGTTCCAGGAGACGGGGCCTGGTGCCTGAGACAGGAGGGCCCTGGGCCTGACTCCTCTCTCACAGTTAGGCTGGAGAGACAGATCTGGCCTGGGGTCAGCTCACATTTTGATGTCTAATTGTCAGCAATGCCAGAAGAGGTTGGTCCGGAAGAGTGAGGAGAGGCTATGGTGCTGGTTTATTTCGTGGCACTGTTTTGTTCCCTGCAAGCAGATAGCTGGGCCTGGATTATGATATGGCTGAAGCCTGCTAAAAATAAACACCTTTTTAGAAGATGCTGCTCACAGCCCGCCTTAGCCTGTGGTTTGGGAGGCTCCAGGAGAGATTGAGAGTCCTGGGCTGCTCTGTGAGCTTGGTGCTGGGGTGCTGGGGTTCTGGGGTCACCTGTGTGCGCTCCTGGGCACATTTTGGGAACTCTTCTCCCTTGGAGCCTCTGTTCCTTCTTGGAAGGTCTGGGCTGCTTTCCCTTGGAGGGGTTCAGGGGCACAAGAGCACAGATTTTCAGCCCCCATCCCCCTTTTTTTTGAGACAGGGTCTCGTTCTGTTGCCCAGGCTGGAGTGCAGTGGCACAATCAACAGCTCACTGCAGACTTGACCTCCCGGGCTCAAGTGATCCTCCCATCTCAGCCTCCTGAGTAGCTGCTATCACAGGCACACATCACCATGCCCGGCTAGTTTTTGTATTTTTTTTTTGTAGAGACGAGGTTTTGCCATGTTGCCCAGGCTGGTCTCAGACTCCTGAGCTCAAGTAATTCTTCTGCCTTGGCCTCTCAAAGTGCTGGGATTACAGGCATGAGCCACCGCACCCGGCCTCAGACCCTCTTCCTGACCTTCTTCTCCTGGTTGGAGAAGAGTGATGGTGCCACCATTGGCTCAGAAGCAGCTATCTGCAGGTGGCCAAAGCGCTGAGCCTGGAGGCAGCAGCCAGCAGTTAAATTCAGTGGCAAGATGTGGCCCTCTGCACATGGATGGGGGAGTGTGTGGGTGTGTGATGGGAGTGGGGGGCTGTTGTCAATACCCTCTAGGCCAAGGCTCAGGCTCTGTTTTTGTTCCCTTGGGTCCTCTTTCCCAGTGGGGCAGTGACCCTGGTACTGCTGCCAGCTAGGCTGAGCCTGGAATCTGGAATGGGCATCTTGAGGCAGGTATGGCCTCAGAGGGGTGAGCAGCTGGGGCATCGCTGCTGTCCCCGCCCCCCCGACCACCCCCATGACCTTTAGGGCCCGGAACAAGGCAGTAACATCCAGGCTCTGAGCCCAGGCTTCTCAATGGCTTGGAAGAGGCCTGGGAGACAAGGCTTTGGGAATGCTCTTGTCTGAGGCCTTCAGCTACTTTAGAGGGTCTGTGGCTTACCCTCCGAACCACCTGGGACTTCACCAAAGCACTGGAGTCCACTCTGCGGCCACAGCTTTCTGAACCTGCTTCTTAGGGCTGTTTAATCCCACAGCAGCCCTGGGAAGTGGGACTCTGGGACTCAGAGCAGTTTATACTCTGTTCAAGGTCACTAAGAACCCAAGCTTTTTGGATTCTGAACCTTGAACCTCACCTCCGTGAATGATGCCCCAGAAAGCCCTTGCGCTGAATAAAATGCAGGGCCTCGAGATACTGGAATAGGTCGTCTCAGACAAAAATTTGAGGGGTGGTCTAATTGAACTGCTTACAAAAATACAGAGGACCAGTCCTGCTTTGAGCAGCTCACTAGGGGTTTTAGGGAAATAGCTCTGGTTCCACTGACATTTTTGGTTTTTTGAAATTAGGATTTGGGTCATTTTGGTATGAGGTTTAACAAGTTGATGTGGCTTGTCTGGCGTTTTGTCTGTGACCTGGTTTGGTTCAAGGACAGAGAAGAGTTTCCACCTATAAAACAGGCACAGACATGGCTGCCATGTGGAGGTGTCATCTCTCTCTGCTTCTGCCCCTTTTCAAGGGAGCGGAGGAGTCTGCCCTTATACACCCTGGACCGGTCCTTTAAATAGGCCTAGACCAGGATGCTGAGCAATGGAAAACTCCAGGCAGCTAGTAAAAGCGACATGTAAGTGGACATTATTTGACATGGAGAGACTTTCCCTCCATGTGTTAATTAATTAATTAATTAATTAATTTATTTATTTGAGATGGAGTCTTGCTCTGTCACCCAGGCTGGAGTGCAGTGATGCAATCTCGGCTCACTGCAACCTCCACCTCCCGGGTTCAAGCAATTCTCCTGCCTTAGCCTCCGGAGTAGCTGAGATTACAGACATGTGCCACCACGTTTGGCTAATTTTTGTGTTTTTAGTAGAGAAGGGGTTTCGCCATGTTGGCCAGGCTGGTCTTGAGCTCCTGACCTTAACTGATCCGTCCTCCTCAGCCTCCCAAAGTGCTGGGATTACAGGCATAAGCCACCGCGCCTGGCTCCTCCATGTGTGAATTTAAACTCATTTTAAATTATAAAAGCAACACATACACCTGGTAAGAAAGTAAAACTCTACAGAAGTACTTTTAAAGTAAATGAAATGAGTTAACATTTGTACAATGCTTAGAAGAATAGGGCCTGGCTCTCTAGAAGTGTTTTTTAAATAAAAATATATGAAATTAGAAGTACGATTTTCTCCCACGTTAGACCTGCAGTCTTCCTTTCAAGAGCAACCACATCAATAATTTCTTGCATATTCTTCCAGCAATTTTGTGAGCTTACATAAGTGTGTGTGGGCACACAATAATTTCACATTGTAAAGTGAAAAGAGTAGGTTACAAAACAGTTTCAAAGAGTAAGATCCCATTTGTGTTTGTTTGCTTATTTATTTATTTATTTAGAGTCTGCATCTTGCCCTGTTGCCCAGGCTGGAGTGTACTGGCGTGATCATGGCTCACTGCAGCTTTGACCTCCTGGGCTCAAGTGATCCTCCCACCTCAGCCTCCCAAGTAGCTGGGGCCAAAGGCTGGCTAACTCTGTTAATTTTTTCAGAGATGGGGTCTCATGTTGCCCATGCTGGTCTCGAACTCCTGGGCTCAAGTGATCCGCCTGCCTTGGCCTCCCAAAGTGCTGGGATTATAGGCATGAGCCGTCATGCCTGGTCTTGATTCTGCTTTTAAAACAAACAAAAAATACTCATAGAAGATAATCCAGAATCATGTGTATCTAAGTAGTAACAGGGATTATCTCTAAAAAGTGGGATCTGGGGTGGATTTTTTTTTACTTCTTGTCTCCTTTTGCTCATTCTTTTTGTAATTCTAAAACTAACGAAGGAGAAGTGAGTATAGATAAATGAATGAGTGGGGGAATACATGGACCTGGGTCTTCTCAGATGAACATGTTCTAAGAGGGCTAACATCCCAGCTGGAAGCCCAAGGCCCCCCTTGTGGCATGTGCGCCTGGACCACTTCCTGTGGGCTCCCTGGGACCTGCCACTCTGCTGTGGCACAAATGCTGGTCTGAATCTGACTTTCCCCAGTGGCTCCAGGACTCCCCTTGGGCCCAAGGACTGATGACCAACACTAGGATACATTCCCCAGGACTGTCTTACACACTTTGCTCAGGACGCGACTTTTTTTTAAGCTTTTTTTTTTTGGTGTGTGTGTGTGTGTGTGTGTGTGTGATAGAGTCTCACTCTGTCACCCAGGCTGGAGTGCAGTGGCGCGATCTCAGCTCACTGCAACCTCTGCCTCCCAGGTTCAAGCAATTCTTGTGCCTCAGCCTCCTGAGTAGCTGGGACTACAGGTGTGTGCCATCACGCCAGGCTAATTTTTGTATTTTTAGTAGAGACGGTGTTTCACCCTGCTGGCCAGGCTGGTTTTGAACTCCTGACCTCACGTGATCTGCCTGCCTCAGCCTCCCAAAGTGCTGGGGTTACACGCATGAGCCACTACATCCAGCCAGGACATGAGTTTTGCTGTTGTTTATTGAGGCTGTAGTGGGAAAGAGACCCCCACTTCCTCTACCTGCCCAGACCTGGAGGGCCTGCCTGGCTGGGCCTGATCTCCCCATCAGGGGATAAGAGTGAGACCTGTTTGAAGCAAATCCACTTATGTGTCCTTCCTGAGACCCCCATGTTCCATGGCCTGGGTCCTTTGGAGCTATCAGATGGTCATCTCTGGGTGTGCTTAGAGATGAGAGGTGGCAGGCCAGCCCTGGCTCTCCAGCTTCCTGGCCTGCTTTTCTTGAAGCTCAGTCTGATTCCTGCAGCAGCCAGGGCAGCAGGGGTCCTGGGTGAGGGTCCCCAGTGGGCACAGCTGACTGCTTCTGATTCCTGATGATGATCTGAAGTCAAATAGACCTGGGCTATGAAGCAGGTTCTACTATGGGACTGGGGCAGGCCAATTCATCTTTCTAAGCTTCAATTTCTTCATTTCTAAAATGGGGCAACCAGGGGGTGCTAATGTTATCTTCATTCTCATCTCATTCCTTCAGTACGGATTTATCTGGGCACCTCCTGTGTGCGAAGCTCTTTACTGGACCTCCTGACATATAAACCTCTTGTAGGACACCAGGTAGAGAAAAGGAAGTGTTCTCCAGTGGTGAAAACACATGGAAAGCAGGGAAGGCTTCTCAGAGGAGGTGGCATTATAGTTGCACCTTGAAGGACTGATAGGAGCTCTGATACCTTGGGGCTTGCAATTGGGAAGGAGCTTAGGAGTTTTCACAGCCCTTCCACATATATAACTTCACATGTTTCTCACAATAGTCGTATAATTTGATTTTTGCTGAGGGGAGGTTAGGTTGAGTTTGTTTTTTAGCCAGACTGGGTTGGATTGTAAGTAGAGGGGAATACACCAGGCAGTACTAGACGATACTCAGAGTCCAGTCTGTCCTGCTCCTTCTGCTCTCATCTAGGGATAACTAGCTGCCCCTTCAGCTTTGAGTAGGTAGGTCTTGAAGGTCAACTCAAGGAAAGTTTCCCTAGAGATACCTCCCTTTCCACTTTTCTACTGCTGGGGTGCCCAGGGCTGGAAAGGACAAGATCTCTGGGCGAACCAGCCTCCAACTTGGACTCTGCCACACGCATGCTGGTGATCTTGGGCAAGCCTCATTTTCCTCATCAGGAAAATGGGTATTGTGGCAAAAACCCACCTTGCCAAGCTGCTGTGAGGATTGCAGATGGTGCAAAGCACCCACTTAATGCCTAGCATATGCCAGGATGTCTGAGGCAGAGCTGGGTCCTCTGCCAGCGGGGCCCAGTGTCTGGACTCAAGACATCGTACTCCTTATTATAAGCCGCACAGCCAGGTCCTAGCCCATCTGGGTCCCACGTGAACCCTGGGGCTGCAGACGAATTTCATCCCTTTACTTGGCTTTCGTCTTCCCAACCCTGGCTGAATGCCTACCTCCCCACCTGCTGCCCCTGCAGACCCCCATCAGGCAGATAAATTGGTAACCTGCAAGAGCTAAGGAGAAGGAGGCTGTGAGGTGAAGGGAGGAGAAGAGCTGTGTTTGCAGAGGAGGGTTGTAGGAGAGATGGGGACCCCAGATGCTATTTCTGGGTGATGGGGCCTCCTGGGTAACAAGGCCAGCCACAAAACCTGCTCTGGTGCTATTCTTCACCCTCAACTTCCCAAATCAAGAAGGCAAAGAAGAGTTTGGCATTTTTTTCCCTCTCCCTCCTCTCATCTGTAAAATTGAGACATTACAGTTCCAAAATGGGCTTTGAGCCTGTAGAAATTAACCCAGTCTGGCAGGAGGTCTGAAAATAAACATATTGTTTCGATTGGTGTTGACATTTGGATTGCGAGAAGGTTTGAAAATGTAACTGTAGTTGGGATTTTCCAGCCCATCCAAGTTTTTCCATGGAGGAGCTCAGCAGACTTAAGCCGGTGACTGGGTGAATGTCCTCTTACTGCCAACGTGGGCACTGGAAAAGGCTGAGGGCTTCACGGCTTGGAGACTGCACCAGCGGAGGCCGACTGTGCTCTTTGGTGGTGTGGGGAGGGGTTGAGCATTTCAGGATGCCGAGCCCCTCTGGGCAATGTGGGGGCAACCAAGTGTCCAGCATGACCTGAACTACTTAGAACGCCTACTACATGCCTGGCACCTTATCCGCACTATCTCACATAGTCCTTGCACCAGGGCTAGAGAGTATCGTGTGACTATTCCCACTTCACAGATTGGGACACTGAGGAACTGAGGGTTTCAATGACATGCCAAAGCCACCCAGGAGAAAAGCAAGGACTTAAACTTAGCCCTCTCTGGAGCTCCATGGCTTGCCGTACACCACCTACTTCATGTCAGGAACTTTCTGGAAGGTTTTCTCAGCAAGAGAATGGCTCATTGTTCCAGAGAGAGGGCTGATCCTGGACTGAAGTAACTGTTGTTGGCATAGTACTCGGTTGTAGAGACTGCCAGCTCCATCCATTTCTGGAAACCTGTGGATTTAATCACCTCTCCACCTCCCACACTTTACCCTCTTGCCACCATGGGAGCCTGTAAAGTGGGTTTTGCCCCCTACTCCCACTCCATGGCCCAATGAGCCTCAGTGCCTATTCCTCTCACCCAGCTCCAGCCTCCCACCATGTCCTAGCAGGGAAGCTGCCTGGTCCCCTGTAGGAGAGGCCAGCCCTGGGAAGGCACCCTGCCCGGGGCGGAGGTGCACACAGCTTTTAGCTACGAACCCAGAGTGCTGGCTGAATCAGGCAGGCACCTCATTTTTGGGAAAGGCTTGGTGTCTAATGCACCTGGCAACTTCTGTGTGCCCCAGGCCTCATCTCCCCACCTCCTGGCCTTTGAGATGCAAGGGCCAATCTCTACTTGACTTCAATTGCTGGTCTCCCTGCTCCAGTCTCTTGTCCACTCTCTGCACCTGCCTCTGCATGGCTGAACATGGCTGGAAAACACACACCACACCAAGCTGAGTGGTCTTGCTTTAAATTTACCATCACAAGACGGCGGGGGCGCTGGTAGTACTAACTGGCCATCCTCCCCATTTCCTGAGTCCATAATTTCTTCTGGTTCTCAGATGTCTATTTCACCTCTTGTCAAAGTTAGACCAAACGTGTCAGGAGTCCTTGAGGCAGGGGCCTCCATGCTACCTGGGATCAAGCTCCCAGCCCCTGCAACTCTACCTCCACTCCCAGGGGAGAGCACTTTGCTGTCTGGGAGGACATGGAACAGGGGTTGTAAGATGGTGGCCAGACCCCATCCTGTGCTGTCCCACCCTACCCTGCACACTGAGCTTCTGGGGAAGGTGACTCCATGCCTGGCCAGGAAGATCCTCAGTCACAGCCCCCTCCTCTGCTGTGACTCCATGCCTGGCCAGGAAGATCCTCAGTCACAGCCCCCTCCTCTGCTGTCTCTCTCCCCTCTCAGGGGCTACAGTGGTAACTGGCAGCCTCCTTGGGGGAGGAACAAACGTTATCTGTTTCCACCTGGGGGATTTCTGTCACAGGATTCCTGGAGCTGTCCTCATAGCTGCAAGTACCTGGCACCTTTACACATCAGTGCCTCCCTCCCTCTGCCCTCATGCCCTGTCCCCATTCGGTCAGGCTCCTCAGGGCTTGCTCTCCTTTTCATATTCAAAGGCTCGAAACCATGACCAGAAGTTTGGGGGCGTTGGGTTTGGCCTGACACTGTTTTGGGAGCAAATGCTTGGATCCATCTGGATGTTTTTGTTTGTTGGCTGGCTTTGCCTTCGGGAGGTGTGAGCCTCTGACTGGGTTTGAGGTTCTGTAAATCGGGAAGGTTTGTGTTCATTTCAAGGTTCAGAAAATCATTGTGGTTTGGGGTCATGGTTGGGTTTGATTTGCGTGCTTGATGGCAGTGGCGGCTGGGTGGCTCTGAGCTAGGCCTCTGCTCAGCCCTGGGGGTTCTGAGTGAGAGGTACCGGGGTGTGCACCTCTGGGTGGGGCTGGTCCTGGGCCAAGCCCTTGGGCAAGCATCCAAGGCAGGGGCACGAAGCTGGTTTGGGGACATAGAGATGGGGAATTTGCTCTGCTCTCAAACTGCTTATCACAGAGCATGCCTGGATGTAATTTTCATGGACAGCCAGAGAGGTGATTTTCGGGGAGAGCAGGGTGAGAGAGTCAGGGCTGAAAGAAGGATGGCTCCAGACACTGGGGTGGAGTGAGCAGCCAGGTATCTGCTTGGGGACCTGCACCCACCTCGCACCTGCTGGGTGATTTGAGCAGCCCCTTAACTTCTCTGAGCTCCGGCTTCCTCTTGCCTCTTCCTAAGGCAGTTCTGAGGATTAGAGGGGAGAGCATTTGTGGAAACTCACAGAGGAAGTCAGAATATATTAGTTTTCCTGAGCTCTACAAAGACAGGTCTATGCCTCATTAATCCTATTCTTCCCAAGTTCGCACGCTTGGCCCCAGTTCCCATTCAAGGAAATCTTCTTGAATGCCACATGGGACTGGCCCCCTGGTTATTCGTGTCAGTTTTAGTGTCCAGCCTCTTTTGCCCCATTGGAGGTCTAAGTTGCAGTCCTGAACTGCCGTACCTTGCTCTGGAAGAAGCTTTTCTCTCTGGACACAGCAGTTTTCCTGCAATGATCACCAACCTTTGGTCACCTCCCAGGGTTGTTCCCGGGCCTGCCAAGGCTGGTCGCCTTCTGCCTCTGAACTGACTGGATTCATTTCCGTCTTCCCAGGGCTGGAGGAGCCTGACTTCTCCAGCCACAGAGAATTCCCACAGTCTTTGGGTTTTCAATTTTTGGATCAGTGTGTTGGAGCCCGAGGCCCTTTGGACTGCCCATATGTCTCAGATTTCCAGCTATAGTTTCAAACCCTCAGTGCCATTGTCCCTGTTGAGTGTCAGCCTAGGATCCTTGAATTTTAGTCTGCAAATAATACTGTTATTTTATTTGACCATAAACTGAGCACTTGTCTTTTCTAGGCACTTACTTAATCCTCACAGCTGCCCTGGGAGGTGGCAGTATTAGTACAATGCCCACTTTACAGATGAGGAAGCTGAGGCTCAGAAGGTTACGTAACATGCCCATGTTCACAGAGCATGGAGTGGCAGAGTTGGAACACAAAGCCATTTGTGTTCCAACACAAAGCCAGAACACCATTTGTTCTGCTTCCAAATATGGTGCACTGATTAAAAAGAAGGGCAACTGGCGTCCCCAAGACCCCTCAGCCTCTAACTTGCTCAGTGACACTGAATCTCTTGGGAGGTGTTCCCCATCTGGAACGGGGAGGGTGAAGAACTTCCCAGCCAGAAACCCGTCCCAGCCTTGGAAGACACCAATGGCTGGCTGCTGCACCAGGCTGGCTGTCACAAACTGTTCAGAAGGTGCAACTGGCCATGAAAGGTGAACTGTTGGGAGCAGAACTGCCTGGGGCTGTGTCAGAGGCGCCTGCCTGAAACTCTGCTGCTTCACTTGCCATGGCCCCGCTCAATCCCTAGGTCTGTTCTGCCACCCAAACCACGAGCCTCGGGATGACAGCCACAGGCCCCCTCCCATCCACCCCTCGCTTTCCTCCTTCCCTGGCAAGGGAGAAATCCAGGCCCCGAGTCGGTCAATGCCCCAGTGTTCCTGGCATCACCAGCCTCGGGGTTACTTTGCTGTCTTCAAAAAGGATCTGCCTTCCTTCCCCTCTGCCATCCCCATGGAGGCTTCACAGGCCTGCGGGTTCACCGGGCTGGGAGCACACATGGCCTCTTTGTGGCTATTCCCCCAAGGCCCTGCCATCTTTGAGGATGACAAACAGCCTTTGAGGAGAGAGTCACGTTTGCACACAGAAGACCACCACTTAACTTGTCCAAAAGCATTTTTATTTCCTTTGGCAATTTGTTTTCCTTTGGGTGAGAATAAAATGATGCAGGAGATTTGCATGCTCTGATATTTTTTCTCCCATTTCCCTCTTTCCTGTTTTCTGCCAGCCACTCCTTAGCTGTGCTGAGAAGTTGCCCTGAATGCACCCTCTAGTAGCTCTGGAAAGCTGCCTTATCTCTGTTTCTGTGGCCTGTGCAGGGTTTCAGGCTCAGCATCCCTCCCTGGAATGAGCCTGGCTGGTACCTGGTCTCTGGGCTTCCACTTCTGCTGCCTGGGATCCTTATGGTGGTCAGGATGACCTTGCAAGCAAGAATGCTAGTCTGATCCCACTGGCCCAGGCCACGTCTTGGACTGTCTCCTCCCCTCTCTTCCTCACCATTCTGGCCTCCTCCAGGCAGGCTTCCAGCTCAACACCTCTGCCTGGAATGCTTTTCTCCCAAATATCCATGTGGCTCCCTCACCTCCTCTAGGTTTCCCCGAGGTCACCTTCTCAATGAAGAAGCCTTGTCTGTCTACCCCATTTCAAGTGCTGCCCCTCCCCCAATTCTCCCAAGGCCGGCTGCCCCCAGTGCTTGATTTTTCTTCATCTCATTGATCACCTTCTGACCAGAGGTGGAGTCTCCAGCAAGCTGATGATTCCTAAGTTTCAGGACCCCTCACTGGTAGCTTCCAAGGCTTTGCACCTCAACTGATATTTACAATTTTTTATTCTTTTTTAATCTTAAAGAGTTCCTTACCCTGACATTATATGAGATCACTTCAGGCTCTGTGAAAGCCTGGATTTGCCTGCCTCTGCCTCTGACAACTCATCTGTTTTTATTTTGTTTATTGTGTCTTTCCCTCTACCATTAAAATGTAAACTCCACGAGGGCAGAAGTTTTTGTCTTTTTTTTTTTTGAGATGGAGTCTCGCTCTGTCGCCCAGGCTGGAGTGCAGTGGCATGATCTTGGCTCACTGCAGCCTCTACCTCCCGAGTTCAAGATCCTCCTGCCTCAGCCTCCCAAGTAGCTGGAACTACAGAAGCATGCCACCACACCTGGCTAATTTTTGTATTTTTAGTAGAGACGGGGTTTCACCATGTTGGCCAGGCTGGTCTCGAACTCCTGACCTCAGGTGATGCATCCACCTCGGCCTCCCAAAGCGCTGGGATTATAGGTATGAGCCACTATACCCAGCCTTTTTTTTAACTGTTTTATCCCCAGGGTCCAGAACAGTGACTGTACACAGTAGGAGCTCAATAAATCTGCTGAATGTATGTCATTCCCAGGCTCACATTTCTTTCAAGGGTTTCCCTTTCAGACTCCTTAACACCCCCATCCTTCAGCTTCCCTATTGTCTCGTACACTGGGATCCAGCCATCTTGCCCTCTTTCTGCTCCCAGATGTGCTAAGCTGCGGACTCAGGCCCTTGGAACACGCTGTTTCTTTTCTCTGGATGTTCTTCCTTTCCCCTTCCCCTCCTTATTCCTTAGATCTCTACTGGAATGTCACCTGCTTGCCTGGGCTCAGCCCAGCCCTGGGGTTATGTGCTCTCCAGGACCTCGGAGTCTGTCTTTACAGTGCTTGCTCTCACTGTCATGCACAGTCTCTGCCATTGGTGGTTTGGTAATTCATTTCCTCCTAAGGACTGTAAAAGCTCCATGAGGGTAGGCCGTGCTCAGCTGGGGTGCTGCGGTAACCCCAGCATAATCCCCGGCACTTAGGCCTTTTCATTGACCAGTAAATATCCGCTGAGGAAATGAGTGAATTAAAACACACTCGAGGCAAGACAGGAATCAGGCACAAATATTATCCAAATAAACAAAATCAGAATCCATGGCATGTCAGAGATGGGAGAAGGTTTAGAGATGGTCTAGTCTGCAAGTTGCAGAATGCGCTCTGCTCCCTCGTGCCTCTGTAGAGGTGTCCCCAAATCTGCTGCTGCATGTGTGCACATGTGTATGTGCATGTGCGCGTGTGTATGTATACATGTGTGCACACACATACAAGTGTTGCAGGGGGTGGGGCCGTCAGGCAGGCAAAAGAGGTGGCAAATGAAAACATCTCAGTTCCCCATTTCCACTTCAAACACAAAGAAGTTCTGCTTTATCTGTTTCTATATTGAACGTCTGCTTCCGATTTTGTTTGAAGAGAAATAGGACTTCCAGCCGAAATGAAATTTGGAAACTGACCAAATCCCTCCTCCCTATTTTATGGATGGGGAAACTGAGGCCCAGAGAGCAGAGGTACCTGCCTAAGATCACAGAGGGAGTGAGCCACAGGGCTGGGACATGCACACTGGGACACAGGGGACATCCAGCCCCCTCTGCCTGACTTTGGCAGAGCACCATTATTCTCAGCTGTGACCAGGTGGCTGAGCACCTGGATGTCCTGGAGCTCACAGAGAAGCTCCAGGGATCACTGGCACTTTAATCCCATCATGTGAATCAGGAATCATTTTCCTAGCAGAAGACATGACTTCCTGGATGCATACAGTAAAAATCACAACGTTGAGTATTACACTGAAGGGGGGAAATCCCAATATGGAAGACTAACTCTCTTCTGAGTCTTTCTGTTCATATTCTTTGGCTGCTTGTTCATTTATACAATTGTCTGGAGGTGCTCCTTAGAGGAGACACAGTAAAAAGCACCAAAGGTTTCAGGAAAATCTGTGGGAGCAAAACTTAAATGAGGCCATTTCTCATATATTTTGATGGTGGAACAAATACCTCTGGCCAAAGGGATCTCCATGGGGGAAGAAAAAAACATTATTTTTCATTGTTTTAAAAATAAATCTTTGTTTTCTGATTACAAAAGAAACAAGTACTTCTGAAAAAAGTAGAACATTACAGAAATATACATGACTTAGAAAGTAAAAGTGTTTCCATATTGTATCCCCCCCACCCCACAACCACGGTTAATAGTACTTTTTTTCAAACCTACCGAATGAGTGCCAGGTTCTGTCCTAGACACTCGGGGGCAATAGTGAGCAAACACAGATGTTGTGTGTGCCTTCACGGAGCGCATAGTTGAAAAGGGAAGAAATATAAAATCACTAAAAAGGAGAGATATAAAGACATAAAACTAGAGAAAAAGGCCTTGACAGGGAGGTCTGGGAGAGCTTTGTGGAGGGAGTGAAGCTGGAGTTGGGATCTGTTAAGTATGTGAAAATGGAGGGAAGAGTGTTCAGGAAAGAAGAGACAGCATATGTAATGGCCCTGTGGCAGAAGGGAGCAGACGGGTGTAGCAGGAGGAGCTGGTTCACAGTGAGGCAGCAGGAGGCAGCTGGGGTAGGGCTGCGAAGAACATGGCAAGATTGATGTTAAAAGCAAAGGAAACCATAAGTTGTTGTAAATAAGGGGGTGGATTATGATTAAATGTTTATTTGATACCTATTCTTTCAGTTTTTTTTTTTGGTGCATCTATCTATCTATCTATCTATCTATCTATCTATCTATCTATCTATGGCAAAACCCCATCTCCACATAAATACAAAAATTTATATATATAATATATATAAATTCATTCTTTAGCAGAACAGCCTAAGCAAAACAGATTTTTATTGGCTCATGTGACTGCAGCTTGATCGAAGGGCTCCAACATTATCCCCAGGACTTGGTTTCTCTCTATCTCTCAGCCTTGGCATCGGGTCTTCTGACTCTATTTCCTGGCTCCACATGGGGCCTCCCACAGCTCCAGGGGTAAAGACACCATCTCATCTTTCTACCCTCATCGCAGTGGAGAAGAGTGCCTGTCACTGCCAGCAGGCCAGTTTCAGCCCAATTCAGCCACATGTCACCCCTTGAACCCGGCACTGAGGTTAGGGGGATGTGGTGCTCTGATCGGCCAGGAGCAAGTCACATGCTCGGGAATGAGGCATGAAATCAACTCCAGTGGACCGGAAGCACATGGCCTGATAAAAAGTAAATCTAAGTGGTAAAAGTCAGAATAGTGGTCAACTCTGTTATGGGAGTGGGGGCAGAATTAACTAGGAGGGAACCTGGGGGTTTGGGAGGATTGGAAACGTTTCATATTGTGATCTGGGGCTGGCTATGCAGGCAGATGTGTATGTAAAAATGTACCAACTTTGCTGTGTGCAATAGAAACCAAGATTTAGTCCAGGAGCCATGACTAACACCTGTAATCCCAACACTTTGGAAGGTGAGGCGGGAGGATCACCTGAGGTCAGGAGTTCGAGACCAGCCTGGCCAACATGGCAAAACCGCATCTCCACATAAATACAAAAATTAGCCGAGTGTGGTGGCGGGTGTCTGTAGTCCCAGCTACTTGGGAGGCTGAGGCAGGAGAATCACTTGAACCTGGGAGGTGGAGGTTGCAGTGAGCCAAGATCACGCCACTGCACTCCAGCCTGGGTGACAGAGTGAGACTCCGTCTCAAAACAAACAAACAAAGAAACCAAGTGCGGTGGCTCACACCTGTAATCCCAGCACTTTGGGAGGCTGAGGCAGGAGGATTTCTTGAGCCCAGAACTTGGAGACCAACCTGGGCAACATAGTGAGACCCTGTCCCTACAAAAAAACAAAATAGAAAAACTTAGCTGGGTATGGCAGCCTGTTCCTGTAGTCCCAGCTACTTGGGAGGCTAAGGTGGGAGGATTGCTTGAGCCCAGGAGTTCAAGGCTGCTGTGAGCAATGATCCCACCACTGCCCTCCAGCCTAGGCCATAGAGTAAGATTCTGACTCAAAACAATAGTAATAATAAATAATAAAAAGCACCCGGCCCAAGAGTGGGGAAGAAGTATTTCCAGAGAAAAATTAAGATACTGTGACTAAGACAAGGGTGAATGAATGTTCATTATAGTACAGTCATATATGCATACATGTATCATACAGATACAGTTTTAACATGTGGTGGGCATTACAATGCACCCTCTTATGTAATACTTTTTTGCTTCATAACTCCTGGGCATTTGTTCATGAAATCCATGGCTTTATGGCATAGATTAATTTTGGAAGCATGCTTTAATCAGGCAAACGAGCTGTGTCTCCTCAGTGCTCCCTGCAGGAAGGGGCACTCCAGAAGCATGCTGGGGCCCAGCTCCCTTGAGTGACCAGTTGCCTGCAGACGATTGACGTTTGTGTGGTTGAGGACCTCAGACCTTGTTGTGCAAACTGGCTCAGCCTCAGAGCTCTGGGCCCGCTTCTCTTCTCTGGGAGCCCTCACCTCCTCAATTAGGCTTTCAGCTCTCTCTTACTCTGCCCCT
This sequence comes from Homo sapiens, assembly GCF_000001405.40. Classification (NCBI taxonomy): domain Eukaryota; kingdom Metazoa; phylum Chordata; class Mammalia; order Primates; family Hominidae; genus Homo; species Homo sapiens. The sequence continues at coordinate 44,354,345 of NC_000011.10, forward strand.
GTCAAAATATGCCCTACAAAACAGAATATATTCTTACTCATGCTAGGTCGTTAATGACTAGGAGCCTGCAGTATTCCTTTTCCTGTGGTGGGACACATATTATGTTTTCTTGATAGCAAAAACAAGGAAACTTCTAAAATGGTCTCTCCCTAAGTGCAGGGGAATGGTTGAGAGTGGGGCTCCAGCTTCAGACCTCAGACTGAAGTCCTGCCTCTCTGTTGACCAACTGTGGGTCCCTGGCCAAATTTTTACCTCTCAGTGCCTCACTTCCTCCTCTATGTTCGGGAGAAGAGAGGATTCAATGAGCCAGGCCCTGCTAGGCATTGAGCAGGGCGCCTGCCATGTGGTAAGAACTTTGCGTGGGTCTGCACTGTAGGGTGGGGGGACTGTCAGGCTTTGGGAGTGCAGGAGAAGTTTTAGGGAACATTCTTCACTGTGGACAGAGCATTCTTCTAGTTCTTGGACCCACCCCCGTATCCTCATCTTTAATCCCTTTTGTATGACATCCTCTCCTTTTTTTCTTTCTTCTCAGGGCCTCTCTCCTTTGCAAGAAATGGAACACTCTGGGCTGTTTTCTGGGAGACTGCAGGTGGCTGCCCCAGGCGTGGTGCTCAGAGCTCATGGGTGCCTGTGGATAGATGCCCAGGAATCCCCTCTGCCACCCTTGGCTTGATGGCCACCCAGTTTCTATTTGTGATCTTCTGGCTAAGCAAACCCTGAACCTGTGTAACTGGTGAAATGGGCCCAGGCTTTAAAATCTGACACTTGAGTTCAAACACAGCTTGGAGGAGCTCATCTTCTGAGAGGCTCTCGGTTAGCTCAGTTGCACAGTGTGACCCATGCTGTTCCTGGCAGGGCTGGGAGGATTCAGTGAGGTTATTTATTTATTTATTTTAAAGACAGGGTCTTACTCTGTCACTCAGGCTGGAGTGCGGTGGCATGATCTTGGCTCACTGCAGCTTCAGCCTCCTTGGGTTCAGGTGATCCTCCCACCTCAGCCTCCTGGGCAGCTGGGACTACAGGCATGTACCACCATTCCCAACTAATATATTTTTTTTTTTTTGTAGAGATGAGGTCTCCCTACATTGTCTAGGCTGGTCTCAAACTCCTGGGCTCAAGCCATCCACCTGCCTTGGCCTCCCAAAGTGCTTGGATTACAGGCATGAACCACCGCACCCGGCCAGCAAAGTAACGTGTATGTGCCTGGCACATAGTAGGCCTTCAGCACTCACTCATTCTCTTTCTCTTCTACTTGAGTGATAAGATTTACTTGGTAGCCTTGTTTGGGGTATGTTGTTCAATTTATTGGGAGACTAATCAGGGCCTAGATTACTAATTGGGCTGCCATAGCAAAGTCCCACAGACTGGGGGCTGAAACAACACAGATTTATCTTCTCACATTTCTGGAGCCTGGACATCTGAGATCAGGGTGTCAGCAGGGTTGGTTTCTTCTGAGACCTCTCCCCTCGTAGATGCCACCTTCTCATTGTGTCCTTATGTGGCCTTCTCTGTGTGTGTCTGGCTCCCAATCTCTACTTGGAAGGACACCGGTCACATTGGTTTAGGTCCCACCCATATAACCTCATGTTCCCGTAATTACCTCTTTAAAGACCTATCGCCAAATGCAGTCACATTCTGTGAACTGGATATCAGGACTTCAACATGTGAGTTGTGGCAGGGGGACTAGGGGAGATACGATTCAGCCTATAATAGGGGCATTGAGCCAAATCAACTCCCTTGGCCATCATTATTATTTCCTTGCTTTGGGCCTTGAAGGGTCTTTGAACTTCAAGAGTTCCCTTTTCAAATGGGCCTGTCTCTAGGATAGTGCCTCCTCCTGCTGGCTCTAAGTAACAGCAGAGATCAGCTGTAGCGATTGGGATGGGCCCCAGGGAGGAAAACTGGGGCCAGGAGGGAAGCTCACTGGCCAGCGCGGATGTCTGGCCAGGGCAGAGTGATCTGCACGCCTTCTGTGTTATAATGGCACCTTGGCTGCTCCTGTGCCCAACCCCTCCCTCAGGGTCTCTTCAACCCTGACTTTGCCATGTCACATGCACCCAGATGCCATTCCTGTTCCCAGTCCATTAGGGCTGCCAGCCTGGGGAGTGTGGACCATTGGGGAGAAGACGCTGTTTTGGTGAGACAGGCAGACTGGCAGATGTCCCCGTGGAGCCGGGTGGGATGGCATTAGCTGGAGGCTAATCTCATTAGCAGCCACATCCTGAGTCTACCAGGGCTCTGTTCCCCCGCCTTGCCCTCAGCCTGATGCCCATTCCCAGGCAGAAGGCAGATTAAGCATGAGCAAGGCCCAGGGTTGCCTCCTATCTCTGGACCTCAGAGACGCTGCCCTGAGCATCCCTGCCTTCTCCCACTGGCTGAGCAACTGACTTGCTCTGTGCTGAGGTAAGACACTTGAGCATTGGCCACCCTTTTTTTTTCTGGCTATGAAGTGGGCCATACTGTGGGATCCCATGACAAAGAAATTCTATGAGCCTCTATGGTGATTTTTGTGCTAGGAACAGATGTGTGCCTGGTTATGATGTGGCTGAGGTACACAGCACTTGTTTCATCAAAGAGAGGCTTGGCTGGGGCCGGGTGTGGTGGCTCATTCCTATAATCCTAGCACTTTGGGAGGGCAAGGTGGGCGGATCACCTGAGGTCAGGAGTTCAAAACTAGGCTGGCCAATGTGGTGAAACTCCTGTCTCTACTTAAAAAAAAAAAAAAAATTAGCCAGGCTTGCTGGCATGTGCCTGCAGTCCCAGCTACTCAGGAGGCTGAGGCAAAAGAATTGCTTGAACTTGGGAGGCAGAGGTTGCAGTGAGTGGAGATCACACCATTGCACTCCAGCCTGAGTGACAGAGCAAGACTCTTGTCTTAAAAAAATAAAGGGTGGGGAGTTGCTTGGGAGATTAGGGTCAGGGTCAGATGGAAATACTTCAGAAGTTACTGGGACTCTTTGAGGCATTAGAACAGACCAACACTCTTTAGGGCAGAGGATATGGGGATACAGAACCTCACGCCAGTGAGATTTGCATCTTTCAGTTAAAGAGACCCTGCAGGGAGTGGCTGGGCCCAGGTCTAGCTATACTGTCTTGGGTGGTGTAGCTCTAATCACCATGTTCTGCTACTTTTCTCTCCATTCCTAATAGCAGGAAGGCAATTTGGGGCAACTTCATGTAGTTGATTGCAATTTGCAACAAGTGTTTAGGAGTTTAGAAACTTAGGAATTTCCCTGAATAGAGGGCTAATCATAGACTAAAAAAAATCTACATCGATGTACCTATATCTCAAGATTTCCTTTTTTGATCAGATTGTGGGTAACAGAAAGCACAGGAGCTGATTTGATCATCAGACAAGAATAAAACCATCTGCCATGTTTTCCCTTTTTTACCTTGGCCACCAGGAAGCTCTGGGTAAGATCTAATGTTCAGTTGCCGTATTTTTCAGGTCTCTGGCTTCTGATACATTTCTCTGTTCTTTTCCTTGAGTCAATTTTTCATTTAAATGATGTACAAGCATTAAAATTAAAGAAGCTATTACACATGGTGACTCACTTGGTATGGAATCTGGAATACGATAGGTACTGAGGTGTGTGTGGTGGGGAGGGGTGACCTTTCCTGACATTTATACACGGGGACATGGAATGCCAACTTCCATAATTTATAAGCTGTTTTCATTTATTTAATAGTTCTTATGATATGCAAAGTGCTGTGTGAATGCTTTACAAATATTAGTTCATTTAATCTTTATAACAACTCTAGGAGGTATGTATTACTACTATTATCCCCATTTTGCAGATGGAGAAACTGGGGCAGGTGGAAACTAATTTGCCCAGAGTCACATGGCTAGAAAGTGGCAAAGCAAGATCTGAATGTAGGCAGCCTGTCTCTGGAACCCAGGCTCTTGTCCGGAGCTTTAGGACTTAGCTATGCTGTCCAATAGTGAAGCCACCAGCCACACGTGGCTGGTGAGCACTTGAGATGTGGCTAGTACAACTGAGAAACTGAATTTACAATTTTATTTAATTGTAATGTAAATAGCTATGTGTGGCTAGGGGCTAGTGTAGCCATCATGCCTTGCTACTTCTCTCATTCCTATTGGTGGGAAGGCAATTTGGGGCAACTTAGTGTAGTCGATTGCACATTGCAACAAGTATCAAGAGCCTTAAAAACTTCCTGCTCTTCGTCTCCATCCTTTTCCTTCTCCTTCATCATCATAGCTGACAATTCCTGAGCACTTACGATTCTCCATTAACTCTCCCCCAAACCTTGGATGTAGATACTTTTTCTAATATTCCTGCTTCACAGGAGAGGAAATCAGCATTCAGAGGGGTGACTTATTGAGGGTTGCACAGCCGGTAAGTGGTAGAGCTGGAATTTGAACCAAGGTATAAATGACTCTAAAGCCAAAGTATCTCCATCTTTCTTTTTACTTTTTAATGTAAAATGTGCTCCTCTTATGACTCCTTAGGCTGCAGGCCTATCAGTTTCCTCCAGAGTAAAGTTTCTCTTGTCAACTACAGTCAGCGTTTTTAAAGGAAAGAATGGGGAAGACACAGGTGGTGAGCAGAGGCGGGTGAAGTGCTGGATCAGCACAGCCTCGGAAGAGCTGGGGAGAGGGGCCTGCGTGCAGTGCAGCGAAGGCACCTGGACCCCGTAGGAGTAGCCAAGGGCCTGCTCAGAGAGCCCACTGCCAGCCCCGCCTCCACTGGGAAAGGGCTGCATTCAGGGAGAAGAGTCCCAACAAGATGCCTCAGTTTTCTCATCTGTCAAATAGGGACAAGGATGATTAAAGGAGACAGTGTCCTAGAGCACATCTGGCAAGTAAAAGAGTTGTTACCTTTTTTTGAGTCGGGCCTTGTCTCTGGGCTGGAAGCTCCCGGAGACCTCACAAGGGAGAAGTCCTGGGCGCGGAGCTCTCTCCATCGTGGGCAAAGGGAAGGAAAACAGCTTGCTAGCTGAGGGGTCGGGGTGGGCGGCGGGGGCTGCGCACATGGCTGTCAGCTGAGATCACTGCCTTCGCCTTCCAGCTGCCTGGGGATATTAGGAGGTTGCAGAGACAGGGAGAGGAAGCTCAAGCTTGGGGGCCTCTTTGGGGGGCGGAGAAGGGGAGCAGAGGAGTAGGATGTTAATGAAAAAAACATTCCTCGTTCAAGGTGACTGAAAGGGTTTGGGGCTTGTTGGGTCAGGGTCTGGCTTTGGCTGAAAACAAGTCCCCCAGATGCAGAGGGGCCAGGCCTGCTGAGAAGGCACTTTGTCGGCCCCAGCTGACTTCACTCTCTTTGGGGCTGCTGAACCCCAGAAACCCCCCAACTCTGAAGAGACACCTGGGATGGGGCAACTGTGATGTCCTGGGGCCAGAAACTCTTGACGGGCTGGGCTGCCCTGTCCGTGCTTTGCAGAGATCTCGCCCCCTCCCTCCTGCTTCCTCCAGGCTGCATTTGGGCACAGGATTCCAGCTTGACTCAGAGATGGCACATGCTGCGCCCAGCCTCTGAAATGGAGGAACTGCCAAGGTGGGAAGGCTCGGATGGGTTTCTGGGGGCAACTCCTCACTTGCCTCCTGACTTTGCCACTAGACAATTTCTAGACTTGCAAAGAGTGCACAATATCTGACAGGCGTCGGAATAAGGGCCCCTTCTAATCAGAGAAAGCTAAGCACAGAGCCTGTCCCCACCACAGCCCTGTCAGGTAGGCATCCCCACTTCACAGCTGGGGAAACTGAGGCTCAGAAAGGTTAAGGCCTGAAGCTACTTGGCTGAGAAAGAATCAGGGTTGGAACCAGATTTTTGCTCCTAGGGGAGGAAATCCTATGTAATTTTTGATGTCCCTCACTACTTCCTTCTAGATGCCAGGAAAACCCCAAAAGGCCCAGATACCTCGGGAGAGAGCCCTAGCCTGGAGCATGGAGAGGCAGAGGACAGGGATGAAGCACAATGGTGATTTGTCCTCAGGAAGCTTTTGCAAAAGGCAAAGGTCTTATTTCTTAGAACTAAGGCTGCAGGGAAGCTAAGGGAATAGATCAAAGACATGTGGATCCAAGAACAGGCCCTGATCATGCTGGGACCCCTGTTTCCTCTTCCAAGCCGGATTCCATCATGATTGACTTTCATCCCTCCAAAGGGGAATGGGGCCCCTGCCGTGTGTTTTGGGATACATGGAACATACATCATCCCTTGGGAAGCTTGGTTTTCCTCAGGAGTGAAGCGATGGTTGGCTATGCAGGCAAATGCATCTTTCATCCCCACCAGGATGGGGACCAAGTCACCCATCTCCTGCCTACATCAGTGTTTCTAGGGGTTTGGAAAGTTGTTGAAGATGCTAAAGGCTGCAGGGCCTTGAATGGGGATGTCCAGCCTCGGAAAATCCCCATCTTGGGCATTTGAAAGCCTTTCCCAGGCTGGAGGGAGTCTCAGCCCTTCACAGACTGGTGAACCATCAGCTCTGAAAGGGAGCTTCGGGAGTGACCTTATCCAATCGCCTTTTGGCACAGATGGGTAAACCAAAGCCTGGAGAGGAAAGGTACTGCCCAAGCAAGACCTGGAGAGTGTTCCAGGGGTCCATGGTCCTTTCTGGAAGAAACCTGAGGATGAGGCAGTTAGTGGATGGACAGGGGGTAGCCACAGGCAGAGGCCCTGGGAGGAACCACCTCTGGAATATTCAGGGATAGCCTCCCTGCTTCAGGCTTCTCAAGAGGCAAGAGATCCCTCTCCCTCTCAAATCTTGTCCAGCTCCGGTTATGATGGAGCAGAGCATGAAGTGCCCCTGTCCTTTCCTCCTGTCAGCTCTGAAATGAGAACATTCTTATAGGAGCGAACACATCTCTAGTGGGCTTCAGGGAACACCAGAAAGAAGTGTCCTGAAAGAACCAGGCCCTGCAGAGCTCTCTGGATCTAACAGCTCCCAGATGGCAAGGATGCCCCAATCCAAGTGCCATTTTCTGAGCAGGGACTGAGTGTCACGCACACTTGGCACATCTTCATGGGAACCTCCAGTCCTCCCAGCGGCCCCGTAGTGGGGAGGTGTTTCATGGTTTTCTCAGCAGAAAAACAGAGGCGACAGAGTCATGTAGGGCGAAGCGACTTGCTCAGGCACACAGAGCTGGGAAGTGGAAGGGGATGGAGCAGACTATAAACCTAAGCCCGTCCTTGGGTCTCTATGTCCCACTTCTCTCCAAAACAAACAAGCTCTTAAAAAAAAATACTAACTGTTCATTGGCGTTCATTTTTGCCCACTTTAGATACTCTATATCCTCCTCTCCTTTTTCCTGTTTTAAATTGAAGTTGCAAATTCCCAGCACCCTAAAAAAACAAAAACACAAACAAAAATTCTCTCCAAGTCGAGAGATACGACAGGCCAGGACACCAGCCTCTCTGCATCTTCCAAAGTACAAGGACTCCCGTAGTACTTCTGTTCAGAAGCAGAACGTCTGTTTTTTTTTTTGTTTTTTTTTTTTGCCCTTGGACAATGTGGTTCTAATATATATCAACAGAGCCAAAGCAAAGAAAAGCAACCCCCGCCCCTTCTTTTTTAAAAGACGTTAACTTCATTTCAAGAACTTGTGTGTTTCTCATTAGTAACGCTGCCTTTTGAAATCCAGCCGAGGGAGGCGATTCCAGTTGAAATCAAAACTGATATGCGAGAGTTTGACTTAAATGCCGCCCTGTCGGCCGGCTCGCTGCCTTGTTGGGGCTGATTGCTACAGAGATGGGACAGGCAGGGCAGATGGCCAGCTCTCAGCTCCCTGTCCCACGTCAGCGGTGGGTCTCAGAGCGGCAGGGGAGCCTGCCAGGCAGGGCTCTTTCAACCTGGCTAGCTTCTCACCTGATGCGGGAGGTTGAGACAAGAGCTTGAGCTAACGACCTTGAAGTGGGGGACCTGGCGACCTGGACCTGGGGGTTGGGGGATGGGGTGGGCCACAGAAGGCAGGGGGCTCCAGCCACGATCACCGCCACACTCTGAGCCATTCCTACAAGACAGAGCGTGATCAACACGTCCCACGAGGAGCCGCACCACTCCTCCACTTCTAGGTTTTTCGAGCTGTTCTAAGCAGAAAACTCCTACTTTCTATTTTCTTGGCCAGTTTTGGCATTTCTTCTCTGTAAGACCAGGCCTCCTGGAGAACATTAGGAAAATTGAAAAATCTTCCCATGGTCAGGCAAGGGGCCACTCATGCTTCCTGCTGGTGGGGCCACTTTCTCCAGTGTCCGGACATGTCATTTTCTGCGTGGGCAAGCAGTTTCAGCCTTCACTAGGGATGACAGAGTGTGTTCTCTTCCTACCCTTCTCTTCTCTTCTGTCCACTGACCCCAAATTGGATTTTTTTTTCCTTAATAAAATGCTGTCTTGTTCTTCAGAGAGCCGATGCGGGCTGCTCTACATGCCAAAGATATTTATTTCAAGAACGACGGAAACCAACAGGATGGTTGCTCCAACCCAGCCCCCATCCCTGTCTAATCAGATTTTCCCCATGTTTCAAGACCTAGCAATGTTCCTCCTTCCATGGGAAACCTTTCTCTACCCTCTGCCCCGCCATGATGGCTACAGCCTTAAATTCACTGGTCTGAACCAGTCCCTTTACAATTAAGGGAGTGATGTCTTTTGATCAAATTGTCCCTTCTTGCTTGATATTATTACTTAACTTTCCAGCCATCCAGACGTTTCTGTTTTGTCTCCTTAGCTGAGGGTGTGACTTCCTTGAGAACCTGACTCTTCTCCATGTCTGTGTCCCCAGGTCTTTATCACACAGAGACTTACATGGGTTTGCAAACAATAGCAGTAATGATTAAAACGACTATGAACACATATTTTGACTTTAACCTGTGTTCTTATCCGTCTGTTTAATAGAAACTCCCTTAGAAAAATAAAAAGTGTTTCAAGAGATGACCAGATTAATCTTTATTGAGTCACTTTCTCTTTAAGGCCGCTCTGGTCCTGAGAGTTTTGACAGTGGAATTTGTTGGGCACCATGAGCTTGGCCTGTGCCAGATGCTTTCTCATGCATTACTTTGTTTAAAGAATTGAGGGATTTGTTGATAAATGGATTCAGTTTTCCATAAGGGAGACTGAAGACTCCCACCCCCATCTTCCCAAATTAGGTTTGGGGAAACAGGAGGCAGTGTGGGTTGTGAAGAGCTGGCCAGACCTGCCTGGGTTCAAATCCCAGCTTCTTCCCACAGCCACATTGGAACCCTGGGCAAGTGACTTGGCACCTCTGGTCTTTAGTTTCCTCATCTGTAAAATGGGGATCATCTTGGTACCTTCCTTGCAGCGTGATGGTTTAGATGAAGTGAATTCATAGTAACATTGTATTTGCTACCATTCGTTGAGCTTTACTAGGCTAGGCACTATGCTGAGTGCTTGACAAGGAAGTAAATGTGAAAAGCTTAGGCATCAGCTATTCTACAAATCTTTCCTGCTCTTTACACCCACTTTGCCGATTGAGTGAGCTCCACTGTGATATAGTTTGTGTCTTGTCCTCACAGCTCCCACCCTGTTTATGTCTATTGTGTCTTGTGTGAGTGTTTGACATCACTCTTCCCCATTAGAAACTCCCAGAGAGCCAAGACCTTGTCTGTTTTCACTCCCACTACTTATCCAGGGCCTGCCTAGGTACTCAATAAACTTTAGCTTCCATTTCCCCTGGGTCCCTCTTCTGAATTAGATTAGAGCTCTCCTTGCCTCCCTGAGAGCCCTGTATCTAGGATTGGCAACAGAGGCCGTGGGGCAGGGATTTTATGCTCAACTTATGAATGTTTGAGCCATGCAGGGATGGCTTCTCATGACTGCAACGTACAGAATCCTATGTTCCCACTCCTGCAGATGACTTGGCATTTGGTGGCCAACCCCTCTTCCCCACTCAATTACCCTCGCTCCTCCTTTCAGGATGTGCTCCAATGCCACCTCCTCTGAGAAACATTTTTTTTGACTATTACAGGCTTAGATATCTAAAAATAATTGTGAGCACAGGCTGTATCATAGACTTAGATATCTAGAAATAATTATGAATCTTGTTCATTGGACTCAGCTCCCTGGCAGCTCACTGAAGCTCCGAATTCCCAGTGCCCAGTACAGAGTTAGTGATCAGCAAGTGTGACTTGAATGAATCCTGTCAAAGCAAAATAAAATCAAGCCCAAATCACTCCCACACTGGCCAGAAAAGGCCAGTATACACCTTTGTAATTTACACAGCTGGTTTCTTTCTTAATTCATTCAAAAAATATTTATGGAGCACCAGTGTGGTACCAGGCCCTATCCTGGGTGCTGGGTGCTGAGTACTGGGGAGTCAGTGGTGAACTGGGCAGACTCATTCCTGAGTCCTGGCACTCACAGTCCAGGCCAGTGAATTCATGGACACCACAAGGCCAAGGCCAAAATAAAACCAGGAAGTTGGAAGACATAAGTCTCCCTGCCAGACACGGCCTGGAAGCCACCATCCCCAAGGTAACAGTGAGCTGTCTCTCCACAGGGTTGTATGGGTCTGGCTCCTTTTCCTGGCTGTGGCACCTGAGGGCTTAGTGGAGCAGACAAGCAGGGATGAAACCATCCTGCTTGTAAGGCAGGGCTCACCCTCTGAACTCAGGGCCAGGGAGGACTCTGTCCACCCAGAACCAGCTGGGCTGCCCAGCTGTGGGCCGGCACCGCTGAAAGGTCCTAATTAGCTCATTTCCCCAGCCCCGTGGGCTGCAAGCAGGCTCCCTTCACCTTTTGCCCTGCTCCATCTCACTCAATTTAGCAGTTCAAGGTTCACCGTGGTGTCAGGGTGGGGACAGGGAAAACGCCCCCTCCCTCCCACTCCCATGCCATTAAATAAAACCATTCCTTTGTGGCGGCTCCACCTGGAAGACTTTGGAATTCTTTCCCCCATCCCCAGCCTGGTTCTGATGGCTGCATCGAGGGGTAGGCTGTGGATTCAGAGCCCAGCTGCAAACTCTGGCTCTGTCATTTAACCAGCACCTGTGTGATCTTGAGCAAGTGACTCACCGTCTCTGACTCTCAGTATTTTTCATTATAAGGACCAACATCCACTTTACTTGGTGGTTATGAGGATTTAATGGGATAAGGCCTGTAAGGCAAGGTCCCAGAGCCTGGACAGAGTCTGCCCTCAGTTCAAGCCCCTGTACTCTGCTCAACTTTCCCCAGACTATAGACCCCACGGGGGTAGGCACAGTGTCTGCTTCGCTCACCATTGCATTTCCAGCATCTTCCATGGATCCTGGACATAGGAGGAGCTTCCCTACTCCTTTCTTTAATCAACAAGCATTTGCTGAAGGCCTCCCGTGTGCCAGGCCCTGGGCTCAAGACATATCTGTTTAATAAATAAATAAATAAATGCTTTCTTCTTCCCGTACCTGCTTCTTCAGGGCTGAGCCCTGGGTAAAACAGGGACCTCGGCCAAGAATTCACAGTGTGGATGGGGCATAGGACATAGGGTCGGGAGGCCAGGAAAGCTCTGGATTCTGGGTTCAGGTCTGCCCTCAGCAGCCGGCGTCTCTTAGGAAACGGGGCTTTCTTCCTTGTCCCCTACCCCATCCATGCCCACACTCCCAACCTCAGGGGCTGCTGGGTGAGCCATGAGCTCCCGACCTTCCCCTGTCACTGGCTGAGTCTGAAAACCTCCCCGTGCACCTCTCAGGTAAGGGAGTGGGGATAAATATTCCTACTTCCAGGATGGTGTGTGGTATTGGCCAGGTATGAAACAGGAATAAGAATTGTAAAGAGCCTAGCACGGCGCCTGGCCAGGGGAGGAGGTGATCATGTTAGCCTCCTTCCCTGCAGCCAGTGCCATAGCAACCTGTTACTCAAAGTGTGGTCAGTCCTCAGACCTGGGAGCTGGTTAGAAACAAGGACTCCCAGGCTCCACCCCAGCCCCAGCGAATCTAAATCTGCATTTTGCCAAGATCCCCAGGCTTGGTGTGCACATTGAGTTCGAGAAACTCTGCTCTCTGACATGCCCTGGAGCTAGCCACCACCTCTCTACGTCTGTTTCTTCAACTGTAAATTCGGGTGATGTTAAAAATAATAACTGGATAAGCCAAACAGAATGAGGAAATCCAGTCTGGATCAAAAGAATGGGATAGCATATTCCAAAGCCAAACAGAATGAGGAAATCCAGTCTGGATCAAAAGAATGGGATGGCATATTCCAAAGTCAAACAGAAAGGGACTGGGGGCTTTCTGCCAGTCTCTGGGCCACAGCTCTGTTGGTTGCTGGAAGCAGATGGAACCCAAGAATGGGGGCAGCAGAGGGGCACTGGGGTCATCTCTTCCATCCTGTGTTGGGTTTAAAAATAGACCTAAGGGAGGGTCTGGACGGGCAAAAGACCTTCTCCTGCTTCTCCTTATTATGGGGCCTGTAGAGGGGAGGTCAGGAACCACGCCCCATCCTGTGGTTTACAGGACCCCTCCCTAATAAAGCAGAGGGCTGGGAGGCCGTGCATTCCAGGGTACATAATTAAAACCAATGAGGGTTATTTGGAATAACAGACCGTTTAGTCGGAAGCACTTGCCATGCTAATTCAAACAAGGTGATTACAGGCGATTAGCAAGCCTAATGGCTTCAGTTTAAAAACAGCCTAGCGGAGAGATGAGCGAGTGGCCTCTGCTGCTTCCGGTGAGCAGTGGAGGGGACTGACCTGGGACTGAAATTCACAAGGTCAGTGCCACGGGGGCTTGTGGGCCTCCCACCTAGGTAAGACACTGGCCCAGTGCAAACTGCTTCCAGGGTGGAAGAGGCTGACCCTGCCTGGGGAGAGTCAGAAGTCAACCTGTTCAAGCATACCCAGACACCTTTGCCTGCCCCACAGAAACTGGGTCTTTCCTGTCTCTTTAGCCCCATCCCCTGTGGCCTCTTCAGTACAGAGGCTGGGTCTTGAGGCCCCTGCATCCTTGAAAGGGAATGTTTATGGGTATACCTACACACACCTAATATCTTTTTTTTTTTTGTTTTTTTGAGACAGAGTTTCTCTGTTGCCTAGGCTGGAGTGCAGTGGCGTGATCACGGTCACTGTAGCCTCATATTCCCAGCTCAGGTAATCCTCCCACCTCAGCTCTCTGGTAGCTGGGACTAGAGGCACATGCCACCATGCCTGGCTAATTAAAAAAATTTTTTTTGTAGAGATGGGGGTTACCCTATATTGCCCAGGCTGGTCCCAAACTCCTGGGCTCAAATGATCTGCCTGCTTCAGCCTCCCAGAGTGTTGGGATTACAGGCATGAGCCACTGCATCAGGCCCACACACCTAATATCTTATTCAGCACTGTACTAAGCAATTCATACATGTCATCTCATTAATTCATTTAAGTCAGCACCAATTGTTGTCTCCATATGACGGAGGAGGAGCTTGGATGCAGACAGATTGTCTGAAAGTGACAAAGCCAGGCCTGTTACCCAACTCCTCCTGTCTCTGAAACCCTTCTATTATCTTGCTGAATGCATATCACAAGGTGGGCACTTTCACTGCAATTCCCATCTTACAGTCTAGGGGACTAAAGCTCAGAGGAACTAAGGAACTTGCCAAAGGTCCCTGTCACCTGGCGAATGGCAGAACTGGGATTTGACCCTGATTTTGCTGATGCAAAACCTTCGTTCTCAAGCACCCTGGAGAGGGAGCAGAATTGCAGCCAAGCTTGGATGGAGAGGGGAACAGCAGGGAGACTTGTCAGGGAAGGGCATCCGAGGCACAGGGAATGGCACAGATACACAAAATAGGGAGTTTTCGGTGGCTAGAGACCAAAACCCCACACTGACCTGCTTAAACTTATTTAATAAGGAATATGTATTATCACCAGAAACAAGAAGTCCTGAGGACTGCCTAATTTAGAGGCTTCATGCTGTCCTCAAGTACACAGGCCTCCTGCCTTTCTGCCTCCCTTCCATCAGATATTGCTAGGCACCTTTCTCTGTACCAAGCATGCTCTTAGGCTCTGGGGTTACAGTGGGGAAAAAAACCAAGTCCTTGCCTTGGTGGCGCTTACATTATTGTGTGAAAGATGATTAAATAGACGCATACACACACGCTGTATATATATCATGTATATTATATGTATGGCATATATACATGATACATAGGGCGAGAATGCCTAATATGAAAATCCAAAATGCTTCAAATTCTGAAACTTTTTGAGCGCCAACATGATGCCACAAACGGTAAATTTTACACACAGTCTCACTTGATGGGTCACAGTGAAAACGCAGGTGCAGAACACGGTTTATTCTGGGTCCCCAAAGCAAAAATGAAATTACATTCAGGCTGTGTACATGAGGTGCACATAAATCATAAATAAATTTTGTCTTTAGACTTGGGTCCCATCCTTCAGATATCTCATTATGTAATGTGAATATTCCAAAATCTGAAAAAAAAAAAAAAAAACAAAAAACCCTGAAATCTGCAACACCTCTGGTCTCAACTATTTCAGATAGGGGATACTCAGTCTGTTTAATATGTACTCATATATAAGTGTTTATGATATATTATATAGACACAGTGTATGTGTATATTATACACAATGCATGTGTATGTAATTTAAATATATAACACAATGTCAATTAAAAGCTATGAATAACAAAGCAAGAGAATAGAATGGCAGAGGGGAGAGAAGTCAGAGGAGTCTATCTGAGGAGCTGATATTTGAGCAGAGACCTTAATGAAGTGAAGGGGTGAGCCAGGTGAGAGCTGAGGGAAAGTGTTCTTGGCAGAGGGAATTGCAGGTGCAAAGGCCCTGGGGTAGGGTGGTGCTTGCAGTGGAATGTGTGAGTTGTGCATGCTCTGAGGGTCAGGTTCTCGTGCAGATGAGTCCCCCTCATGGTGGCCAAGTGACCATAGCAGTTCCAGGCACCATAGGCAGACATGACGCTGGCCAGTGAATAAGAGGGGGGTCTCTTCCCTGTATATCATGCCTTTTGTAAATCAATGAAGAAACTCTTCCTGAGAGCCCCAGCAGGTTTCTCATTAATCTTCTTGGACAGAATTATATCACAGACCCATGTCTAAACCAGTCCCAGACAGGGGAATGGGACCTACGGTGGTTGGCTTAGTAAGGGAGACACCCTTGGAACTGGCAATGGGACCATCCTTTGACTGGTAGGGGAGAGGAGGTAGATATTCCCCCCCAAAAAATGGGGCCCTGCCAGGAAGGAGGAGGAGAAAAGGCTGCCAGGCAGGCAACCACTGTGTCTGGCATGGCAGGAGCTGAGTTCTGGCTGATGAAAGCATTTCCATGTGGCTATGCCCCTGATTACTGTATCAAGTGGGCCTGTGGGCCTGCTCCCCCTTTCTTCCTGGAGCACCTCTCTTCTTCGCCTTCATCCCCCATCCCCCAATCTACCTCAACACTTGGCTTTCAGAATAACTCCATGCTGGGGAAAAGAAGCAGCTGAACTAAAACAATGAACTAAAAAGCCCATCTTTTGACAATATTCACATTTGGAGAAGTAAAAAATTAAATGACGTGCTGGTATTTTGAAAACGAAGGTTTCACAAGTCTATTTAAAAGAAAGTGTCCCTTAAAGCAGTTGGAGGAATATCTTGCCCCTGGTTTAGATTTTCTAAGGCCTGGGCTTGACAGAAACCCACACAGCCATTGCCCTGCTTACCTTGCCCCATCATCGCCATGACCAGGAGGTGCATGGGAAGGAGTCTAGAAATCTGGGAGGCTGGGACTCTGTACAAGAGCTATGCAGTCTGAGGTCTGAGCTGGAAGGGAGCCTGGAGGATTGGAGGCTCAGAAGGCTCAGACAGTCAATCGTTGGAGATTCTTCTGCAGGGGATGAGGAGGTGGCAGCTGCTAGGAAGGAGAGAACTTGGGCCATACCAGAGTCCAGACCCCTTGTTTGGCTGAGAGCAGGGAGGTATTCCCTCTTGGTTGCAAGTGGCAGAAACCTAATGAAAACTGGCTTAAGCAAAAAGGAAAATATATTGGCTCCTGTAATTGAGAATTCCAAGTGTCAATGGCTTCAGGCATGGCTAGATCCAGCGGTTCTGTGTCTTTGTCTCTCTCTACCTCTGACTCTGCTTTTCTCTGTGGCTTTCTTTCAGGCAGTCTTTCTTTCTCCACAGTGGGAAAGACACCCACTGGAAGCCTAAGACATACGTGGTGCTGCCATCTTGGGATCCTAAGGAGGAGACACTCTATCTCTTCCAGCATCCATATAGCAAAGGCGTGAAAGCACACTGACCTTCCCTGCCTGGGTTGCATCTCCAATTCGTAGTCCATTTACTATGGATGGGGGTGGGGTGGGGTGGGGTTCCACAATTTGTAGGCATGGATTGTGTGCCTACCTCTGTCATCAGGGGACAAGCAGGGCACTGAGATTGTTCCCTAGGAGCTGTGGGATGGAGTGGCAGATGCCCTAATAGACATGGATCCTGCAGAATGAACCACAGCTGCCCACCTTAGGAAGTGACTGGTTCAGTATCACCCTAGTGCTAAGAGGCAAAGTCTGCTTCAGCCCAGTGTCCTTAGCCATGGTCCAGTGTGCTTCCCATCATGCCACAGGCCTGCAGAGGACACTGGGAGTCTCTTGTTGGGGCTGAAGTGTCTATGATGATTATGATGGGGTTAGGGTGGGTGTGGCCAAGGTCTTAGCCATGATCTCAGGCAGCCGTGATGTAATGGGCAGGTCTGGGCTCAGTGTCCCTGAGAGGATTCTGACTCTGCCTTTTCCTTTGTAATTGGGACAACTTAGTTAACTTTGTAGACCCTCAGTTTTCTCATCTATAAAAGGGGTGATATGGCCCAGCTCTGTGTCCCCACCCAAATCTCATCTTGAATTGTAATCTGAATTGTAATTCCCACATGTTGGGGGAGGGACCTGGTGGGAGGTGATTACATCATAGGGGTGGTCTCCCCAGGCTGTTCTCATAATACTGAGTGAGTTCTCACAAGATCTGATGGTTTTGTAAGGGACTTCCCCCTTCGCTCACCACTCATTCTTTCTCCTGCTTCCCTGTGAAGAGGTGCCTTCTGCCATGACTGTAAGTTTCCTGAGGCCTCCCAAGCCATGTGGAACTGTGAGTCAATTAAACCTCTTTTCTTTATAAATTACCCAGTCTTGGGTATTTTTAATAGCAGCATGAAAACAGACAAATACAAGGGGGATAATAAATGCCCATGTCCTGGGACTGAGTGAATTATTGATAATCCTTGCATGGATAGACAAAGGGGGACGGGAGATGAGCTCCAGGAGCTTTGCTCATGGAGGGTTGCCCCAGGGACAGAGGGCAGAGATGTTCCCTGGCCTCTGGAGTGGTGTTGGCAGGAGGTGGTCTGTGTGGGGCCTCTCAGAATTGACTGTTACCTATGGGGGTCAGGGTAGGGTTGTGAGATTTAGCAAATAAAAATACAGGATGCCCAATTAAATTTGAATTTCAGATAATCAATAATTTTTCGGTACTGGATAACTATGTCTCACACAATATGTGGGACACGCTTATAGTAAAAACTTACTTGTTATTCAGCTGTAATTCAAACTTCTTGTACTTTATCTGGCAACACCAGGTAAGGGGAAGGAGCATGTGGGGGTCCAACTGATTCAGGCCGATGACCCCGATCCCAAAGGTGCTACCAGTCTCCTGGCCCCCTCCATGCCTCCCAAGCTCCTCAGAGGTTAGCTTGCTCTTCTAAAAATATTTTTAAGGACTAGCCCCACCCTGGTGTTCCAGGAGACTTTTTCAGGGCTGTTACAGGCCAAAGGACATACTGGAAACTTGTTTCTTTGGTCAGAGGTTTCTTTGTGGATGTGCAACAGCAGGAGACCTTGAGAAGAAAGGTGAGTGGGCACCAAAGGGGAGAAGAGCCATGGCCTCAGCACCCTAGGGCCCTGTAGACCACAGGGTTTGGTGTCCCTGCACTTCCTGGACCTACTAGGCTTGGGATAGGCCAGGTGACCAGAACAGGAATTATAGTTGTATTGGAGAGGAAAGGTCTTGGGGAAGATTAGATGATAGCTCAAAGATTAATCTCCTTCCTTACTGAGCCCCTGACTTCTAAAATCAACTCCGGTCCTGTGCCCAGGCCTCAGCCTCCCTCACCTCTGAGATGTACTCAACTCTTTCATTCCTGCAGAGATGAACAGGAAGAGAGTCCCCAGAGTTAAGGGGCTTTGGTGCTTGGAAGAAAGATGATCTAGCTGTCTGAACCACAGGCCCTGCCTCCTGGGATGGGCCCTGGCCAGCCCAAAGCTCTTCTCTCTGTAGACCTGAAGCTTTGAAGGATGTGTAGAAGGCAGGCCAGTAGCCTCCCTCAGCTCAGATCAGTGCTTCCTTCCAGCCCAGCTCAGCTTGGGTTGTGGTGAGAACATAGGCCTGAAGTGAGAGCCCCAGCTCTGCCCCTTCCTAGCCGCAGCTCCACCTCTCTGAGCCTCAGTTTCCCATCTGGAAAAATGGGGCTAATCCAACTTGACCTTCCCACCTCATAGGCAGATATGGTAGATGAAAGTGCCTTACCCATGATAAGAACAAAACAATGAGAGGAGTTAAGATGCTCCTTGGAGGAGTGCACACTGTTCCCTCCCAGAACATCCTCTCCCTTTTTTCCCCCCAGGAATACACACTTGTGGTATATATTATTGATGGTGTAGATTTTGTCACTAGTAACTCCAGCAGAAGAGTTGTGATGTAAGAAACTAGGACTGCAGTGAGAGATCTGTGGGGCACCAGTCCCCTTCCATCTTGTTGCTCCATCTGCTTGGGAACTGGCCTCACTCACGTGGTTTAGAGGGGCTCACCACCATGTCCACATTCCAGCTAGAGGGAAGTGGAGGGGTTGTGTGTGCTCCTTTTCATTAAAGGCATGGCCTGAGTGATGTAGCTAAATCACCTCTACTTGCCTCCTATTGGCCACATCATAGTCACATAGCCAAAGCCAGCTGCAAAGGAGGCTGGGAAATGTAGTCTTTCTTTTTGGGTGGCTACTTCGCTAAAAATCAGGAGTTCTAATATTACAGAAGAAAGAGAGAATGGATTTTAAGAGACTCTGGCAGTCCCTGCCACAGATGTCAGCAGTTTTCTCACTCGGCACTTTAGTTTGCTGAATTGATGTTTACTGAGCATGGATTAAATGCCAAACCTTTTGCAAGAATCTGCGGAGGCAAAGAGGAAACAGTCCTTGATCTAACCTGGTGTAATGGAAAGGGTAGATTGGGAGCTGAGAGACTGGCAGTCAGTCTCTTGAACGCTGAGATCCTTGTTTTGTGGTCTCTTGTAGCTGCCTGTGTCCTTGTTCTGTGGTCTCTTACTTATACCTTGAGATCTTGTTCTGTGGTCTCTTACTTATACCTTGTTCTGTGGTCTCTGAGTAGCTGCCTGTGTCCTAAATCACTGCTTCCTGGATAGAAAGCTGCGGGCTGGGCCATTTCAGGCGAGCTTGTTTGGAAGGGAGTAAAAGGGTCGTGGGGAGGGAGATATCGCTGGAGCACTTCATGGCCTGGCTGACCACAGACAAGATGGGCAACCTGAGTGACCCACTGAATGCATGTATTACTCAAGACTCTTCAGTTGCAAGTGACATAAACTTAACAAAATCAGAGAAGGACAATATAAAGGAAGAAAGTAAAGGAATTTATGTTGTAGGAGTTTATGTAGCAAAAGGCAGTAAACTCACTTCAGGCGTGTTGGATCCAGAAGCTCTAATTATACCACCAGGAATTTCTCTCTCTGTCTCTTGGCTCTGCATTTTTCTGCTCTGCTTCCTTCCCAAATAGTACAACAGTGGCCACCAGCAGCACCAGGGTCTCCTTCCTATCAGATTAGCAAACCCAGGGGGAAGAGCATGCCTTTTTCTCAGGCAGTCCAGCAAAAGTTTCAGGTCAGACTTTCACTGGCCCAAATTGGGTCATGTGCCCTTTCCTGAACCAATCATTGTGTCCCAGAAGGTGAAGTCTCCTGATTGTCCAGGCCTGGGTCATGTGCCCACACCACTGGTGCTGAAGAGTGATATCTGTTCTGCTTACTTCACCTGGACCAAAAGCTGGGGAGCTTCCCAAAGGAAAATTGGAGTGCTGTCACCACAAGGGGAAAAGAAAGGGGGCTGTTGAAATAGCAGGTGCCCACAATGGGGATTCACATCGTCCCAGCCAGTCCCTTGTGGCAAGGGGCAAAGTCAGCTAAGCCCCCATGGCATCCGAAGAAGTGAACATCTGAGCTCTCACTGTCCTTGGAGAGATGAGGTCATATGTTCTGGGGGTAACAGCGTGGGGCTCTGGAACCATACAGGACTAGAATGAATCCTAGCTCTGCCCCTGTGACTTTGGGCCAGTTCTTCTACCTCTTCGTGGCTCAGTTTCCTCATGTGTAAGTTGAGAATAAACAGCAACAGCATAGTAGAATGCCTGGCTCGGAGGCTGACATGTGGCAGGCACCAAATGCCTAGCAGCTCTTATCTTTTTGGATGCCGTCATTCCAAGTGAGGTCCTTGTAATGGAGAAGTGACAAAACTTTGGTTCTTGGATTATATGTAGGAGGGCACCGTCTTTGGGTGGGTAAAACGTTTGAACAGTCCTGGCCCACCGAGCAATTATTTAGACAATTAAGATTCTTTAATGAAGAGCAAAACTGCTATTGTCTGGGCTCTGTATGGGCCCAAGTTCCTTGACAGGCAAATAGTGGTGCTTGAAGGGTGGGGGAGCCTGGAGGTACAAGATACCTGCCATTGAGGTGATTTATTAGGGACAGGGTAAGCAGATCTCTCAGAGATCTTGAGCCTGGGTGGCACTGCCCTGTCCCAACGCTCAGTCATGTGTCTTAAGTCATGCCAAGAGGTACATGGACCAGAACGGTTCAGGAGATGTAATTTAGGTTGCTCTCTTTGGGATCTTCAACCCTCCTTGGCTCACGCTCCCGGACTGACCTATATAGGAGATCTATGGTGGTTGGTTTTCTTTTTTCAACTTTACCAATATGCTGGAAATGCCTTATCATGGCTCTGTGCCCTCAGTTTTAGAGTTTCATCCTTTTCAAGATATAAATACCTCTGGAATGGCTTCGACTTTAAGTGGTTAATAACTGTTAACACCTCTCTGGGAGTGAAGGAACTAAAACAAGATTTATAAGGGAAATGAGAAAGGGAGAGAAGGGGGCCTTGGGTATGGAAAGGGGTGGGTTCAGGCCCTACCGGTAGGGACAGTTGTTGGGACAGGGAGGCCGTGGCTGCCTCCTCCATCCTAGCTCTGCCCCCAGAGAGCCACTCACACTGCCCGGCTCCCTGTTGCCTGGGACCCTGACGATGGAGGCAGCGAGTGTGATGGAAAAAGGATTTGGAAACCAGAACTTGGCGAGAATCTTGACTTTGCTACTTAAACACAGTGAGTGGCCCCAAGCAAGTGACTTCACCTCTCAGCAACTCAATGCCCTCATCTGTTAAATGGAGATCTTCCTGCCTACCTGATGGGGTCAGTACCAGAACTTATGGATTATATTTTAAGACCCCACAGTTTGGCTGACCAGCCGAAATTTCCCCCAAAACAGTTAAGTTGCTCTAGATCTTTCTGTTTTCATGGCAGCCCCATCCCAGGGATTCCCCCATCATTCCTGGGCCACAGCCCTAACTTTAGAGACAGAGCCAGGCAGCCCATCAGACCCCTAAGGAGGGACTTGCGGGGTTAGGTCTTGGCCTGGATCTCACCATCAGGTATCTTGTACCTCCAGGATCAAGCACCACTATTTGGCTGTCAAGGAACTTGGGCCCACGTGGTGCCCAGACAATAGCTGCTTTGTTCTTTATTAAAGGATCTTAACTGACTGAAGAAGAAGAAGAAAAAAATCCAGCTCTTCCTTACGAAGCTCATAATTTAATAGGTGAAATGTCAGTGAAAATCAATGCCAGGCTGTTTCCTCGCAGCCTCATTATGCCGTCCATTATGTTTTGTTTATAGTTGCTCGTTTCATTTCCTCCTCTTATTCCTCCCCTCCCCCACTCTTTGTAATAAAAGAACATTTTAAAATTTATGATGTTAAAAAGGGACATGGGCTGAGAAATTGAGTTACGAGAAACCCAAGAGTTGTCCCTGGCAGGGCTGGGAAATCCAGCCACCGGAAGGAGGAGATGTCCCCAGCCCCAGAATTGGTGGGCCTGGGGTCAGCACATTTGAGCAGTTTGCTGACCTGGAGGGTTTTCCTGGGGGTAAGAAGGTCCTTGTTTGTCGGGTGATGGTTGGAGAGGCCCTGGGGGAGCCCAAGGGGAGAGAAGAGCAAGTGAGCCTTGGGACTCTCCTTTCGCCCTCAAGGAGAGAAACTGTGGGCTCTGTAGTCTAGCAGAACCCAGTGAGTCAAGAGAGGTGCTCCCCTGGATGTGGTCTTGTTTATGATCCTCTGAAGGCGTGGCTCAACATGCAAAGCAAAATCTTAGGAAGTGAGACCTCTGGCCCCATCAGCTGGGTCCTGCTTGTTCCTGGCCATGCTCTGGCCACCAGTGTGACCACACGGGGGATGGCCCAACCTCAGGAACAACCCAGGCTCAAGATGAAGCCATCCCCAGCCTGTAGGTCTACAGCCTTGGCCAAGCAGATGAGCAGAGGTAAATTTCTCTGGAGCCTTCCAGATGCTGTGCCTGTGGCCCCCTTCCCTGGGATTCTGCTGAATCAGCCTGGAGATCAGGGTCTGGACCAGCTCCTGCCAGGCCATCAGGAGAGAAAAGGTGTTATTTCCAGAGAGGTTGGAGGGGTTCCATTGCAGTGTAGGTTTCCCCAGGATCAGATCCAGAGAGGAGGAGTCTAGTGCAAGTCATTTATCTGGGAGTTGATCTCGGGAAACGTAGCATGGGAGTGGGGGAAATGAGACAGGGATGGGTAAATTATTGAGTAGGTTACCGTTGTGGGCAACTGGGGCCTAACTCTTCTGGGAAACTCTGGGAGACAGTGTAGAACAAACCCTAGGGAAAAGCCAAGGCTTTGGGGTCAAAGCTTACCCTCCTTCCATCCCTCCTCCTCTACTCTGGGCCAGGCCTGTCAAGCACAGAGACTACAAAGATGGAGAGGTTGCAGTTCTAGTCCTCAAGAACTTTCCTGCACATGGAGAAATAGAAGCTGAGAGACAGCTGATAAGAAAGGGGAAGGGAAGTTCTGCACAGGAGGCTGGCATGGCCACTGGGAGTGCACAGGGCTGGGGGCCAACCTCGTTGTGCTCCTTCCTTGTAGCCACATGGGCCCAGAGATCAATTTTCCAAGCCTGAGTCTCAAATGGAGGCACTCATTGCTACTCAAAAACCCTGCTGTGGCTGTAAAGGTGGCTTGGCATAGAGGTTAACTCATTTTTACAGACTAAATTTTGCTGTATCTCCCCAGTTCATATGTTGAAGTCTTAGCCTCCAATATTTGGAGATGAGGCCTTCAGGTTAAATAAAGTTTTGTGGATGGGGCCCTAATCCAACAGGATTGGTGTCCTTATAAGAAGAGACACCAGGGAGCTCCCACTTTCTTTCTTCTTGCATGCACCAAGGAAAGGCCATATGAGGGCACAGCAAGAAGGCAGCTGTCCACAAGCCAGGAAGAGAGGCCTCACTGGGAATCAACCCTGATGGGACCACAATCTTGGACTTCTGGCCTCCAGAACTGTGAGAATAAATGCCTGTTCTTTAAGTCACCAAGTCTATGGTATTTTATTCTGGCAGCCCAAACTGACGAAGATACTCCTGAACCCTGGAACCAGACTATGTGGGTTTGAATCCTACTTCTGTTTACACATAAGCCATGGGATCTTGGAGAAGTTTTTACTTATTCTCAATTTCCTCATCTGTAAAATGGGGAGAATAATGACACTGGCCTCTATCAGTAAGCTATCGCTGATGTAACAACCCACCCACAACTCAGCGGCTGAGAAAGATAAGCACTTCAGCCTGTGGTTCTGTCTCATCTGCGTGTATCTGTAGTCAGCTGTGGGTTGGGTAGGAGCTCAGCTGATCTGGGTAGGGATCTCTCACAAATTTGGTGGTCAGCTGACAATGAGCTGGTCTGCTGGGGCTCAGCTGGGGCTGCAGGCACAGACATACAAGGTGCTGTTCATTCCCCCAGGCACACTATACATGCAGAGTAAGGGCTCTCTTTCTCTAGCAGGCTGGTCTGGGCTCCTTCATGGGCAGCTGAGGTTCAAGGCAGCAAGTGGGAGCTACAAGGCCACTGGAGGTCTAGGGTTCAAATGGACACTACATCGCTTCTGCTACATTCTATTGGCCAAATCTAGGGTCACAGCCCAGCCCAGATTCAAGGGGAGGTGAAAGAGATGCCACCTCTGCATGGGAGTTGCTGCAAAGTCATATTGCAAAGGAAGTAGATTCAGAGAGGCCATGGATTGAGGCCCTGATGCCATCACTCTCCTCACAGGGCATTTGGCGGACGAAATGAGGTCCTCAAGTGCTGGGGCAACCTGTGAATTTGCGTGCTGCTTATTTATCACTGTGCCTGACATGGAGTGAGTACTCACTAAGGTGGGCTCCTTTTCCTCCCAGCAGGCTGGTGGGATCCTGCTGTCCCTCTTCTCCCAGTGGTTGAAAGGGTATCCCCTGTGGTCTTTACAAATGAGTTAGGAAGTCCTCAGGCTATGTCGGACTCATGGGTCATGAGTCAGAATCCAATCATTTTAAAGCCATAGCTTGTGTTTGCTCAAACTTTCCCTTGACAGGGCGAACACAGGGGTGCACATCACACAGACACAGACACACACAGGCACGGGTGGGTGTTCCTCACACCCAGACACACACAGGCAGTGAGATGTCCCTGTGTACCCAGACACACACAGGCACAGAGAGGTGTCCCTGAATACCCAGACACACACAGGCAGTGAGGTGTCCCTGCATACCCAGACACACACAGGCACAGAGAGGTGTCCCTGAATACCCAGACACACACAGGCAGTGAGGTGTCCCTGCATACCCAGACACACACAAGCACAGCCAGGTGTCCCTGTGTACCCAGACACACACAGGCACTGATGGGTGTTCCTCATACCCAGACACACACAGGCAGCGAGGCGTCCCTGCATACTCAGACACACACAAGCACAGCCAGGTGTCCCTGTGTATCCAGACACACATAAGGACATATGCACACTGTGCCATGCGCCCCTCCCCATGTGTACCTCACAACACACAGATGCTGGGCACCTTTCCTCACATGCAGCCAACAACACACAGATACCGGGCATCACCCTCCATCTACCATATATGTGACATATGTCCTCACACAGACATAGGGCAGTTGACATGCCCAGCTGATGTCCACACACAATGTATACACCCCATGCACAGGCACACGTGCTCACACATACCTGTATACACAGACGGGCAGCAAACACACACTTCACTCCCACACAGACTTAGGTTGGAGTCTGCCAGCTGGCGCCCAGCAGTCCTGGCCACTTCAACTCCCAACCTCTGTCCACGCTGTGTCTGCTCTGTGCCCTTTTGGCAAGGGCTCTTCAAAGGGGTGAGGAGAGGAGTGGGGGGAGGGAGGCTGGCAGGTGGGACAGGCGTTTCTGTCTGGCTCCTGTGCTGACGGGGTCTGGGAAACAGCAGAACTGGGTTGGCATTAGTGCCAATGGGAAGGTCACAGGGTGCTCTGTTGATACAAAATAGGAGGAGCTGTGGTCCTCCCCAGCTTGAGATTCAGCACCTGAAGGCCGAATGCCCCAGCTGCCAGCTCCCATGCCTGCTCTGTCCTCTGGGAAGGAGGCCCAAGCCCCAAACAAAGCAGGCTCATTGGTGCTCCCCAGACCCAGCCATCCCCTACCTGGTGCTTGGTTTCAAGTGACCGTGATGGTGAAAAACCCCAGGCTTCCCAAAGCACATGGGCTATGCTGCAGCTTCTTGGCCATCAGCCACCAGCAGGTGCCACCCAGGGCACAGATCAGGGAGGCAGCCAGGTTCTGCAGCTCAGCCTTCTACCTCTGAGATGGTGATGGCCCAGCGAGCCACCACAGACTCTCCTGCAGGCAGTGACTGCGGCTTTGGAGGGGTTTACTGTTTTCTTGGGTTTCTGCCTCTTTGGGTTGAGTTGTCCCAGAATTTGGGCCCTCTGGGTTTGGGATGTGCTAGGGACAGAGTGTGGGGTACTCCCAGGAGGCTGAGAGACCTATCTGTGGCCCGAGGACAGCCTGGCTCTTCTGGTAAAGGGGCCCCAGCAGAAAGACAGGCAGATCTGTGGTCTGCCCCAGGGGCTGGGTCTGAGCACTTTAGAGACCCACATACCCACATACCTGTGCAAGGTAAAGGGAGAGGGGAATCTTCAGTGCCATGGGACAGGGGCTAGAGAGGGTGAGGGGTGGGAGCCAGCAGCTGTGGGCACGTTGGGCAGGTCTGCCAGACAACCTAGAGTTATCTGTGTCCTTGATCTTGGTCTTTTGGTGGTATAGGTGGAGATGATAGCGTGTGAACAAGCATGTGAGTGTGCTTTACTCCAGGGGCCAGCAGCTCCCACCTACTGCCCATTCCTGTAAATAAAGCTTTATTGGAACACAGCCAGGCCCACTCGATTATATATTGCCTATGGCTGCTTTCCTGCTGCAGAGTGGAGTAGTTGCCACAGAGACCTGAGGAATCACAAAGCCGAATCTCTACGCTCTGGCCTTTTACAGAAAATGTTTGCTGATTCCTGCTTTCCTTTGTTTTCTGAAAGTTGAGAACATGGGCTCAAGAATGAGAAAGACCTGGGATCGAACACTACTTCCTAGCTGTGTGACCTTGGGCAGGTCACTTAACCTCTCTGAGCCTCGGTTTTCCCGTCTATAAAATAGAGATAACTGCACCTGCCTCACGGGGTTGCTCAGAGACTTATAACACTCAGCCCAGTGCCCGGCATGTGATCAGTAAATGGCAGGGTTTATTCAACATTTTCCTTGAGGCTCCCTTAAATTGATTTTTATTTTTTTGAGACAGGGTCTTGCCATATTGCCCAGGCTGCTCTCAAACTCCTGGGCTCAGGTGATCCTCCTGCCCCAGCCTCCCAAAGTGCTTGGGATTACATGCATGAGCCACCACGCCCAGCCTAAATCAGTGATTCTGCAGGTGCCTGGTAATAAGAATCCCTACGTGTCCATTTGTGGTGGAGGGGGCGTGGAGGGAGGGAGTGTTTGATAGAAACACAGACCCCTGAGGCTCACCCCAAACCTGCTGAATGAGCTTTGCAGTGCATGTGGGTGAGACAGGAGACCTCATCGGGCCATCGGGGACAGGAGGGTAAGGCCAGCATGGAGATGGATGTGGCTTAGGGTGAACACCCATCCCTGTTTGCTTGGGACTAAGGGAAAAGTCCGGTCAAACTGGGATGAGTTGGTCACCCTGATGTGGCTCCTTCAAATAACTGTCCAGTGGGATGGCCTGGCCAGAGCTCTGCTCAGTTGAAGCATCGCTCCAGGCCCTCCCTACTCTGGAGAGGGAACACTACACAGTATTTGCCTGGGGGGTCCTGACCCTTCTTCCTCTGATGTACTCCCACCCCAGCAGGTCTCCCCATCTCTGATATGCAGACTTCCATCATTTTTGGGTCTCATGCTTCCCTTGCCCCCATCAAGCCTGGCTGGCAGGAAAGGATGACTTACCAGTTATTAACACCTTAGAATTAATTTCAGCAAGTGTGTTGCTTTTCCTGGGGGTCTTTGTATTTGAAATTTCCTTCTTGAGAGTGGAAGAAATAACTTTTTTTAGTGGGGGGGTGATATTTATGCAATGAAGTCGCAGGCTCAGGAAAGAGATGTCTGGACCGATGCTGAGCAGTAACACCTATTCCTGCAAAGACGGCCCCAGGAGCTCTGAGGGACACTCAGGGGGTATCTTCTACCCCTAAGGGAGACCCTGGGCCCCTGGGCCGCCTTGACCAGCCTTTGTCTTGACTTCCCCTGAGAATGGTGAAATCTTAGCTTTTGAGCCAAGAATATTGCTTTGAAAAAATGAAACGCCCAGCGAGTCCCTATAGTCCCCAAACCTCATTTTAAAGGGATTACAGCAGCTGGCTTGTAAATCCTGTTTCTTACGGTGGGGGGCTTAGAGCAGGGCTCAGGAAGAGACTAGGGTGGGGGAAAGAAAGGAGGTCATTTCATTTCCTGGAGAGGAAAGCCAGGCTCTCCTCCACTGTGACGCCTGGGATGGGGCTCACTGTCCCCACTGGGGAAAACGGAGGGGGCAGGAAAGGGCCCTGGACTTGGAGTCTGGCCACCAGAGCTCCAGTCCCAGTTGTACCATCAATTCACAGGCGACCTGGGGGCCGCCCCGACCTCCTCTGGGCCTCTGTCTCCTGCACGACAAGGATTTGAAAATTAAAAAGAAGAGTTTTGATGTCTTTCCTTCTTCTCTTATCCTCCAAGCAGGGTACCCTCTCTGTGGGCTCCCCGGCATGTGAGGGGCTGACAGAGGTGGGCGAATGGATAACTGGGTAGAAATGTGCTGCCCAGGGAAGCTGTGGAGCTTTCCGGGGCAGCTGTGTGGTTGAGAGATTTCAGAAACTCTAATTTTAAAAGCTAAGGCTTATTTGAGGGTGGCGTGGGAGTGAACTTGGGGAAGAGATTTGACACCTGCTAGGATGTGGGACTAGGGGGAGGGAGAGGTGGAGAAAGAGGATTTCAAATACTCTTGGCTGTGTGTTGCACAGTGTTATCCCCCTCCACCAAGTCCTCTGGAGGAAGCTTCAGTTAAGGTTGACTGGCCACCCCAGAGTTCTGGAGTCAGATGAATAGTTATTTGGTGCGAGCGCCCATGCAGAAGCAGACCTGGTGGAAAGAACTGGAAGGTCCACTTCTATTTGACTGGTGTCTCCAGAATGCTGGGACTGGTCCAGACCAGTGCTGATGGAGGTGTTAGGGATGAATCACCAGCGATTTGGTAGGTGATTTTGGGTGGCACACAGGTGAATGTAGGAAAATTGTGATGCCTCTATTTAAATGGGTCTTGGGAGAAAATAACTCATTCACCAAACCTGCAATTTTATAGATATTATTGCTTAGGGCAAAGTCCAAACAGATAAAGAAATATAAATATGTTAACAAACAGTGGGTTGATTTAAGGAGAATGTTAAATGATGCCCTGACCACAAGGTCATTGGCTGTAAAGGTCAACAGTGGCCATCAGGAGGACTCCAGGAACTCAGTGGGTGCCAGGAAGCCCACCTGCAAAAGGCCTGGCTCCAGGCCACTGCCTACACCCTTTGTGCTATGAGGTTGCATAAGCCTCTCCTCCTTAAGAGGAGTAGGGAATGCTGGGCAACGGAAGGGCAAATGAAGTGAAGGAGTTAATGCCAAGTGTTCCAAAGACTGGATTGGAATGAGTTTTGAACCAGACTGAAGAAAACTCAGCTTCTCTTTCTCTCTCCCTTCTTCCTTTCCTTCCTTTGTTCCTTCTACCCATTGGGTGCAGGATCCTAAGGGCAATTTTAAAGGCAATGTATTCTTGGTGTATTAGTCCGTCCTTGCACTGCTATAGAAAAATACCTGAGATTGGGTAATTTATAAAGAAAAGATGTTTAATTGGCTCATGGTTCCGCAGGCTGTACAAGAAGCATGGAAGCATCTGCTTCTGGGGAGGCCTCAGGGAGATTTTCCTCATGGCGGAGGGCAAAGTGGGAGCAGCCATCTTATGTGGCAGGAGCAGGTCCGAGAGATAGGGAAAAGGTGCTACACACTTTAAAACTGTCAGATATCATCATAATTCTATGATAAGACCATCACCAGAGCACATAGATAATTCTATGATGAGATAATGCTAAACCATTCATGAAGGATACACCCTCACGATCCAATCACAATCACCTCACATCAAGTCCCACCTCCAACACTGGAGATTACAACTGAACATGAGATTTGGATGGAGACACAGATCCAAACCATATCACTTGGCAACCCTGAGCCGCCTAAAACAGTATTGCTACTGGACGATCCTCACCATCACAAATAATATTAACAAAACTAAAATAAAATGTTGGTTCAGTAACACTGCATCACCCTTTCTTGAACAGTATTACATGAGCAAACTTAAGGCTCTGAGAAGCCCTGCATTTAGCAAGAATGTACTTGACAAAATATTTCTCAAAAGCATCTGATTCTGGGAGGTTCTCTCCCTATAACGTGTATTAATATCCAGCAGAATTGGCTACTGAAGAACCCATTTTGAAAAATGCTGGACTACAAGCTGGTACCGGTGCCTTCCATATACGTTGATGATTGGAGAACCCCATGAGGCAGTCAGCATCCAGACCGGGCTCTTCTGGGTGGGCAGGAAGACTGGCTACTCTTCATGAGGCTTTCGGCCAAAGTCTGTCCCTTACTTCAACATTGTCTTCACCATGGAGAAGTCAGAGTGACCTGCCAGCTATGGGGTGGGGTGGGTGGGGTTTCGGAGTTCCCCCAAACAGTCTAAATCATGCCTTCCTACTGCTCTGGCCTCCTTTTGCCTCTCTTATTGGGATTAGAAAAAGAATGACAGCAGCAAAAATACAAAACACCAAACAACAAAAACCAAGACTGAACAATACCCCAAGCCACATCAGAGGAGCCTGCTGGGCACCCACCTGGGCAGAGTGGGATGCCTGGGTACCACTCCCAGCTCTGCCCCCTGGTCAATGCCAGTGTAGTCTCTGGGGGCCTCAGTTCCCCCAACTCTTCCTTCCTTCTGGGCCACCCTCCTTGGGTGGTGTGAGTGAGTGGGAGGCCAGGGCAGGCTTCATGGCAAAATCTCAGCCGTAAGGTGGCTGCAGACTCTTGATTTAAAGATTTAAAATGATCTACAGCCAGAATCCCAGATTAATCACAATTAGCAAGTTAACATCTGTTCAGCATTTGACAGTTTACAAAGCAGTTAGGTAGTCATTCCTAAGATGAGCCCATGAAGTTAACAGTGCTTCTCCCCTCCATCAGTGAGGAAACTGAGGCACAGAGAGGATAAGCAGCTTGCTTGAGGTCACACGGCTAGCAAGTGGCAAAGCTGTGCTTTGAGCCTAAGTTTGTTGATTTTAACTAGACATTATTATGGAGCAAAAGACCTGGTCCCTACCTTTGAAGAGTTTTTGTTCCATTGAGGAAAAGAGGCTTATTCCATTCTACCTTTTATTGTCATTTTTTGGGGGTGTGTGTATTCATGAATAAATTAATCTGTAAAGAGTATTACAGACATTGTCTCACTCAGGAAATCTGAATTCAGAGAAAGGAGGAATTTCCATGGGGCTGGTGGATAAGGGAGAATTCTTACAGGAAGCAGACCCAGAGCTAGGCCTTGAAGGATAATATACACAACCCAAGAAAAGTCTTCAACATATCAGTCATTTACACCATAGTATAAAATTGATGTAGTAGCCCATCTCTAATTGCAGGGGGAAAGCAAAACTTTCTGATTCATTCATTCAGGACAACATGTTGATCCAAATTGTGTGCTAGGAGCTGCACCAGCTTGCCCTCTGGAATAGGTCCTGCAGGGTCGTGGCATCCCTTTAAATGTGAGGAAGAAGGAGAGAGATCTACAAGGAGGCTGGATCCCCCAGCCAGGGAGTAAGGGAGCAGGATTAGCACCCAGCACCCTGCCTATGCTTTCTACCCACTTCTCTCTGTCAAAGTGGCTGATCTGCCCTCCTGGAGGGAGTGGTGTCCAGATCTCAAACAGGGCTGGGTGCTCAGGTGCTGGGCAGGGAGTTTTGGTGGGAGGGCATATGAAGTAAAGGAAACCAGGATCTGAGCCTCTGGAGGGAGCAAGTTGGAGTTGGAGCAAGAGGCAACTGGGATCTGAGTGTCTGGTCCACCAAAGAGGCAGAAGAAGGAAAAAGTTCCAGAGAGAGAATTAATAAAATCAAGGGAGGGTCAAGAGGTCAAGAAGTGGAGCTGGATGGAGGAGGCTGAGCCTGTGGGCATTGGGAAATAAGCTAATAGGGGCCCCTGGTCAGGTTGGACAATTAGCAATGGAGTTGTGTTTCTAATTACACTTCTGATCTCAACCTGTTTGGTTAGTGAATGAAATGAGGTATTGAGAGTAGGTGGGAAGTCGCTTTGAAAGTAGGGTAGGCTTGCAGGAGAAAGTGATTTATGAAATCTTCATTAGGGGCTGTTGGCTCATCACTCTGGCATTTACGTAGGTTGCCTGAATTTCTTCTTTTGACTTCCTACAGGGACTCTTGAAAGCAAGGTCCTCTTGATGTTTGCTCAGATCTCTTCTAGTCCTGGGGCTTTTCACATCTGTCTATAAGCCTGAGTTTCCCAGGTGACCTGTCCAGCTAGGGTGGCCCCTCTGGGCTCCATCTCCATCCTGGGCCACTCAACATCACCCCATACGGTCTCCCTGCTTCTCTTCAGGTTCAATTCTTACCTGTCCTTGATCTCTCCCCACACAGCCCACACTGGCCTTTCTGTCTCTTAAACATACCAAGCTTGGTCTCACCTCCAAGCCTTTGCCCGTGCTGTGCCCGCTGTCTGTAACACTCTTTCCCCAGATCCTCACAAGCCTTTTTCATGTAGGGCTAAGTTTAAAGATATCCTCCTCAAAAAGGCCTTCAGTGGCCACCCCATCTGAGAAACAGCTGTAGCATTGCTTTCTTCTCTTTATGGTGTTTGAAAACAGGAAATTATTTATTTACTGTGTTGAGATGTAGTGTCTATTTTATTAATGTAATATATGAATTTGGCTTTAAAAGTGAAATAATATGATAAAAATAATATAATATTAAAAAAGCAGCCTCCTGCCTGCCTCCTATTTGCTTTTCAAAAGCAACCATTTTTAGTTCTTTTAGCCGCTATTGCTATTAATATTTGCCTCTAGATTTCTTTTTCTGTTTGTTTGTTTTTTTGAGACAGAGTCTCTCTTTGTTGCCAGGCTGGAGTGCAGTAGCACAATCTTGGCTCACTGCAACCTCTGCCGCCCAGGTTCAAGCGATTCTTCTGCCTCAGCCTCCCAAGTAGCTGGGACTACAGGCACACGCCACCATGCCCAGCTAATTTTTGTATTTTTAGTAGAGATGGGATTTCACCATGTTGGCCAGGATGGTTTCGATCTCTTGACCTCATGATCTGCCTGCCTCGGACTCCCAAAGTGCTGGATTGCCTCTAGATTTCTAAATATTTCCTGTATTAGAAGTTCTTGACATCTCTATTTTATACATTACCCACAGTTGTTCTACTGAAGGTTTAACTTTTACACACACATACACACAGGACCATAGTCGCCCTCCATACTCTCTGAATAATTTATCACAATTTTTAATAAAAGTCATTATTCAGCTCTTTATAATCATGACTATGAAAATATTGTTTGAGGAAAAGCCATATGAAATAATGGAATTGTTTACTTTATTGCATAATTTTTGTGTTTTTTTCTGCAGTGATTCAGCAATTATTAAATTGCTTCTTGTGCTCATTTTCTTAGCTTTTCATGTGCCCGTCATTAATTCTTCCCTAAACTCTCTGACAGCACTTTAAAATGTCTCTTAATATGAACTAGCACATGAGTCAGGCCAAAAATGCCACGTTTTAATTTCTTGGAGACAAAGCTCTGGGAGCTCCACCATGTCGTACTCCAATGAGGATTGTTTGATTTGGGGGCACAGCTGTAGTTCTAGAAAATTCCATCTTGTTGGATCCTAGATCCCATTGTCTTGGTTTACACTGCTCTTGGATTAGCACACATTGTTGCAAGAGGTCAAATAGTAAGTATTCTCGGGTTTGCTGGCCACATAGTCTCACAACTATTAGACTCTGCCATTGTTGTGTGAGAGCAGTCAAGCATAAATGACTGAGCATGGCTGCCTTCCAATAATATTTTATTTACAAAAACAAGTGATGGGGTGCATTTGGCCAGCAGGTCATAGTTTGCCATCCCCTGGCTTACACCCTCTTTTTGATAGAGCTCATCCTTCAGTAGCTTCTTGAGAAAGGGTGCCTCGGAGATAGTTTTAAAAAAAATTTGCACGTCAAAAAAAGTCATCATTCCACCTTCATGTTTGATTGACAGTTTGGCTGGATATTTAATCTGAGGCTGGAAGTCACATTTCCTCAGAATTTTTAGGCCATTCCTCTGTTGTTTTCTAGAGATTTGTGTTTCTGCTGAGAAGTTTGATACTATTCTGATTCTTGGCATATGATTTAGTGTTTTCTGTCTAAAAGTCTTTAGGATCTCTTTATCCTGGGGATTTTTGAAATTTCCTGATGATATCCCTTGATGATTTTGGTTTTCATCCATTGTCTGGGCAAATAATGGCTCCTAAAAAACATCTCATTCTAATAATCCACAGCCTTCAGTTTGGGGAAAGTTTCTTGTATTATTTCTTCAATATTAAATGCTCCCCACCCACTCCATTTCTCTACTCTCTTTTTCTGGAATTAATGAGTTAGTTGCTGAAATTCTGGGCTGAATTCACTACTTTAAATTTTTTTCTCTTATTTTTTCTTTATCTTTTTTTGGTCTTTTTTTCTGAGTTATTTCCTTCTCTCTATCTTCTATTGAATATTTTATTTTAGCTCTTACATTTAATTTTGAAGAGCTATTTCTAAATCTGTTCCTTTTTATAACTGCCTGTAGTTTCATGGATGAAATATCTTCCCATATGTTACGAGGATATAAATTATAATTTTCTTCAGCTTTTTCTTTTGCTTCCTGAATTTATCTGTGTTTCCCCGATCTCTTCTTCCCTGCACCCCTGTTTTGTTTTCTGCTTTTCATGTCAGAGGATTCCTTGGATCCCTGGTGATCCTTGGCTGTTTGCATTGGAGGAATGCTCTGTAAAGCTGGCTGGAAGCCTGTGAAAGTAGGCAGTTTGTGTGGGATTATTGGAGAGGGACCCAGACCTTTAGTTAGGAGTTCCCCAAATTAGTATCTCTCCGTCTCTTTCTTTGGGCTGAGGATTTCTACAGAGATGGATCCGCAGTCTTTTTCCTCTTTTACCTGGTTGGGGGTAAAACTTGGGCTTCCTGGGTTCTGGGAATCACGTGGGGAGAGGGGAGTAGAAGTTCCTTCCATTTCACTCTCCTGCTTGCTCCCTAAATCCAGGGTCTGTCTGCTGCAGTTTTTCCTGAGTGTCACCCCCACCTCCAGGCATCACTGGTGCATCAAACTCCCAGCTTTTCCTGAATTTTGTGGCTCAGATTGGCTTCTTTCTTTTGGGCACTCCCCTCTCCGGCCGTTGGGTTTCAGCTTTTCCCGTCTGCAAAGTCAGTTCTCTTTCACTTTCCATCTTTCAAGAGTTCTTTGACCCCATCCCCTGGCATCTTCCCCTTTTCCTTCCTCATTGCTGTTGTCGTTTGAGGGAAATTTTAGGAAGGAGTGGAGATAAACTCACGTATCTAAGTGGAAGTTCTCTTTATTCTGCTCTTGTCTGCCTCCCTGCTGGGCACCAAGGGGGCAGGAAACTTGTCAGTCTTGTTTGTGGCTTAACATCATCCAAAGGGGCTGGGCAAATCTTAGATAAAAGCTGGCCCAGGAGAGGACACCTGGGGCTATGTGGGGAGTTCAGGAGGTGCAGTGGGCAAGACGAGCCCCCCTTACCAACTCCTACTTGAAACAGCATCTCTTTCATCAATTTCTACCCACCCATTCATATACCTCATCTTTACTGAGCCTCTACCATGTGCTTGGCAGTGTGCAAAACCCTGGAGAGACAGCAGTGGACAAGACATACATATAACCACTGTCATCATGGAGCCTGCAGTCTAAAGGATGAATTGTTACAGTCAGGTGGGGTAAGCACTTAGGAAAAAATACACACACTATGGTCCAGGGGGCTGAAGAAGTGAGAGTTAAGACCATTCGGATGGTCAGTGGAGATGAAGCCATCCTGTTGAGGAGAAGCCTGGCTAGACAGTGAAGTGTCCTGGGCAGAGGGGACAGCAGGTGCAAAGCCTGGTGTATCAGTTAGCTACAGCTGCATAACAAATTATTCCAAAATTAGTGGCAAAACAGCAACATTTATGATCTCACACTTTCTGTGGATCAGGAATCTGGACATGGTTTTGCTGGGTCATTTGGGTCACTAGGTGGCCATCAAGGTGTCAGCCAGAGCCAAAGTCATTTTAAGGCTCAATCAGGGGTGGATCTGTTTCCAAACTCACTCAGTTAGACATTTGCATGATTTGGTTCCTCCCAGGCTGTTGGACCGAAAGTCTCACTTCCTCCCAAGCTGTTGGTTCAACTGGTTCCTTGCTGTGTAGACCCATCCACAGAGTGGCTTACAGCACAGCAGTTTGCTACATCAGAGCTAGAGGTGAGAGAGCAAGAGTGTGAGCAGGACAGAAGTCACAGTTTTCTGTAGTCCCATTTCGGAGGGTCACTTTTGTAGCTTCATCCCATCACTGTTGCTTAGCAGTGGTTAGAAGGGAGTCACTATGTCAAATCCACACTCAAAGGGAGGGGATTTCACAAGGGCATGAGCACCAGGAGGTGGTGATCACTGAGAGTCATACTATTTATTTATATTTTATTTTTTGAGACAGGGTCTCACTCTGTCACCCAGGCTGGAGTACAGTGGTGCAATTACGGCTCACTGTAGCCTCGAACTCCTGGGCTCAAGCAATCCTCCCACCTCAGCCTCCTGAGTAGCTGGGACTACAGGCACCCACCATCATGCCCAGCTAATTTTTAATTTTTTTTATTATACTTTAAGATCTAGGGTACATGTGCACAACGTGCAGGTTTGTTACATATATATACATGTGCCATGTTGGTGTGCTGTACCCATTAACTCGTTATTTACATTAGGTATATCTCCTAATGCTATCCCTCCCCCCTCCCCCCACCCCACAACAGGCCCCAGTGTGTGATTTTCCCAGCCCTGTGTCCAAGTGTTCTCGTTGTTCAGTTCCCACCTGAGAGTGAGAACATGTGGTGTTTGGTTTTCTGTCCTTGCGATAGTTTGCTCAGAGTGATGGTTTCC
Organism: Homo sapiens; assembly: GCF_000001405.40. Taxonomy (NCBI): domain Eukaryota; kingdom Metazoa; phylum Chordata; class Mammalia; order Primates; family Hominidae; genus Homo; species Homo sapiens. Next base: position 44,391,157 of record NC_000011.10, read on the forward strand.
AGCTTCATCCATGTCCCTACAAAGGACATGAATTCATCCTTTTTTATGGTTGCATAGTATTCCATGGTGTATATGTGCCACATATTCTTAACCCAGTCTATCATTGCTGGACATTTGGGTTGGTTCCAAGTCTTTGCTATTGTGAATAGTGCCACAATAAACATACGTGTATGTGTGTCTTTATAGCAGCATGATTCATAATCCTTTGGGTATATACCCAGTAATGGGATGGCTGGGTCAAATGGTATTTCTAGTTCTAGATCCTTGAGGAATCGCCACGCTGTCTTTCACAATGGTTGAACTAGTTTACAGTCCCACCAACAGTGTAAAAGTGTTCCTATTTCTCCACATCCTCTCCAGCACCTGTTGTTTCCTGACATTTTAATGATTGCCATTCTAACTGGTGTGAGATGGTATCTCATTGTGGTTTTGATTTGCATTTCTCTGATGGCCAGTGATGATGAGCATTTTTTCATGTGTTTGTTGGCTGCATAAATGTCTTCTTTTGAGAAGTGTCTGTTCATATCCTTCACCTACTTTTTGATGGGGTTGTTTGATTTTTTTCTTGTAAATTTGTTTAAGTTCTTTGTAGATATTAGCCCTTTGTTAGATGGGTAGATTGTAAAAATTTTCTCCCATTCTGTAGGTTGCCTGTTCACTCTGATGGTAGTTTCTTTTGCTGTGCAGAAGCTCTTTAGTTTAATTAGATCCCATTTGTCAATTTTGGCTTTTGTTGCCATTGCTTTTTGTGTTTTAGTCATGAAGTCTTTCCCCATGCCTATTTCCTGAATGGTATTGCCTAGGTTTTCTTCTAGGGTTTTTATGGTTTCAGGTCTAACATTTAAGTCTTTAATCCATCTTGAATTAATTTTTGCATAATGTGTAAGGAATAGATCCAGTTTCAGCTTTCTATATATGGCTAGCCAGTTTTCTCAGCACCATTTATTAAATAGGGAATCCTTTCCCCATTTCTTTTTTTTGTCAGGTTTGTCAAAGATCAGATGATTGTAGATGTGTGATATTATTTCTGAGGCCTGTGTTCTGTTCCATTGGTCCATATCTCTGTTTTGGTACAAGTACCATGCTGTTTTGGTTACTGTAGCCTTGTAGTATAGTTTGAAGTCAGGTAGTGTGATGCTTCCAGCTTTGTTCTTTTGGCTTAGGATTGTCTTGGCAATGCAGGCTCTTTTTTGGTTCCATATGAACTTTAAGGTAGTTTTTTCCAATTCTGTGAAGAAAGTCATTGGTAGCTTGATGGGGATGACATTGAATCTATAAATTACCTTGGGCAGTATGGCCATTTTCACAATATTGATTTTTCCTATCCATGAGCATGGAATGTTCTTCCATTTGTTTGTGTCCTCTCTTATTTCATTGAGCAGTGGTTTGTAGTTCTCCTTGAAGAGGTCCTTCACATCCCTTGTAAGTTGGATTCTTAGGTATTTTATTCTCTTTGAAGCAATTGCGAATGGGAGTTCACTCATGATTTGACTCTTTGTTTGTCTGTTATTGGTGTATAGGAATGCTTGTGAATTTTGCACATTGATTTTGTATCCTGAGACTTTGCTGAAGTTGCTTATCAGCTTAAGGAGATTTTGGGCTGAGATGATGGGGTTTTCTAAATATACAATTATGTCATCTGCAAACAGGGACAATTTGACTTCCTCTTTTTCTAATTGAATACGCTTTATTTCTTTCTCCTGCCAGATTGCCCTGGCCAGAACTTCCAACACTATGTTGAATAGGAGTGGTGAGAGAGGGCATCCCTATCTTGTGCCAGTTTTCAAAGGGAATGCCTCCAGTTTTTGCCCATTCAGTATGATATTGGCTGTGGGTTTGTCATAAATAGCTCTTATTATTTTGAGATACGTCCCATAAATACTTAGTTTATTGAGAGTTTTTAGCATGAAGGGCTGTTGAATTTTGTCGAAGGCCTTTTCTGCATCTATTGAGATAATCATGTGGTTTTTGTCTTTGGTCCTGTTTATATGATAGATTATGTTTATTGATTTGCCTATGTTGAACCAGCCTTGCATCCCAGGGATGAAGCCCACTTGATCATGGTGGATAAGTTTTTTGATGTGCTGCTGGATTCGGTTTGCCAGTATTTTATTGAGGATTTTTGTGTCGATGTTCGTCAGGGATATTGGTCTAAAATTCTCTTTTTTTTGTTGTGTTTCCTCTAAGCTTTGGTATCAGGATGATGTTGGCCTCATAAAATGAGTTAGGGAGGATTCCCTCTTTTTCTGTTGATTGGAATAGTTTCAGAAGGGATGGTACCAGCTCCTCTTTGTACCTCTGGTAGAATTCGACTGTGAATACATCTGGTCCTGGACTTTTTTTGGTTGGCAGGCTATTAATTATTGCCTCAATTTCAGAACCTGTTATTGGTCTATTCAGGGATTCAACTTCTTCCTGGTTAAGTCTTGGGAGGGTGTATATGTCCAGGAATTTATCCATTTCTTCTAGATTTTCTGGTTTATTTACATAGAGGTGTTTATAGTATTCTCTGATGGTAGTTTGTATTTCTGTGGGATCGGTGGTGATATCCCCTTTATCATTTTTTATTGCTCCTATTTGATTCTTCTCTCTTTTCTTCTTTATTAGTCTTGCTAGCAGTCTATCAATTTTGTTGATCTTTTCAAAAAACCAGCTCCTGGATTCACTGATTTTTTGAAGGGTTTTTTGTGTCTCTATCTCCTTCAGTTCTGCTCTGATCTTAGTTATTTCTTGCCTTCTGCTAGCTTTTGAATGTGTTTGCTCTTGCTTCTCTAGTTCTTTTAATTGTGATGTTAGAGTGTCAATTTTAGATCTTTCCTGCTTTCTTTTGTGGGCATTTAGTGCTATAAATTTCCCTCTACACACTGCTTTGGGCATTTAGTGCTATAAATTTCCCTCTACACACTGCTTTCTGGTATGTGTCCCAGAGATTCTGGTATGTTGTGTCTTTGTTCTCATTGGTTTCAAAGAACATCTTTATTTCTGCCTTAGTTTCGTTATGTACCCAGTAGTCATTCAGGAGCAGGTTGTTCAGTTTCCATGTAGTTGAGTGGTTTTGAGTGAGTTTCTTAATCCTGAGTTCTAGTTTGATTGCACTGTGGTCTGAGAGACAGTTTGTTATAATTTCTGTTCTTTTACATTTGCTGAGGAGTACTTTACTTCCAACTATGTGGTCAATTTTGGAATAAGTGCAATGTGGTGATGAGAAGAATGCACATTCTGTTGATTTGGGGTGGAGAGTTCTGTAGATATCTATTAGGTCTGCTTGGTGCAGAGCTGAGTTCAATTCCTGGATATCCTTGTTAACTTTCTGTCTTGTTCATCTGTCTAATGTTGACAGTGGGGTCTTAAAGTCTTCCATTATTATTGTGTGGGAGTCTAAGTCTCTTTGTAGGTCTCTAAGGACTTGCTTTATGAATCTGGGTGCTCCTGTATTGGGTGCATATGTATTTAGGATAGTTAGCTCTTCTTATTGAATTGATCTCTTTACCATTATGTAATGGCCTTCTGTGTCTCTTTTGATCTTCATTGGTTTAAAGTCTGTTTTATGAGAGACTAGGATTGCAACCCCTGCTTTTTTTTTTGTTTTCCATTTGCCTGGTAGATCTTCCTCCATCCCTTTATTTTGAGCCTATGTGTGTCTCTGCACGTGAGATGGGTCTCCTGAATACAGCACACTAATGGGTCTTGACTCTTTATCCAATTTGCCAGTCTGTGTCTTTTAATTGGAGCATTTAGCCCATTTACATTTAAGGTTAATATTGTTATGTGTGAATTTGATCTTGTCATTACTATGTTAGGTGTTATTTTGCTCGTTAGTTGATGCCGTTTCTTCTTAGTATTGATGGTCTTTACAATTTCGCATGTTTTTGCAGTGGCTGGTACTGGTTTTTCCTTTCCGTGTTTAGTGCTTCCTTCAGGAGCTCTTGTAAGGCAGGCCTGGTGGTGACAAATCTCTCAGCATTTGCTTGTCTGTGAAGGAATTTATTTCTCCTTCACTTATGAAGCTTAGTTTGGCTGGATATGAAATTCTGGGTTGAAAATTCTGCCAGGTGCAGTGGCTCATGCCTACAATCCCAGCACTTTGGGAGGCTGAGGCGGGTAGATCATGAGGTCAGGAGATGGAGACTATCCTGGCCAGCACAGTGAAACCCCGTCTCTACTAAAAATACAAAAAAATTAGCCGGGTGTGGCAGTGGGCACCTGTAGTTCCAGCTACTCGGGAGACTGAGGCAGGACAATGGCATGAACCCGGGAGATGGAGCTTGCAGTGTGCCAAGATTGCACCACTCCAGCCTGGGTTACAGAGCAAGACTCCATCAAAAAAAAAAAAAAAGAAAGAAAAAGAAAATTCTTTTCTTTAAGAATGTTGAATATTGGCTCCCACTCTCTTCTGGCTTGTAGAGTTTCTGCTGAGAGATCCACTGTTAGTCTGATGGGCTTCCCTTTGTGGATAACCCGAATTTTCTCTCTGGCTGCCCTTAACATTTTTTCCTTCATTTCAACTTTGGTCAATCTGACAATTATGTGTCTTGGAGTTGCTGTTCTCGAGGAGTATCTTTATGGCATTCTCTGTATTTCCTGAATTTGAATGTTGGCCTGCCTTGCTAGGTTGGGGAAATTCTCCTGGATGATATCCTGAAGAGTGTTTTCCAACTTGGTTCCATTCTCCCCCTCACTTTCAGGTACACCAATCAGACATAGACTTGTTTTTTTCACATAGTCCCATATTTCTTGGAGGCTTTGTTCATTTCTTTTTACTCTTTTTTCTCTTAACTTCTCTTGTCACTTCATTTCATTCATTTGATCTTCAATCACTGATACCCTTTCTTCCACTTGATCGAATCAGCTACTGAAGCTTGTGCATGTGTCATGTAGTTCTTGTGACATGGTTTTCAGCTCCATCAGGTCATTTAAGGTCTTCTCTATGCTGTTTATTCTAGTTAGCCATTCATCAAATCTTTTTTCAAGGTTTTTAGCTTCTTTGTGATGGGTTCGAACATCCTCCTTTAGCTCGTAGAAGTTTGTTACCACTGATCATCTGAAACCTTCTTCTCTCAGCTCGTCAAAGTCATTCTCCGTCCAGCTTTGTTCCATTGCTGGCGAGGAGCTGCATTCCTTTGGAGGAGAAGAGGCACTCTGATTTTTAGAATTTTCAGCTTTCTGCTCTGATTTCTCCCCATCTTTGTGGTTTTATCTACCTTTGGTCTTTGATGATGGTGATGTACAGATGGGGTCTTGGTGTGGATGTCCTCCTTTCTGTTTGTTAGTTTTCCTTCTAACAGTCAGGACCCTCAGCTGCAGGTCTTTTGGAGTTTGCTGGAGGTCCACTCCAGACCCTGTTTGTCTGGGTATCACCAGCAGAGGCTACAGAACAGCAAATATTGCAGAATGGCAAATGTTGCTGCTTAATCGTTTCTCTGGAAGCTTCATCTCAGAGGGGCACCCAGCTGTATGAGGTGTCAGTCAGCCCCTACTGGGAGGTGTCTCCCAGTTAGGCTACTTGGGGGTCAGGTACCCACTTGAGGAGGCAGTCTGTCCGTTCTCAGATCTCAAACTCCATGCTGGGAGAACCACTACTCTCTTCAAAGCTGTCAGACGGGGACTTTTAAGTCTGCAAACGTTTCTGCTGCCTTTTGTTCAGCTATGCCCTGCCCCCAGATGTGGAGTCTACAGAGGCAGGCAGGCCTCCTTGAACTGTGGCAGGCTACACCCAGTTCGAGCTTCCTGGCCACTTTGTTTACCTATTCAAGCCTCAGCAATGGCGGACGCCAGCACCCTCAGCCTCGCTGCCGCCTTGCAGTTCAATCTCAGACTGCTGTGCTAGCAGCGAGTGGGGCTCTGTGGGCATGGGACCTAAATGCAGTATTAGGTTAGGAGTGTCCTGATTTTCCAGGTACTGTCTGTCACGGCTTCCCTTGGCTAGGAAAGGGAATTCCCTGACCCCTTGTGCTTCCTGGGTGAGGTGATGCCCCACCCTGCTTCGGCTCACACTCCATGGGCTGCACCCACTGTCTGACAAACTCCATTGAGATTAACCCCGTACCTTAGTTGGAAATGCAGGAATCACCCATCTTCTGCATCACTCACACTGGGAGCTATAGACTGGAGCTGTTCCTATTCGGCCATCTTGGACACAAATTTTCAAATTTTTTTTGTAGAGATGGAGGTCTTGCTATGTTGCTTGGGCTTGTCTCCAACCCCTGGCCTCAAGCAATCCTCCCACCTTGACCTCCCAAAGTGTTGGGATTACAGGCGTGAGCCATGGCTCTGGCAGAGACCTCTTTTATTTTATTTATTTTATTATTTTTCTATTCTCTTATTTTGTGGAGACAGGGTCTTGCTCTGTCACCCAAGTTGGAGTGCAGCGGTGCGATCTCAGCTCACTGCAGCCTCAGCCTCCCAAATTCAAGGGATTCTCATATCTCAGGCCCCCTAGTAGCTGGGACTACAGGCACACACCATCATGCCTGGCTAATTTTGTTGTTTTTTGGTAGAGATGGGGTTTTGTCATGTTGCCCAGGCTGGGCTTGAACTCCTGAGCTCAGGCAATCTGCTGGCCTGAGTCTCCCAAAGTGCTGGGATTACAGGTGTGAGCCACGGCCCCTGGCAGAGAGCCATTTTAGAAGCACCCAGCATACCTGGGCTGTGGCACTGCTGTGTTGGACTTAAGTGTCTATATTAGTATCTGGCAAAGCTGGGACCAAGAATGTGAGGCAGAGAGTTGGGGGTGAATTAGCCAGTGCCACTGAAGCTCTTTTGGCAGTTATCTGAGTTTGCACAGGCTGCCATTACAAAATGCCACAGACTGGAGGGCTTAGATAGCAGAGAGAGACAGGCAGCGAGCCTCTCGGAACATGACAGGGACACAGGAGACATTCTTCAGGGTGCGCGAGGGGAAACCAAAGCCTGGAAGGACAGTGAGCTCTGGCAATATTGATTGTTCTCCTTCTGGGGCTCCTGGCCGCAAGTCCCTGTGCCCGCCCTGGATTAAAGCCCCATATTGCTGCAATCCTGGCCTCCAATGAAGAGACTTCCAACAATGCAAAACCACTAATGAGGCAATCCTGATGGAAGGCATGGTCCCCACCCTCACATGCCCCTCCTGCGTCTCTGCTTTGAAATCCCATCCAGCAGCGGGACCACTGGGCCTTGACTGGCTGGAAGCCCTCTTCCCTCTGTGCCGGGGGCTCACAACCCAGAGTGGAAGCGCTCCCTGGATTGGACTGGCCCCTCCCTGACCGACCTCCTGCTCTTGGGCTTGTTGCTGCGAAACTCACTTCTTGGCGGTGGTTCATCTGTCCCACCATGGGAACCTCACTGGCTGAGGCCGCCTTGCCAAGTTGCTCAAGCGTTTACCACACGAAGGCAAGCTGGCCGGGAGCAGCAGGGGGGAACTGGGCTCCCTTCTCTGCAGAAGGAGCAGGAGGAGGAGCTGCTGTCTTTCTGTGGTGCCCGGCCCTGGTGGGGGGCCGAGGTGACACCTCAGGGACCCTTTCCTGCACCCACCCACCCAGCCTTGCCAGAAGCTTCCTGGGTGTTAGGCTGAGTGGCAGGAAAGCAGAGCCCTGCAGGAAGACTCTGCTCTGAGCTGCTAAAGAGTAACAGAGTGTGTCTCCCCAGAGCATCTCTGCAGAGCCAGCCACTGAAACATGGTGTGCCCTGACTCAGCTTTCCAGGCTAGCTGCCCTCTCATTGCCTGTGGGAACTGGAGCAGGATGGGGCAGAAAGCAAACAGTGTCGGGAGAGCCCTTGTGGGGCTCGGCATCCCTGCGGACCCCTTCCCTCCTTACCTTCTTGGCCAATATTGACTAGCAGGACACTGAGGCATGGCCCATGACAAGGGCCTGATTGCAAACCTCTGGGAACTCATATGTGAAGCCACTGAATGGGGGGAGGGGTCCATCCTTTCTGCCCACCTGGCCCATAGGGCAGGAGGCTTTTGGGTCATGAGACCCACTGAGGAAGCTGTCCCAAAGTAGTTTTCCTGGCAGAAGACCATGGAAGGTTATAGACTTTCTTAAAGAGTCTCCATTTATTTTCAGGTGTTTCAGGGGGAAAATGAAAATATGAACCAGGTGTGCTGGGTCATGCCTGTAATCCCAGAGCTCTGAGAGGCCGAGGCAGGAGGGTGGCTTGAGCCCAGGACTTCGAGACCAGTCTGGGCAACAGAGCAAGACTCTCTCTCTCTTCAAAAAAAATTAAATTAAATTAAATTAAAAATTAGCTGGGTGTGTTGGTACGTGTCTGTAGTTGGATCTTTTGGGCCCAGGAATTTGAGGCGTTTGTGAGCTAGGATTGTGCCACTGTACTCCAGCCTGGGCGACAGAACGAGACACCATCTCTCCAAAGAAAAAAAGTTTTTTTTTTTAATGTGTGAAGCACATTACTTTCAGGATTATATTTAATCCTTTAAGGACTCTATGAAATACATACTATTACTCTTCTCATTTTAGAAATGAGGAAACTGAGGCATGGAGATGCTGAGGAAGAGTCTCAAGGCCACATTGTAAGTGCAGAGTTGAGACTCGAACCCACAGCTGTCTGCATGGTCAGCACTCATCTCCCCTGTCCTGCTTATCCTTGGTCATTTGCCCTGAAGAGTCCCAGGTCCTTCTTGTCTCTGTTGCACTCCACCCCATGCAGTGTAGAGGAAGGATTTCTTGGTGGGAAAGAGGCAGAGATCCCACTTCCTTGTTCTGCTGGTGGCTGATTGAGTTACAATTCATTGCAGTAACACTGTGGAGTAAATTGGGGTCTCTCGAAATCCAGGGCAGTCCTTTGGCTCAGGTCCAGCCTCTCTTTAACCTGCCTCTCTTCTCCCTGGCATAGCTCTTGGGACAGTTCAGTAAGGGCTTTCGGTTTCAGAAGCTGCAGATCCCAAGGTACAACCTCTAAAAGAAAAGTTTTTATTTGCTGCAAAACACACGCCCCACCCATCCTTTTATGCTCCTTGCTAGTTCTGTCATCTTCAGCAAGTGACTTCATCTTTTTTAACCTCAGCTTCCTCATCTGTAAAATGGGAATAGCAGTACTCAATTCTCAAGGCTGATATGAGGGTTAAATGAGATGATGTGTCACTTTCATTCTTCCTTCATCTTTGCTCCAGATCAAGCCTAACTGTCATTCTCATTCTCCATACATAGTCCTCCTTTGGGGGAGGAGGGAGGATTAGGGCTGGGAGACTTTAGCTGTCACCCCAGAACTTTAACCCAGGCCAACTGGACCATATGCTGTATAGCCAGCACCCCATATAGAAGTTTAGATATCTTCCTCGTTTGCTGTCATGCATGACTTCTGTCCCCTGCATGACTTCTGTCCTGTGCTTTCTTTCTGGTAACAGAATTGAGATTTTTCTTCAGGGCGCCATTGGCCCTTGAAGTTCAGATGGACCAGACTTTGTCTTGGTTTCAAGACAGGGCATGTGATCAGGCTTGCCCAATCAGAACATGACACTCTGTAGTCAGGTGACTGGCTCAGGAATGGTCATGTGATTCAGGCTGGGCCAATGATAGCCTTGGCTGGGACTTCTGCAGGATTGATCCAGTCCTCTTTCCTCTGAGATTGCCGATTTGGTAGAATGTAAGCCCCAAGAGAAAGGTCAAAATCGTGGGGATCACTTGGGGAGAAACTGAAGCAACCGACCCATGTGGCTTACTTTTTTCTCTCAAGAGGGACTCAGATGAAGATAAAGAGGGAAACATGGATAGGTTTGACAATCATGACTCTAGACCCACATTCTACAAGATTCTCTATAGAAAGGAGTCCATAGCCCAATGAATCTGGAAAACCCCGAATGCCCTACTCTCCTCTTGGAGTGTCAGAGTACACATTGGCATATTGAAGGTTCTCCGAAGGCCTGAACAAAAGAAACGTGTATTTTTTTTTGAGACGGAGTTTCGCTCTTGTTGCCCAGGCTGGAGTGCAATGGCGTGATCTAGGCTCACCGCAACCTCTGCTTCCTGGATTCAAGCGATTCTCCTGCCTCAGCCTCCCGAGTAGCTGGGATTACAGGCATGTGCCACCACACCTGGCTAATTTTTTTATTTTTTATTTTTTATTTTTAGTAGAGACGAGGTTTCTCCATGTTGGTCGGGCTAGTCTCAAACTCCTGACCTCAAGCGATCTGCCTGCCTTGGCCTCCCAAAGTGCTGGGATTACAGGCGTGAGCCACTGCGCCCGGCCAAGAAATCCGTTTATCTTGCTTTAACACATTTCCTAAACTTTTTGGACTATGAAACCCTTATTTCAGTCATTCGACAAATATTTATTAGAGCCTACTATATGCCAGGATACAAAGGTGAAGAAGATAGGCAAAGTTCTGGCCCTTAGGAGCTGACATGCTCCCGTCACTCTTATGAACACCCTTACATTAGTGGATAGATGGGGAAACTGTTTTAGGCCAAGTTTAAAGGGCTGAACCTGAACCTGGCCCCTAAGGATGCATATAGCCAAGTCTTCTTCAGGCCTTCATTACCTTGCGTGTGCCTTCTTGGTGCAGTGTGGGATTTCCCAGGAACATTGCTGATCCCACTTGACCAAGCCATACAGCCAAAAAGGGCCTGGAACTGCCCTGCACGGGTTACTTCTGCCAGTCTGGACTTGTGCCGGGAGTGCTGGATTGGCCCAGGCCAGCTGGGTAGCTCTGAAATGTGCTAGTGACACAGTAGCACCGGAAGTAGTGGTGGGATGGGAAGTGCAGGTAAGATTGGGTGGGTATCGCTTAGTACTTACAAGATTCAAGTTCCGGTCCTCACTACTCAGCCTTACCTGAACCAAGGACTTCCCAGAAAACAGTCACCTTAAAACTTTTGGTGAATTGCACGGCATATAAATAAATAGAAATATTAACTTTCAATGGACTTTGACTCATTTTCTCCCATACAAGAAGACATTGAAACACATATGCATCCTTGGTTGCTGCAGAACATTTTCACTGGTCCAGGCCAGTGACTGTCTGCAAGTTTACCTTAATAGTGTCAGACCTCAACTTGCTCTTTCCTTTAAATGGGCATATCGACATGGCTCCCGGAAGAGCTGAGAGTCACTCAGAGAAAATAGCAGCCAGCCAGTCCCTGAGGCCCCATCTGTCCCCCATACATTAGCCATCTCTTTGCAGGTTGTAGTGGGTGTGCACTGCACGGGGCTAGAAGGGAGGGGCCACAGGTGATGGGTGACTGAGCCACTAAGGGTTTGGCTTTTGGGGGTCTGCCTTTCTCTGCAGTATCTTTTTTTTTTTTTTTTTTTTTTTGGCAGAGTCTTACTGTGTTGCCCAGGCTGGAGTGTAATGGCGCGATCTTGGCTCACTGCAACCTCTGCCTCCCGGGTTCAAGCGATTCTCCTGCCTCAACCTCCACCATGCCTGGCTAAATTTTGTATTTTTAGTAGAGACAGGGTTTCGCCATGTTGGCCAGGCTAGTCTGCAACTTCTGACCTCAGGTGATCTGCCTGCTTCGGCCTCCCAAATTGCTGTGATTACAGACGTGAGCCACGGCGCCCGGCCCCCTGCAGCGTCTTGACTGGGCCATCTTTGCCGCCAAGTTTTTAGGTGGCTTCTTTCTTCTTTTTTTGCTTTCTCATTTTTGACCTTTGAATGAACTGTCTTGTGTTTTTTTTTCTTTCCTCCTGCAAAATAATTCCCTAAAGAGACCTTCTATTTTCTGACACTTACAGGACAGCAGCAGCCGCCTCCCCACCCCCATCTACTTGGCCTCCTCCAGCACAGAGAGACAGGAACGATGGTGGGGGCTGGGGTGAGGGAAGCAGCAGAGAGGCAAGGGGCTCCCAGAATATGACAGAGTCAGGGAAGAGGCATTCCTGGGATGCACATCTCCACTCATTTCCTTCCAGACCTTTCCCTGGATCCTAAGTCAGTCTAACCAGATCTTTTGGGGACTTTCAAAGAATCCAAGATTTTGGGAGGCACCTTAGAGATCAAGTACTGTGGTCAGCAGTTCCTACAATGGCTCCCAGCCATCCCCACTCCTGATATTCACACCTGCGTGTAAATCTCTCTCCTTGAGTATGAACTTGGCCTAGTGACTTAACTTCTAATGAATAAAATATGCACAAGTGATGGGATGTCACTTCCAAGATGAAGTTACCAAAGACCGGGACTTCTGTCTTTCAAGCACTCTCTTGCTCTCTCTCCTCTGCTCACGGCAAGGAAGCCAGCTGTCATATTGGAAACTGCCCTGTGGAGAAGTCCATGTCTATAGTGTGGTCTCTGGCCAATAGACCAGCCAGACCAAGGGTGTGGTATTCCCAATAGACCAGCCAGGGAGGAAACTGAATCCTGTATATAGCCACCTGGGACGTAGTGCTCTCCCCAGTCAAGCCCTGAGACGGCTGCAGCCTTAGATGGCACCTTGACCACAGCCTGTGAAAACCCATCTAAGCCATGACCAGATTCCTGATCCACAGAATCTGTGAGATAAGTGTGGCTGTCTCAAGCCGCTATGTTCTGGGGTAACTTGTTACAGAGCAGTAGATAGATACAAGTACAAACCCTCCATTTTCATAGAAAACAACTAAGGCCAGAGAGGGTAAGTAAGCTGCCTAAGGTCACACAGCAATTGAGGAGCACAGCAGGAACTATAGTACAGGTGTCTTGTTCCCTAGTGCTGAGCTCTGTCCATTACACTTGGGGATATAGAGGCAACATGTCACCACCACTGTCATCCACATCAGGACTTTCACCATAAATGCTAAGCCTCGATTCCTTCATCTATAAAATGGGATGAATAGTAACTAAGTGGAAGAATTGTAAACACCGAATATAAAAGAGCTATTGTCTGACACACAGAAGGGGCTTAGTATATAGGAGTCTTTCTAGAAAGAAGCCTCACCCAATACCATCTGTCTAGAATCTCTTAGGAAACTGAAGCAGCTGGTCAAAGGGGGAAGTCCTAAAAGCATACACATTTTATCTTAACTAAAAACATAAAGGGGTGCCCACGTGGATGCGGGGCAAGAGCTTTTCTTGGCATTTAGGCTTGTGTATTGGCGTCCTCCTCATCTTTCTTGCATAAAGCATTCCCATGGTGCAGTGTTTCCATTTCTTTAAAGTGCAAGGAGAATTTACAGACACTTAAAAGGAATCTGAGGGCAGGATCCTGGGTTTTTACCAACCCTACCCCCATCCTTTTTTTAAAGTCTTTCCAAAACATTCAATTGAGCATTCATAGAAACATTAACTTTCTTTCATTTCATCCTTGCATTTCTGATTTTCTTAATACCGAGTTCAAGTTCACAATTACCAAGTATAATGGATATAAACAGGTGTGGTAACCACTCCAGTGCCTCCTGGTAAGGCTGTAACTCAATGATGGGGCAGAAGTTCACAGGCGAGTTAGTCACAGCTGTTCACCTCCAGCGTCCCACCATGTCACTCGATGTTTTGCAGGAGCAGAGAGAACCCTGGCTCATCCCATGGACTGGGCGAATGGAGCTCTTTTAAGGAGAATCTAATGTGTGGTTACTTCGTAGCAAGGCAGTGCTGGAACAATTATCTCCATTTCCCAGCTGAGAAACTGAGGGCCATGCCCCTGTTCACACAGTTTTGTGATCACAGAATTAGCCCTATATAGTTTTAATCTTTATAAAACATGATTAGAATACTCCAGTGCAATCTTTGGGAACTTGTTTTCCACTTACTATTATATTGTTAAGATCATCCACACTGCTGTGTGTTGCCGTGGTTCGCTCAGTTTGACCACTGTGTAATATCCCACTCTTAATTTACCACGTTGATTCATCCATTGATGAGCATTTCAGTTGTTTGTGGGTTTCTGCTCTCATGACCAGTGCTGCTATAAAACCGCTCATCCATGGGCCCTGTCCTACAGTTTCAAGAGCTTAGCTTGGGGATATATCCAGTATTCGAATATTCTAGGTCATAGGTTTAAATATTCAACTTTAGGAGATAATGCCAAACTCTTTTAGAGCAGTTCTACCAATTTACAAGTCTACTGGCAGTACGAGAGAGTCTATGTCCTCTCCCCTATTTGGTGTGGTCAGACTTCTGGATGCTTGCCAACGGAAAGGTCTAAGTGGGCTTCGTTTCTCTCAGTTCTTTGAGTACACTGGTGTCTTTTCTCCCTCAGGACCTTGAGCAAAGCTGTCTCCCAGACGGGATGCTGCTCCCTTGCAGCTCCCCACTCGGCCATCTCCTTCTGCTCTTGGATCCCAGAGAAGCCTTCCTCCACCACCCTCTCCCCATATTCTGTTTAGTGCTTTGTCTTTTCTCTCTGGCCACAGTGTCAGCTCCATGAGGGCTGTGACCACGTCACTCTTGCCCATCCCCATTCCCAAGCTGGGCATGATTCTTGGGACCCATTAGATGTTCAACACATGTCTGTTACATGAATGAATGAGTTGTTAGGGCTTGTCCGTACAGGATGCTTCTTATTGGGAATCACCCTGGCCCCACAGCCAGTAAAAGTAAAAGCTTCATCTGGTTTCCAAAACCCCAGCCTCCTGTTTTCACCAGCAATAATTTGCTGCAAACCCTGCCAGCGAAATGCACATCATTTGGGATGCATAAAGCAAAATGGAATCATGTGCAAGATCTTTGAGGTGGGCTGCGCTGTTTGTCCCAAGTCTGGGAGGCCACAAAGGCATGAAACAAGGCTGGAGGAGGAGCTAGTGAGAGACAGGAGGTGAGCAGGAAGAGCAGTTATCTCCTTGCCTGCCTCCTCTCTCTCCGTTTGAGAAACATGGGGAATAGGATAATCAGGGGGTAGCATGTATGCCCTGCAGGTGGTCCAGGGATCCCTCCTTTCCAGTGGGAACATTGCTGATGATGGGTTTTCTCTTGGGCAGCCCTGCTGATAGTGTGAGTTTGACCACTGGCTTCTCATGACTGGGGGACTGGAGGGGTTTCTGGGAGAATTTGCAGGGCTCCATTAGGGCTGTTTGCTGACCTTTTACAAAAAAATATACTTACTATTGTACTGTTTTCTCTGATTAATTTTCTATACATGCAACGTAGAAAAACTGGAAAAGCTAAAGAAAGCGATAAAATCAGTAAGCCTCCTCCCATCACCCAGATTCTTCTGCTTCCATGCCACAGTATTTCCTTCTGATTTTTCCTCCTCGCTTGCTCATTTAGGAGAGGCTGGAGAATACAGAGGTTAAGAATATGGGCTTTATAGCCTGACAACTGTGAGTTCAAATCCTGAGTCTGCCTCTTGCTAGCTGCCTGACCTAATGTGAGTTTAAGCCCTCTGTTTTCCAATCTGCAAAATGGGGCATTAGCCCATAAGTAGTGCCCGCCTCTTAGAATGGTCTTGAGAATGTAATGAGTTTATGCACATAAAGCGTTCAGTACTGAATAAATGTCAGCTACTGCAATGGCCAATCCATTAAATCATTCAGCAAACACTTATGGAGTACTTACTGTGTGCCAAGCAGTGGTTAAGGAGCTGGGTATGTAAAGGCAAAAAAAACAAGCATGTTACCTCCCCTGGGGAGCTTACAGCCTTTTGGGGTGAGGGTAGGGGTGAGGCAAACACTATCCAAATACGATGCTAATGAATTTATAATCATGAGCTGTGTTTTGTTATGAACGAAAAGAACAGGGCACTCAGAAAGCTGCAGTTCAGCACAGAAGACGGACGGCTGGGCAAGGATGAGGTTTGGGTATGTTCAAGGTGCTGACAGCTGGCTTTCAGGGCTGGATGGAGCTGAGTAAGGAGACCAGCAGTGCGAGGTGGGGCTGGAAGGCTGATCCAGCAGCAAATGCAGGGCCTTGTCAGTTTCCTTGAGGATTTTAAAAAATACAATTCACATGCAAACTGAATATTTATTATAGGCAAATGTGTCTCAAATGCGATCACACATGTCCATCCCCTGGGCTCTGCTCTTCTTTCATTTAGCATTGGAACATAGCTTCTCTGAAAAAGGCTTGTAGACATCACTATAAATGGCCTCAACTCACAGCGCTCCATTGGATGGATGAATGTAGCATCCTTTACCCCGCCCTCCCTCCTTCACTGGAGGTTTGGCTTGTTTGCCCCATTTGGGGGGCAGCGAGTGGCTGCTCTTTGTGCTCCTAACAGCTTTTCACGAGGACAGGGCCCCTGGACCATCCCACCATAGCACAGGGGTCCCCACTCTACTGGGGAAGGTGGGGGTGCCAAGCTATCTCCCTGTCCTGCAGGCTTGGCCCAAGCTGAGCTCTGATGTCATGGAAAGTTAGCTGGCAGCTGCTGGCTCTCACCGAAGCTGGCGGAACCAGGCTGGCGTCTGTCCCTTGACCACAGCTTGTAGCCTCAACCCTCCTCTAGGACATCAAGGCCTCGGTCAGGGCCTTCTGGGGCCTCATTGCTCCATCCTCTGCCTTCTTATTTCATCTCTTTGTTTTGTCTCCACAGTGCCCTTCCCCCATCTCCCAGTCCTAGCCCCGCCAGGATGGGTTCCTCATGGGAACAGGGGTCTCTGGCCTGTTACTAATTATTTCCAAAGACAGCTTGTGACCAGGCAGGTCAGGGACAGACACCAGCTCCTTTCTCTCTGCCCTGTGGCTCTCCTGCAGAAAGCACATTGCAGAAGTAGGAATGAGGGAGCAGAGCAGGGGGCTGATGAGAGGGTTTCCCTGCAGATACAGACCTTTAGGGGAAGGCCCTGGAAGAAGTGATTGACATGGGACTTGGTGTGGGCCTCATGATGGGGAAGTCCCTCACCAGAAGAAGCCTACAGGGCCTCACCTTCCTGTTCTCTTTCTATTTCTAGGCCCATCCTGGGGATTTGGGAACTAGAAGGGCCCCTATGGGCCTGATACAAAGTAGCGGGTTGATCAATGTTTGAGTGAATGAATGAATGAATGAATGAAAAGACCCTTGGGCTCAAGATCATGGAACAGCAGAGTGGGAGGGGCATGTGGAGACGATCAGTTCGATGTTCTTAACCTCTCTTGGGCAGGCACTTTTAGGAGAATCTGATAAAGGTTTAGTCATTTTCTCCAGAAACTCACTCTTACCAACACACACTCAAAGCTTTTGCTGTGATTTCGAGGGATCTCAAACCCCTGGAGTCTTTCTACAGATCTCTGATTGTTTAATGCTCTTATTTTATAGATGAAGAAATGGACACCGAGAGAGGTCCAGGGACCTGCCCACATTCCCAGGAAGAGGTAGCCAGGCCCTTCTCATCCTCCTCCCTCCAGAGCTCCGGGCCCTGCACAGCTGTATCCCAGGTCTGCCATTCACCAGCTGTGAGATCTTGTCAAGATATCTGAGCTCTCTGAATGCCCATTTTCTCATCTATAATCAGGCACAAACAATCCTCATGCCCTGGGTCTTCTTTTGTACTGAGCAAGTGTGACTGTCGGGTCCCCCACCTGATGGCACCTGCCACTTCCTCACACCTATGCCTTCCCCACAGCATAGGTAGACGCTGGAGGGAGGCATGCATTCCACGTGACACTGTGTCTGTGCCCTTGGTGCTGAGCACCTCCATGACACCAGAAAAGTTTCCCCAGTTGGGCTCTGTGTAATTTTGGGCTTCTATCTTCTGATTTGTTACGTTGAATGAGTACTAGTTCAAAACTCCTTTCTGGGTTTAGCACTCATGAAGTTATTTCTTTTCCAAAATGACATTCTTTGACCATGTGGAGGAGTCATTTCTCCAGATCAGCTGGCTGAAGGGATGGCAGAGAGGCAGTGATTTGAACACTTCTTTAGTTGGGGGTGGGAAGGAGTGGGCAGAGGGAATGTGGCCAAAGGTCTGCCTTAGTCACAACAAGTAACCTGGTGACCTGATTTTGAACTGCAACTCAAAGGAGGTAAGTGAAGAAGAGTGCGGTCACAGTGAGGTGGCCGGGAAAACTTGTGGAGCTTCCTGGGGGACTGCTAAGTGTAAGATAAATGTCTAGAACTTGGGACTTCATACCTCTCAAAGCCTTGGCTCTTGCCCTCTGATAAAGGATCTTTTCTGTTCTGACTGCAAGCTTCACAAGGGCAGAAATTGTGCTTGATTTGCCCCTTAGACCCATGCACAGCCTGGCACATAGTAGGTGCTCAAGAAATATTTGTTGAATAAATGAATTGGCTGGACTGCAGCAGCACAGACCTTACTGTCCCCAGCTTTGGCCTGAGAGGACAGTAGCAGCCCCAAATACTCGGGGTACCCATGGGTCTTCATGTGGACATGACCCTGCTCCCAAACCCCTTTGTGGCACCCATAGGCACTTGGCGTGTTGGAGACATCCGCTGGCCACCGGATGCTTTCCCATGCACAAGGTCCCACAGAGGCCACCAGGGAGTTGGGTATTGTCCTGCCCAGAAAGCTTCCACTTGGGTCATTAATAACAGTGCATTTTATAAAAGGAAAGCCAGCTTCAAAGAGCTGTGGGTTTTTGGGAAGAGCCTTGGATGGAAGTCATTATTTTTGCTGCCCCATCTCGCCCCCCGTTCTCTGTCTCCTCTGTCTTCCATTCAGCCCATGTTTGATCTCCTGCCTGTGCTTTCTTCTGTTGGCTCAGGGTCCAGGGAGAATGGACTATTGTGTCTACAGTGGGAAGGTTGGGGAAACCCTTTGAACTGGCCTTTGGTCCGTGAGAGGCGACAGACACAGGAAGGCGGGGTGGGGGAGATCTGAGGTGTCTGGGGTGTGAGTTGAAGGCAGAGGGTGGTGATGACTCACTGGAAACTTCTCTGCCAGGTCAGGTGAAGAAGGGGGCTCTGGTCTGCAAAAAGCCTGCCTTGGAAAGGACCAGAATCTTTTTTGCTCCACTATGGCTAACATGTGTAAAATCATAATCACAGTGATAATAATAGCTCATACTTACCAAGTGCTTTCTCTGCACCACGGTCTGTGCTGGGCAAGGGCATGTTTCACTTCATCTTCCCAATAGCGATTCCCTTTTTACAGATGAGGAAATAGAGGTTCTACTACACTGTCACTTCTCCAAGTCACACGGCTGACACCACTCCGCTGTGTGACCTGGGTCATGATGGGCCACCTCTCTGCATTCTGTTTCCTCATCTGTAAAATGGAAAGGTTGAACTTACTGTATCTAGTTTTTGGTGCAAGGCACATGAGCCTTGATGTAGGTTTTCTCTGATTATGGCAGGGAGGACCTGGTAGATGGACTTAGCGTCATTGTCTGGCAGCACAGCCCTTGGGCTTCAGGGAAAATACGTGGAAGGGAGTTTTTCAGGAGGTGCCTCTCCACTGCAGGTGAGAACAGAGGATGATAGCGCAGCGGCTTGAGTGTGAGTTATAGTCCTTACTCATCATCAGTTGAATGTGGCTATTGGGGAAGAGTGTGCCTGCAAAGGCAGTGGAGTGCAGCCTCCCAAAGGAAGACAGAGCTCATGTGCAAGCCAGATGCTGTGGACCCAGGCTTGGGAGAGAGCAAAGGAGGGAGACAGAGACAAATGAGAGAGCACTGGAGAGACAGAAAGAAAAGGATGGATATAGGTAGCCATACAGAGAGGTAGTGAGGTAGGCAAGGAGGGAGAAAGGTAAACAGAGCCAGAGAGAGAGAGAAAGAGAAATGAAACAACAGAAAATCAGGCCAAGAGACAAAAGTAGCCAGAGAAAGGCAGGCAAAGAGAGACTGAGACACTGAGAGACAGTGATCAATCAACTTAGAGAAAAAGAGAGAGAGAGATGAGGGACAGGCAGAAGCAGAATAAGAGAGGAAAGGAGGAAGAGCCAGAGGGATGGAGACAAAGAGGAAGGGAGTGGAGGCTGCCCAGGGAGCTTCTCTCTGGGATTGGGCTGTGTTCTTCTGTAACTGCAGCTCTGACTGACCAAAGAGAGTAGCCAAGAAGCTAAGCCCAGCTGCCCTGGAGCGGGGCCTGGAAGTCCATCCATAAATGTGAGGGCTCCAAAGGTGTTGGTTGGATGGAGAGAGAGAAACGTATAGTTCTTTTGGTAAAACCAAAATTATCATTGTCCAGCTCAGTTTCAGGAATGAGCAAGATCTCCCAGGGAAGTCTTCTTGCTCTTTCTGTGTTTTATGGGAGCTGGAATATTGTGGGTGTTAAGCAAACACACACTCTCTCAAGTTCAGTCATAGAGGAAGGCTGGATGGCTGGATGGGAGCTATTAAACAGAGTGGCTCTCACAGCTGGAAAAATACATCATGGACCAAAGCATCACCCAACTGCATAAGTTGGGCCCCCAGTTCAAGATGGTAGAGAGAGCCCTTCTGCTCCTTTATAAAGGGGAGCCCCAAGATGGCCATGGAGCTCACTCAGATCTCCACTTAAAATTTCAAGATCATTGATGGTCAGAACCAGACAAACTTTTGGAAATGGATAATAAGAGCAGCTGTCCTTTATGGAACATTGATTAGTGGCCAGCCCTATCTAGTACTTTATAAATATTTGATTTAATCCTCAAAATGACCCTATGAGGTAGGTCCTATTATTTAACCTACTTATTTACTACTACCTAACCTGTCACTTAATGGGGGTAGCCCCATTTTGTAGATGGAAAAATTGAGCCCTCCTGACTTGCCCAGGATCACAGCTAGGAAACAGCAAAGACTTGAATCCCAGGCCTCCCACTTTTCCAGTTGTTGTTGTTCAGGTGATCATGGTGGATACTGCAGGTGCTTCCAACAGGGAAGGCCCCAGCTGTGGTCACAGTTATCCCTATGGGTTGGAGGTAAGGGACAAGGGGTCATCTGGAGGGATGCTGTCTTCTTTCTATACTATATTCTGAGAATGCAGCTGTGCCCTTCTTTCCAGGTACCCTCTTCTACTGTAGGTCACCTGCACCCCAAGAAGCTTCTTTGGGAAAGAGAAGGTGAAACAGGCAGGTGTTGCCTTGGAGGTTGAGACCTGGTGTCAGGAGTGGGACAGCTATTGATTTGTTGGCCTATAATCTCTTTATTTTCCCTTTCACTGGTGACATGTTTTCCCGTTCCCCTGAAGGACATCACCTTCTTTATTCCATGTGCTTCTGGCAGAGATATCCATCCCAGAGCCTTCCCCTGTCCTTGTACCGTGGCTCACATATGATGTTGTGTCTCTGTTAGAATGCTTTCACTTCCAAGTAACAGAATGCACAGCTAACTTAAACAATAAAGACATGTAATTGTCTCCCATAAGAACAAAATCTGGAAGCAGAGATCTCTGAAATTTGGTGAAACAGCTGAATAATATCATCAAAGACTCAGATTTTTATTATTCTACTGGTATTACTGTGTTGGAGTTTTGTCTTTAGGTTTGTTGGCTTATGGTGGCAAGAGGGCTGCAGTGGCTTTTGCATCATGAATATGTTCAAAAGCAGGGATGGAAGCATCTTTTCTTCTTGCTAACCTGGCTCTTACCAGAGAGAGACTTTCCCAGAGTATACCAGCATGCTTCCCCTTACAACTCACTGGCAGAATGGAGCCGTCTGGCTACCCTCAACTATAAGCAAAGCTGGGAAAGTTGAGTTTCCGATTTTTTCAGCCTTCAAAATAGGAAATGGGTAAAGAAGAGCAGAAATGGATACTTGGTAGATAACAAAGGGTGTTTGCCTCATAAAGACACAGCCAATCATGTCTACAAGGGTTGGTCCAAAGAGTAATCATATGGTGGAAACAGGGCCTATCAGAGTTCTCTCTGGGATTTTACACAAGGATGCTCAAAAGAGACGCACTAGGTCTTCTCAAGTCAAAGGGCTGAGCTAATATAAGCTTGGGATTCTTTGTGGCTGTGGCCCTTTCCTTTCTCCTGCTGAGTGGAGGGAGCTGGTCTTCAGTAGGAGAAAAGGAGGCCAATGCAAAGTAGAGCAGAACAAAGGATGAAGAGAGACAGATGGGGCAGGGGGAGAATGAACATATTTGAATTCCTGATTCCTCATTACTGAGAAGTGCTTTGGACTTCCTGAATTTTGCTTAAATAAATTCAAATTGGATTTTAATTATTTACAATCAAAGTTTTCTGATTGTTTCCAGGCTCATTGATAGCTTTCAGCATCCTAAGGACAGGTATCTTCTTGCTCCCAGTGGGTCATGGGACAGAAATGGGTATGTTGAACCCTTCCCCGCACTTCTGATGCCTGGAAAAGGGACTTGGCCAGAGGCTTGAATCTACAGTTAACCAAATCCAAGCCTAGGAACCACAGACAGATTGCCATAGGCTAGATGAGGGCCCCAGTGTATGTCTTCTTGGGGCAGAAAGGGATATCAGTTACCCCAATCTCGGTGACCAGGACAGTTTCAGAGTCCAGCCCAGTCCATGTTACAAAAGATAATAATAAAGCCAACGCTTAAAGAATGTCACTAAGTGCCAGTTTACATTTATTATCTTATTTAATTCTTACCATAGCCCTCCCAGACCACTTTAGCAATGAAAGATGCCATTTTGGCAATGAATAAAGTAAGGCACAGAGAGGTTTAAGAGAAATGTATATGCAACAGTAACGTAGAAACCTTTCTTCAAGTCTTCATTATTTCAAGAACTATCTTTTTTCCCTAACACTTAAAATGCTTATGTGAATTTTGTGTGTGTATATAAGTTATACATAGCGGGACATGCATACTGTTGGCCCTCTGTATCCACAGGTTCTGCATCTGCAGATTCAACTAACAGTGGATGGAAAATATTTGGGAAAAAAGGCAAGAAAAATATAATAAAAATAATACCAATAAAAAACACAGTGTAACAACTATTTACATAGCATTTACATTGTATTAGGTATTAAAAGTAATCTAGAGATGATTTAAAATATACAGGAGGATGTGCCTAAGGTAGATAGAAATACTATGCCATTTTATATAAAGGGCATGAACATCTCTGGATTTTGGCATCTGCAGGGATCTGGAACCAATCCCCTACAGATCCAGAATAACTGTATATGTATATTTTTCAGGCTTTGTACTTGGGTAATTTCAATCAATCCCTATTTTCTTAAACTAGTTGCTTCAATGTAAAACCTGAATTTTTTATTTTCACAGATAGTTATAGGTAAAAATCCAGTGGTATCTTGCTTCATGGTAGAAATGCATACTGGCAGAATTGTGTACAGAGTGGAATATTATGAAGGTATGGGGATGAAAAGATACTGGGTGGGGTTACCTTTCTTAGAGATCTTTTAAAGTAGGATTGCATTGGTTTTCTATTGCTGCAGAACAAGTTAGCACAAACGTAGTGGCTCAAACCAACACACACAAAACTATCTCCCAGTTTCTGTGGCTCAATAGTCTGGGCACAGTCTAGCTAAATCCTCTGCTTGGGCTTCAATCCAGAAGTTGCTGGAGCTGTAGTCTCATCAGAAGCTTGGCTGAGGAAAGACTCATTCCAAACTCACTGAGGTTATCAGCAGAATTTATCTTCTTATGGCCGTAGGACTGATGTCTCCATTTTCTTGCTGGCTGTCAGCAGTTAGCTGCTATCAGCTTCTAGAGGCCAACCCAGTTCTTTGCCATATGCATCCCCACCACAACAACATGACACTTTATTTCTTTAAAGCCTGCAAGGGAGTCTCCTTCTCGAATCTGCTAAGATGGAGTCTTTTATAATGAAACATAATCATTGAAGTGACATCGCCTTTCCTTTGCAACATCCTATTGGTTGAAGAAAGTCACGTCACAGGTGTGTCCTTCACTCAAGGGGAAGGAATTCTAAAAGGACATGGCTCATGGGTGGTGGGCAGGGGTCACTTTGGGTATGTGTGCCACAGGATCATTCCTCAGATGCTTCTTGGTGGAGTTTTGGCTAAGGGTAAAAGGGTGGTTTTGATGAACTTCAAGGCATTTGTGATGATTAATACTGAGGGTCAATTTGATTGGATTGAAGGACACATAGTATTAATCCTGGGTGTGTCTGTGTGGGTGTTGTCAAAAGAGATTAACATTTGAGTCAGTGGGCTGGGGAAGGCAGACTCACCTTTAATCTGATGGGCACAATTTAATCAGTTTCCAGCAAATAAAAAGCAGGCAGAAAAACATGAAAAGGAGAGATGGCCTAGCCTCCTAGCCTACATGTTTCTCCCATGCTGGATGCTTCCTGCCCTTGAACATCAGACTCCAAGTTCTTCAGTTTGGGGACTCAAACTGGCTCTCCTTGCTCCTCAACTTGCAGACAGCCTATTGTGGGACCTTAAGATCATGTAAGTTAATATTTAATAATACTTAATAAACTCTCCTTTATATGTATAAATGTATATATACACGCACATATATACATATAGTCTAAGTTAATACTTAATAAACTCCCTATAATGTAAGTTAATACTTAATAAACTCTCATTTATATATGCAAGCATATATATGCATTGCTCATGCATTTCTTTACCACTGAAGTTGTTTTACCTTGTAACATGATGATTGGGTCTATATATATGCAAACATATTATATATATATGGGAGTTTATATATGTCCTATTAGTTCTGTCCCCCTAAGAGAACCCTGACAAATACAGATTTTGGTACCAGGAGTGGTTCTAGAGGAACAGAATATTAAGGATGGAGTTCTTTTGTTGGTTTTGGGGTTTCTGGAATTAGCTGCTTAATATGATCAGACCCAAATGCTAAGGACTCTACTTCTAACACTGTGGAGAACACTCCTTGTCCTTAGAGTGAACTGTTTAGAGAGTTATGCAAAATAAATGCATTTGACACTCCTGATTCACTGCTTATGAGAGGCAAGGCGTTTAGTGACTCTATACATAATACCTTTGACCACATGTGGAGAACCAAGGAACATAATGAAGCTGGTTAGTTGCTCCTAGGTTCAGTGGACAAAGTGATGAAAGAAAATGATGAGCCCAGGGATTCTGTCTCCTGGCTTCAAAAGCAGACACTGAGCCTCAAATCTGCCAAGACTGCCCTGAGTGAGAGTCTTATCTCCTGTAGAGAAAGAGCTGAAATTGTAAAAAAAAAACAAAAAACAAAAAACAGACACAAGCTCTTATCCTGCAGTGGCTGAGCTGCAAGGGAAGATGCATGCACAGCCTCACCAGGTGCCTACCGTTAAAGTGAGGGCATTGATTGGAAAAGAATGGGGCCCTGCAACTTGGAATGGGGACATGTGGGAGGAGCCTGATGAAGCTGGGGACACTGAGTTTGTAAACTCTGATGAATATTTTTTGCCAGAAGGAACAGCTTCCCCATCCCCAGTAGTGACAACATCCCCTCCCCGACCCATGCTGCCATCAGCCTTTTTACTTTTATCTGAGGAGATAAACCCTGCACTGCCCGAGGCAACAGTGATGGCCTCCCCTGAGGCAGTTGCCAGGCAAGAAAATGTTGATTCTCCTCAGAAGCCACCCCCAACACCTCTGTTTGCTTC
This sequence comes from Homo sapiens, assembly GCF_000001405.40. Classification (NCBI taxonomy): domain Eukaryota; kingdom Metazoa; phylum Chordata; class Mammalia; order Primates; family Hominidae; genus Homo; species Homo sapiens. Next base: position 44,416,395 of record NC_000011.10, read on the forward strand.
TAGACCTGTAACTAGACTAAAGTCCTGGCAGGCCCCTAGAGTTGAGGTTGAGAATGTGACCCATGAGGAGGTGCACTACACTCAAAAAGAACTGTCTGAGTTCTCTAATTTATATAAACAGCAATCTGGAGAACAGGCATGGTAGTGGATATTAAGGGTATGGGATAATGGTGGAAGGAACATAGAGTTGGATCAGGCTGAATTTATTGATTCAGGCCCACTAGGTAGGGACTCTGCATTTAATGTTGCAGCTTGGGAAGTTCAAAAAGGTTCTAATTGTCTATTTGCTTGATTAACTGAACTATGGATTAAAAGATGGCCCACTGTGAGTGAGCTGGAAATGCCTGATCTCCCTTAGCTTAATGTAGAGGAGGGGATCCAAAGGCTTGGGGAGATGGGGATGGTGGAGTGGATTAGTCACTTTTGACCTACTCATCCCAGCTGGGAAGGTCCAGAAGATATAGTCTTGACCAATGCCTTGTGAAATAGATTTGTCAGGGGAGCACCTGCATCTTTGAAGAGCTGAAGAGTGCTGACTAAGACAGCACTCATGCATGTCAGTAGTCCAGCTGGCATGCCATTCAGCATTTTGGTGCTCTGGGTTGATCATAACCATGTGAATAAGGAACTACAGCTCTCTGGTTGAATTCCTTGATACTGAGCCTGGTTTGCAAACCCCTGATTGGCTGGCATTTCCTTCTCCTGCTGGGAGACCTTCTCTTGTAGTTCTAGAGATTGGCTGGGACTAAGAGAATGATGACAAATGTCTAGGCCTGGGTGGGGAGCCCTGAAGCCTGGACATTCCTCATAATTGGATGTCCCAGTGGTTTTCCTACATCTCTGGCTTTTTAAGTTCCCCCCAAACCTTCTCAAGAAGGAGCTGCTCATCAGGTGTATTAGTCTGTTCTTGCATATATATATATATAGAAATATATAAAGAAATACCTGAGACTGGGTAATTTATAAGAAAAGAGGTTGCATTGGCTCATGGTTCTGTAGGCTGTGCAGGAAGCATGGCAGCATTTGCTTCTGGAGAGGCCTCAGGGAGCTTTTACTCATAGTGGGAGGCCAAGCGGAAGCAGGTGTCTTACATGGTAGGAGCAGTACCGAGAGAGTGGGGAGAGGTGCCACATGTTTTAAACAATGAGATCTCATGAAAATTCACTATCACAAGGACAGTACCAAGAGGGGATGGTGCAAAACTATTCATGAGAGACCACCCCTGATCCAATCAGCTCCCACCAGGCCCCACCTCCAACACTGGGGATAACAATTTGACATGAGATTTGGGCGGGGACACAGATACAAACCATATCATCAGGTAACTGCCAAGCATGGGAGGAGGAAGACCTAGAAGGATAGGGCAGATTCTGACTTACGGGCTGCAATTTTGCAGCATCCTCTTTCTCTGGGTCCCACCTGCTTCTGTAGCCCTGCCCTCTGGCTCTGCACAGTGGCACAGCCCCTACTCTTAGCATTTTCCTGCATCATCCACCAGCCTGGTCTTGTCTGGTCGCTTGTTCCTGAGTCTGCTCATTCATTCATTGACTCATTCAGTGCATATTTACTAAGCTTGGGATGAGCCAGGCACAGGCTAAGTACAGGCATACAAATACTGTGAACAAAATGAAAAAGGGGACAAAGTCCATGCATCCTTGGAGCTTGGAGCAAGAGACATATGAACTAATATGAACAAATAAATGTATAAAAAATGTCAGGTAGTGAGAAGTGCAATGAAGAAAATAACACAAGATAAGGCTTTCAAGAACAAGGCTGCTGTATTATACAGGAGGCCTGGGGAGGCCTTTGGTAAAATAGCAGCTGATTGCAGCCCTATGGGTCTCTGGGACAGGCAAGCATTCCGGGGCGAGAAACCCCAAGGCAGAAGCGTGCTTGGCGCATTTGAAGAAAAGCAAGAGGCACTGTGGCTGGAAAGAGAGTGGTCAGGGCATCTCTGAGAAGGAGCTATTTAAGCCAAGAATCAGCAAGAAAAAAAGTCAGGTCTTCAAAGTCAAGGAAAGAAGGAGCGTTTATATGAGATAGATTTGTAAAGCATGGTGGCTGGCACATAGAAAGTGCTCCGTCAATGGGGACTGTGACTTCTATTGGATTTCCGATCCGGGAGGTGGTGAACAAGGAAGCCTCAAGGTCAAAGGCTGTTGATCACCACAGCTGTTACCAAGTGGTTTAGGGAAACTGCCTGAGCCTGAGAGCAAGGCAAGCCTGTGTTAATTTCTGTTATTGAGTCATTGCCCTTGTTGCTATGTGGAGAGGGCTAGAATGTTTTTATGCTGGGCTCCGCGGGGAAGAGGGTGGTGATTTCTGTGGCTGGTGGTTGGATGTTCCCCGATCGCCTTTATGTCTCCCTCCTTCCCTCTCAGTCCTTTTCTTCACCCAACAAAAGACTTCAGAGGCCAGGAGGAGAGGGACTCACAGCAATTATATTAACACCAGGCGTGGGTAGTTTGTAGAGTGCTTTCACGTTTCATCTACTTCATCATCAGAACAGCTCTCTAAGGGAGAGGAGGGGGAATCTATGATCCTGTCAATTTCACAGCTGAGAAACTGAGTCCCAGAGAAGTTATTGAGGAATTTACGAAGTTCTGGGATGTCAGGAGGGTTTACTGTCCTAGTTGAAGAGCCCAGGAAGACCTCATCTTTTTGCTCTTTGTGTGCGTTGAGGAAGGAGCGCATGAGTGAGGGTAGATGGCTCTGACAGGGAGACACTGGAAAGGTCAACGCAGTAGTTAACCAGGCCATGCTAAGCACATCCTGGGGCCAACCCACTTGCCTGCCAGAAAAGGCCACATGTCTCCACAGTATGACAAGGACATTCCTCTCTACAGGTTATGCCAACCTCAAGACAGAGAAGAAACCAAGTGGGATTATGAGCTGACACAATGAGACACAGGCTTATAAACCTGCTCCTTGTGGTCCCCTGGAAGGCTGCGTTCATCAGAGTCTCTCTTCTCTAATGTTTTTCTCCACTAGTCCCCTGGACATCAATCAACTTGGCTCTGTCAAGCGTCTCAGCCTCCTGCATGACCACTTGCCTTTCCTTCTCCTCTCTCCTGCCCTTCCTAGGGGCTTCACAGGGACAGGAAGCCAATCCTCTTGCTCATTTCTTTCTTCCTTCTTGCATCCATCCATCCATTTGTCTGTCCATCCATCCATCCATCCATCCATCCATCCATCCATCTATCCGTCCATCCTTAGAGTTATTACTATGTGCTAGGGGTTATGAGGATGGATGAGGGGTGGGCTCTACCCTGCCAGACCCTGGTTTCTGTGATCTCTCAGGCTGCATGGATAGAGGGGAAAGCATGAAGAAAGGGTTGGCAGCCATTGTGATGGTGATGCTCTGAGGAGGGGCTTGGGATGCTCCACCTGAGACTCAGTCTTTCCAGGAACAACTAGAATTGGAAAGGCAGGAACCTGCTTCCAATGGCCATGGGGAGATAGATGCCTAAGAACCTTCTGGATCTGATGTGATGCCATGGGCTTTTCTCATGAGTTGACAACCTTTTCTCTCAGGGAGAGGAGTTGGACTTCTTATAGAAGCCACAATGCCTTACAAAAGGTAGAAGCTGATCTTTAGATATGTCTTCTATTCAGACTTTTCTCTCAACAGCTCTCCACCTCTATCCATCCTCAGAGTAGCCCTTGTGAAGCACAAATCTGATCGTATCCCTCCCCTGCTCAACAACCGTCTATGGCTCTCCAGTGCCTTTGGGAAAAAGCCCAAGCTTCTTTGCCTTGTCCCTTGGTGTCTTTTCAGTTTCACCTTCAACTGCATTCTTCCCAGAACTCAGTGTTCCAGTTTATGACCATGGGTTCTCAGGCCCCCAGGCCTTCTCTCAACTCTATTTCCTCTGTAAGTTGTGTGCTGGTAAACTGACAATCCAGAAAAAATAAAGACTAAAGAATCCCTGAGTTGTAGCATACGTCAATTTCTGTGGTGTGGGCCAATTTCAATCTACTGACATGACATCATTGAACGCAAAGCTGGGTGGGAAGAAACTCAAAGGATTTGTCCTTGTAAGCCCTTCCCCTTACTCCAGTGGAGGCAGTACAGTGTCCAAGTTAAGAGTGCTGTACTCCCCGTTCCCTGCTTTCAGCGGTGTGACTTCAGGCAAGCTACTTAAACTCTCCCTGCCTCAGTTTTCCCTTTTCTAAAATGGGGAGAGGGATCTCATATTGTTCCTAGGATCATTATAAGAAGGAAATGAGAGGATGCATTACAGTGCTTAGCACTATGCCTGGCTCATGATAAATGCTTAATAAATGTCAACCATCACCATCTGCCAGTGAAACACTTCCACATCTTGTATCCTCAGCTCAAACCACCTCCTCCCCAGAGCCTTCTGTGATTTCTTCATTGAACTAAATTACTCCCTCCTCTCCCTTAGAGAGCTTTTCTGGTGATGAAGTAGGAGATGAGAAGTGAAAGTACTTTACAAACTACCCATGCCGGGTGTCAACTAAATGTATGCATTGCTCATGCATTTCTTTACCACTGAAGTTGTTTTACCTTGTAACATGATGATTGGGTCTAAAGCCCCAAGGCTGTCCTGGGCCTGATTCTGCTGTATCCTCAGCATTTTGTAAAGAACACAGTGGGTGCTCAAATCCATCTTTAGGGGTGATCAGTGAGCTTGTGCATGAGACACAATGTGTAAGGGACTGGGGAAGGAAAGGAGGCAGAGATATGGATGGGTGTGCAGGGGGGAGCTAGTGGCATCACTTGGATGATCCAGTGTGTGTACATGACAAGGCACATCTGGCGAGGTGCGCCTACCTAGAGAGCCAGGTGGCCCTCATCCCTCAGAGCTGAAAAGGCCACAGCCCTTCCAGCTTGGGGAATGGCCTTAGCAGCTGGCTCCCAGGGAGGGGCTCATCTGTGACAGCAAAGCCAGCAGCCTGGCTATTAGAGAGCAGCCAGCATGGGGCTGCAACCCAATGGAAAAATAAATCCCCATCATGCCAGACATGCTTGCTTCCAGACTGGGGGAGTTAATAAAGTGACTCTGAGGTGGTTTGGAGCCACTGTGGAGGGGCTGCGGAGGAATTTTCTCATTTCTCGTAAAACTTTAATTAGTGTTAGTCACTTCAAGTGATTACGGGGACTTAAAATAGCCACCGGCTGGGAGCTTTAATGACACATACGAGGCCATTTTGTTTGTTTCTACAGGGAGCTGAGCTGGGCTTGTAATAGACACACATTTGTCTCCTCGCTGGACCGTGAGCAACTGGGAGCTCTGTGAAGGCAGGGACAAGTAGAGCTTGTCTGTGTGTCCCCATGATTGGCACAGAGCCTGAGACATCAGAGAGGCACCACAAGCCTAAATGGACTGCCACTCACTGGCTAAGGGGACCTGTCAGCTCCAACCCAGTCCCTGGTTTATTGCATTCTCTAGAACTTCTTCCCCAAGTGTTTACTTTTAATCTGTTTTTTCCCACTAGAATATTAGTGTTCTGCTCACTGCTGTATTCCCAGTGCCCAGATGTAGTAGGAGCTGAATGGAAGGATGGATGAGATGGGACACCATCTTCCAAAAGTGCCACTGGGAGTCCCAGGAGGGCACCTGTATTGCTGCCACCCGTGGACCTGCCTTCCAGATGGCCGAGACCTGCTTCCAACCAATTTAGTTTTGTTTGTTCCACAAATTCCTCTGCAGGCACAGCCATGCTTCCCTCCTCCCCCTGCCCATAACACCCTGAGAAACATCCTCTGAGAAAAGGATCCCAGAGTAGTCACTGATGCTGTAGTATGAATTTCAGGAAGTGTCTTGCCTCTCTAGGTTGTCTCTAAGTCTCCACTCTTATCATGGGAGGACAGGCTTTGCTGTCTTTGTGAATTGATCTTGGATGTCAAAAAGGGAGGAGGAGGGTTTAGTCCCAGCTCTCCCTGAGGGGGGTTTAGTATGTAATGGTGAAGATCATAGGTTTGGAGTCAGGCTGTCCGGGTTCAAATCCTGGCTCTGCTGTTTCCTAGCTTTCTCTCTCCCCTCCCTCTTTTCTTTTTTGAGACACTTGCCCATGCTGGAGTGTGGTAGCATGATCTTGGCTTACTGCAGCCTTGGCCTCCTCGGACTCAGGTGATTCTCCTGCCTCAGCATCCTGAGTATATGGGACCACAGGTGTGTGTCACCACACCCAGCTAATTTTTTTGTCGTTTTTGTAGAGACAGTGTTTCACCATGTTGCCCAGGCTGGTCTCAAACTCCTGGGCTCAAGCGATTCACCCACCTTGGCCTCCCAAAGTGCTAGGATTACAGGTGTGAGCCACTGTGCCTGGTCCCTAGCTTTCTCTCTTTCTTTTTTCTTTTCATGTCTTTTGTGAGACAAGGTCTTGCTCTGTTGCCCAGGCTGGAGTGCAGTAGTGTGATTGAGGCTCACTGTAGCCTTGACCTCCTGGACTCAAGGGATCCCCCTGCCTCAGTCTCCTAAGTAGCTGGGGCTATAGGCACACAGCACCACACTTGGCTAAATTTTAGTTTTTTGTTTGTAGAAACTGGGTCTTGCTATGTTGCCCAAGCTGGTCTTGAATTCCTGGGCTCAAGTGATCTTCCTGCCTTAGCTTCCTAAAGTGTTGGGATTACAGGTGTGAACCATTGTGCCAGGCTCTGCTTCCTAGCTTTCTAATCTCAGTTTTCTTATCTGAAAAAGGGGCACGTCAGTAGGATGTGTATTTCACTGAGGTGTTGTGATTACGTAGTGGATATTCAGTAAACGTCAACCACTGCAATTTTTGGCTGGGCATGTCTTTGGAACCTCGGGTGTGTCCCTCTCCTTCTCTGAGCCTCAGTTTCACCTCAGGAGGCACAGGCAGGCTGTGAACTCTCACTAGCCCGAGTTCATTTCCCATGCCTGCCACTTTCAACTGTGTGACGGTGGGCAAAACACTGACCTTCTCCGATCTCTGTTTCCTCATCCACACAATGGGGACTATAAATCTTTTCATTCATGACACAACACAGGGAAAGTCTCAGCACCTGACATGGAGTCAGGTCCATGCTGGTCATATTGATTGTTTCCCTGTCTCTGAGTGAAGACGGTGGCCCGGCCTGTCTCTCAGGCCCGTCCTTCCCCTCCTATTTGCTTGGGCCACTGGGCTCTGAATCCCCTGCTCCCCACAGGCATGGCATCCTCTGTCCACCTTCCAGACCCTGAGTGATGAGCGCCATCATGGTCACTTCAGGCAAAGTTTAAGCAAGAAGCAAGCCCTGTACTGACTGAACACCCACCCCTGCTTTCTCACCTGCTCAGTGCCCTCATGCCTTTACAAATCCTCCCTTTTCCCAAAGCAGGCCATTCTTAGAGGATCAGCTCTGTGTGTGGGAGTGGAGTGGGGAAAGTTCAGGGGAGTCGCTGCCTGGGGAAATGGGGATAGGGCTACTGGGAGAACCCACTAACAGCACATCCAGCAGCTGGGGAAACAGAAACAGAATGTGCAGCAACCCTTCGTGGCTCCCCTGTCTGCACTAGAATCATGTCCAAATGCTTTACCAGCAAGGTCACCCCCTCCCCCCGCCTCACTCACCATGCTTCTGCCACGCCAGGCTTCCGGTTCATCACTCGGTCTTGCTCGTTCTCGTTCTTACCTCATGGCCTTTGCGTGTTCAGTTCCATCAGTCTGGGACACCCTTCCTTCTCTCCATCTGGTCAATATCTACTCACCTTTTAGTCTTCTTCTTAAATGTAACTTTCTTGGGGAGGGCATGTCTGACCACCCTCAAGTACTTTAGGGCCCCTCTGTTAGACACAGCCACCATGTCTTCTAAGATATTGTCATAGCCTTCATCAGAAATACCTGCAATCAGTCAGTTCATCGACTGTGTTGTGAGTTAATCAGTCAGTTCATCAATTGTATAATGACTGCTTGCATTAGGCTCTGAACTCTATAATGGCAAGCGTAGAGTCTGCCTTGTTCACCAGGTAGGTGTCTGCTTTTGTTACTAGGTAAGGTTGTTTGAAAGGAACATAATACATGTATTCATTCAACAAACATTTGTTGGGCACCTACTACATATCAGGTATGTGGTATTCTTTACTCCCTGCCCTCAGGGAGCTGGAGCCAAGGGATCAAGACTGACATGGAGAGACAAAGTTGGAAAAGTACTGCACTGGGGGAATGTTCTAAGCGTTATAGGATGATAGTGGAAGGGATCACAACCCAGTATGGGGTTTGGAGTGCGGATAAAGTGAAGGCTGGGAGGGCTTCACAGGGGCAGGCAAATCAGAGTTGGGTCTTTACAGATGCATAGGAGTTGAAAGGGCATTCCCGACATGTATACAGCATGTGCAAAAGCCCCGAGGCACCCCGGAGCAAGGTGTGTTTGGGCATAGAAAGCATTTGGTTTGGTTGGAACTTAGGGCATGTTGAGTGGGTTGCCGGGAGAGGAGGCAGGAGAGCGAGCAGTAGCCAGAGTTTGGGTTTCATCCTCCAGGCCAGTGATTCTCAAGCCAGGACAATCTGCCCTTTCCTTACCTATCCTGGGCACACTTGGCCATGGCTGGAGACATTTTTGATTTTCATACCTGGTATGGAAGAGAAGGGAATGGTACTACTGGCATCTAGTAGGTAGAGGGCAAGAGAGGTGACTAAACATCCTGGAATTCACAAGAAGGCACCCACAACAAAGCAACATCCAGCCCAAAATGTGAATAGAGCGGAGGTTGAGAAACCCTGCCCCAGGCCATCCGGTTCTGTTAGCGTGACGTAGGAAAGCTTAAAAGTTGTTATTTTCAACATAATAGTGACAAGAGTTCTTCTTTATAAGATACATTTCTACCTTTTTGTTCCAACAATACAGGCCTTGGGGGTAGAGGACATGAAGGGAAAAATATAAAAATGTATTTATTACCATTGAACCATACACTAAACATGATAAAAATGGTAAATTATATTAAAAAGTTAAAGAAAAATACAGACCTCAACCCCACCTGGGCACCAAGGTGCTGGCTTGGTGGGTGGGGCTTGGTGGGTGGGGCTTGGTGGGTGGGTGAGAATTTAAGGGCATTCAAGTCAGCAATGACACCCTAGGGTGCACCCCAGGGCCCCATTTAACCCCTTCTTCTCCTGCCAACAGGTGGCTTTGGCCCACTTTCTTTGAACTGCTTGCTGTCTGGCTCAGCAGGAGCTAGATGGGGACACTCATGTGGTCAGGACATGGGCTATGGGGTATATACTCCACCCCACCCCAGCAGGTGAGATGGAGGGTTCTTGGGCTCTAGAGCCAGACACACAGGTTCAAATCCCAGCTCAGCTTGTTACACTCTGTGAGAACATTGGCAAATTATTGAATCTGTCTTTGCCTCAATTTCCCCACCTGGGAATCATCCCTACTTGGCAAGACTGTTATAAAAGTGAAATAAGTTGATGAAGAGAGTGGTGGTTAAGGCCTGGGATGGTGGTTCACGCCTGTAATCCTAGCACTTTAGGAGGCTGGGGCAGGAGGATGCCTACAGCCCAGGAGTTTGAGGCTGCAGTAAGCTATGATTGCTCCACTGCACTCCAGCCTGGGCGATACAGGAATACTGTCTTTAAAAAAGGCAGAGAATGAGAATGGTGGTGAAGATCCTGGCCATGAATGGTGTAATCTACATGTGAGTCCCGGCTCTGCCACTCACTCACTGTGACTTTAGACAAATCACCTAACATCCTGGATGTCCTCATTTGTAAAGTGGGTGATATCGTGGTACCTGTCTCAGTGTGTTGTTCTGAGGATCCACTGAGACAATGCACCTGAAAGAGCCCAGCTGGTGCCAGCGAGCACTCAGCACATGCTGTTTGTCACCACCAACACCGCATGGGTAAATGATCCCTCCATTATGATCCCAGATCCTAGCTCGAAGCCCGGAACATGGTAGGTGCTGGGGAGCCATGTGAATTCCTTCCATCCTTGCCCGCTTCACCCCTGCTGAGACCTTTCTGTTTGTGCAGCCTGCCTCGCACCCCTGTCCACCTGGGACTCTAGGGAGAGGGCAGCCACCCTCGGTCAGGGCAGGGCCTGGAGCAAGACGGGTCTCCAGCTTTCAATCTCTGCAGCTCCCCCTTCCCTTCCTCAACCCATTCCATCCCTATTCACTTCCTGACTGCCCTGGCTCTTCCTCTTCCCTTTTGAAATCTCTGCCTCTGTCCCAGTTCCTCTCGCTATTACACAAAGGCCTCTTGGATTCCAGACTCAGCCCCAGAGGGCAGCTCAGTAATTCAATTATAGTGAGGGGGCTTACTCCTCTTTTCTTCCCCTTCTCCTCACCCCTCCTTTTTTCCTTCCTTACTTTTTTTTTCTTTTTTAGATCAAAAAAGAAAAGAGAGACATTGTGACCCCCAGAAGATGCAGTGACTGAAAGTTCCCTTCTCGGCTCCCAGCCTGTCTAATGAAATACCAAGAATTTCGTCTCCTCAGAACACGTGTGTGTGGCATCGGATATGTGTTCTTTGTTTGAGGCGTCTTTCTTCTGCCTCTCATCTGATGCTTGGGATCCGTATAAGTTTCCTACTGGAGACACGATGGCTGCCCCCTCTGTCTGTCCAGCCTGGCTTTGGGCAGCTTTCGCTTGAACCTAGAAAGAGAGTCTGTCTCCAATAAGGCCTTGTTCGCTTTCTGAGCTTCACATTTATTCTTTGCAGATTTCACACATGTGAAATCTGTGGATGGGTTGTTGCCGGGAAGACAGCAGAACACAAGGCTGGGGAAAGGGCTGTGGTCAGGGGCTGGAGCCTGGGCTCCGTCCTCGGGCTGAGCCCTCTGTCGGTTTGAGGGTGGCAGGTCACTGCCCCTGGCTGGGTCCTGCTTGCCCGTAGACTACGGTTCGGCTTTCGGATGTGGATTTAGTGTCCACCAGGTGTCTGACTCCACGCTGGGGCCTGTGGACAGACATAACAAAACTGTACCCTGGACCTTCAGGAGCTTGGAGAAAGCGGTCTTGGAGGGCTTTCTGGCCTTGATTTGCTAAAAGCAGCCAAGGAAGTTTCAAGAAAAGACTTCCGAGCTAATTTAGCCAAGGACTAATGGGAAACCAGGTAGCAGCGGTAGATTTTCTGTTGCTTTTTTAGCGACTTTTTTTTTCTTCATACCAAAAAGAATCTTTGAGGTAAAAAGACTCCCAGTATTCAACTGTCCCAATGCCTTTCCAGTGCGCGAAGTTCTTCAAAAACGTGGAGCCCAAATGCTCTCCTCACCTTGCCCTGGAGAGGACCCTTCCCTAGGGGGCAGCATAGAGCACCGTGAGGCAGCTCTGCCTCTCCCTAATCCCACCTCACTCTTCCTCTTTCTGCCCTCCAACGGCCTCACACAAGAGTCTAATCTCTGCTCCCCAAGACAGGTATGGAAATACGGGGACCACGTTTCCTCCAACCCTCCTTTTTTCCAGCCTAAATTTCCCTGTCACCTCCCATGTCTGATTGCTGCACTCAAGACCCCCAGGGGGTCAAGAATGATGGAAAGAGAAAAATGACAGGTCAATGGGCATAGAGTGACAATGGGAAGCAGGAATGGACCCACTGGTAGTTTACAGATCAAGAATGTCGATGGCACAGACTAGGAAACCTAGTGGAAGCCCTTCCCCAATATGGCGATGGCAGAGAAGAAAGGCTTCTGTTTACAGTTGGGAGGGAGGTCCAGAGGACGAGGGCGCTCTGCCTTTCTCTACCTCTGTGCTTTTGCTCAACCTTTTTTTTTCTTCTTGGAATGCCCTGTCTCGCCAAAGCTCTGCATATTCAGACCCTGCCCGTCTTTCACTGTTCAGCTGAAATGGTGCCTCCTCCAGGAAGCCACCCCTGATCTCCCAGCTGGGAGTTGCTTTTCCCTCCTTCAAACTCTCATTGCATTTTGCCTGGACTGCTCATGAGACATGTAAAACTTTCCTGCCCTGTGTTTTAGTAGGTTTGTACAGAAACACTGGGTTGCAAACTACTGGAATGGTGTTGATTATGTCTTATTCATTTGTAAATCCTCCATAGCAATGAGCACATGGCTCAACTGCTATTTATGGAATGAATAAGCGAGAGACATACAACAGGAACTAGGCTGTGTGATGGGTACTTTATGTGTATTGTCACACAACCTTAAAAGGTGTGGACTCTGTTTAATCACTTTGTGGATGAGGAAGCCAAATCCCAGAGAGATTCTACAATCTTCCCAAGGTTGCAAAACTGATGTCTTTTTTTTTTTTTTTTGAGATGGAGTTTTGTTCTTTTGTCCAGGCTGGAGTGCAATGGCATGATCTCAGCTCACCGCAACCTCTGCCTCCCAAGTTCAAGCGATTCTCCTGCCTCAGCCTCCCAAGTAGCTGGGATTACAGGCATGCGCCACCACACCCAGCTAATTTTGTATTTTTAGTAGAGACGGGGTTTCTCCATGTTGGTCAGACTGTTCTCGAACTCCCTACCTCAGGTGATCCGCCCACCTCGACCTCCCAAAGTGCTGGGATTACAGGCGGGAGCCACCGCACCCGGCCCGCAAAACTGATTTTTATAGAGCTCTCACTGCTTCTCCCAGAGCAGCCTGTTTCTCATACACGGCCACAACAGTGGCTTGGTACTCATATCGTTGGGGGGGTTGATTTTTGAAATTTTAATCCTTATATACTTGCTTTAATGTGTAGTATAAAAAATATAATGAACACAATGAACCTGTCTTTTATAGATCTTATTGCATAACATGAAACTAAAGAGGTATTTGAGTTTTTAAAAAATCAGAGGGTTCGCAGGTGATGAAATCTTAAAGCAAATACTAATTAAATAATAATTCTCAATAGAAGTTCCAAATGTGGTATAGAGATGCTGGAAGTCTGTGAAACACTGATATAAAAGAATCCATGACATACAGAGGTGTTTTAAAAAAAACTTCAAAATGTTATTAATAGTCATGCCATATTAACTGGAGAAAAATTGGACAATTGAGAAAATTGAGAAAAATTAAAGTCATCCTCCACCCTACAGGGATGTGCTGTGTATGGCTGGTGATGTTAGCTTGGAGGGGTGTGGACCCCAAGCTAAATTTGGACCCCAAGATGGTACTTCCCCGGTGTCCTTGCAAGCACATCCAGAACCTGGCCTCCGGCTGGCTTCAACTGAAGGTCAAGGCCATTGCAGCTGATGCTGAGACCTTTGGCTGTATGATACCTGGCCAGTGGCGAGGGGATGCCAGATCTGGCACTGCAGGCAATGGGTTCGTAACCCTGTTATCCCCACCTCCCAACCAGGTGTTCAAGGCCTACCCCAGAGACTGGTGCAAGCTTCCTACTTCAGCTCCCACTTAGTGCAGCAGCTGCCATTCCTTGGTCAGCTGTTTTGCTGGAGTTTATTTAAATGTCTAACTTCCTTTCCCAAAACCCCATATCTCTCAGGGGGTCTGATCCATGCAGTGCTTTGCATAGAGTTTGGCACACATTAGGTACTGAATAAGTGAACATTTTGCAGCCCTGCAACCCTGTCTGGAGACCATGATATACCAGATATGTCCAGAAACCCAATGGGACCTATGGAAAAACAAAAACAAAAACAAAAACAAAAACAAAACCCAAAAACTTGAAGAGTCTTTACTCCCTATCCCTGAGACAAATTATCTCTGTTTCTTATCATAGTCTTTTTGACTTTTCCTAAAAAGTAATTACTGGCTATCTGTGATAGATAAGTCTTCTACGTACCTGTCTATCTGTCTAGGAGGCCGGTGTTGCTTCTTTGAGATACCCAAAGGTTGAGGACAAACAGCGTAATTTACTATAGTGAGTAGTTATTACGTTTCTGACCCAGATTACTTGGTGCTTCTTCCAGTTTATCTCATTAAATCATTACAGCTGTGTTGAAATGTAAAGTATTATTCTTCCTCCTTCTACAGAGAGGAAACTGATTCTCAGAGGGGATAAAGACTTGTGCAAGGGGATTGTGTTAGTCATTAGTGTGGTTCACCAAACATTTTTGTTTTAATTTCATAGCACAGGGTGTGATTGTACTTCGTCGGGGATGAACTATGACCAGGTACTGCTTTGGTCAATAACATGTGAACACCTCATCCCCTTCTACTGCCCAGGCATTTCTGAGGGTGGAGACTCCATCAGCCTTGATTCTGGAAGGAGGGTATCCTGGAGCAGAGCTTTCCCAACCAGCTTGCAATGAACATGTAGCATAAGCAGGAGTTGGACCTTTTTTCAGTCCCTAAGTCTTGGGGAGGTTTGCTATTGTGACATAACCCAGAGCTTCCTGAATTAAATGGCTACAAAGTGAGTGAGTTGGCAGGGCTGGAATTTGAACCTCTTTCTGGCTCTAAAGACTTTGCTGTTCCTACTATTCGCATAGTACCTGGGACTGTGTTTTGAAGGCACTTGGAATGTCCTATGGGGAAAATTCACAATGTTTGATGTGTTGATAATTTACATATGAAAAAAATTTCCTCCCCTGCAAGTTTCTAAGTTTTCCTGATTTCAGGTGAGTCTGTCCCAAGGTCATTTTAGTGAAGAGGGTTGAATGGGTAATAGGTAATAGAATAACAACAGCAATAATAATAAGAAGAAGAAGAAAAGAAGACAACTAAAACGGGGTGCTGGCAGGCACGGTGGCTCACACCTGTAATCCCAGCACTTTGGGAGGCTGAGGCAGGTGGATTGCTTGAGCTCAAGAGTTGGAGGCCAGCTGGGCAATATGGCAGAACCTCATCTCTACTAAAAATACAAAAAAATTAGTGGGGCATGGTGGCGCGTGCCTGTAGTCCCAGCTACTAGGAAGGCTAAGGTGGGAGGATCACTTGAGCCCAGGAGGCTGAGGTTGCAGTGAGCCAAGATCATGCCACTGCACTCCAGCCTGGGCAGTGAGAGTGAGACCCTGTCCCAGAAAGAAATAAAAATAAAAAATAAAATGGGGTTCTTACTATACATCATCTACTGTGCTGAGCACTTTATATTCTATAATCACTTTCAGCAGGAGGGACATTTATTTTACCCCCTTACCAAATGATGAAAACTGACATTTAGAGTGGTGAAGTGACTTGTCCCGGTTGATGATACATCTTTGTATCATAGAATGGCTTCCTAAAAGTCAAAGCAAAATTGGTAAGCAAAGAGTTACACATTTGTCATTATCTGTTGAAAGGAGGCATGTTGACATTGAGTACTTCCCAAGAAAATTCAAGTTGTTCATGGATCATTGTGTAAGGAATACTGTGAAGGGCAGGGCTTTTCTAAAACCTTTCATTTTGAAATAATTTCAAAGTTATAGAATAGTTGTAAGAATAGAACAAAGAACTCCCATCTGCCCTCTACACAGATTCATGCCTTGTTGACATTTGCTGATTCGCTCTCTCGGTCTCTCTATACATGTATGGTTATTAGTTTTCCAAACCGTTCAAGAGTAAGTTGCAGACATCCTTCCCTGTCAAGACTCACTCATTACATTTAGTTGTAACGTCTCTTTGGCTTCTTCTAATCTGGAACAGTTTCTTAGCCTTTGCTTTTTTTCTGGAGTTGGCCACTTATTTGTAGAATGTCCCTCAATTTAGGTTTGCCTGATGTTTCTTCTTGCACTGTTTTGGGTTATTTATGTTTGACAGTAGTATCAGCAAACTGCTGTGGTATCCTCTATACACCATATCAGGAGGCACCCAATGTCTGTGTATCCCATCATTGAGGATGTTAATTTTATTCTCTTGAGTAAGGGGATATCTGCCAGATTTCTCCATTGTAAAGTTACTGTTATTCCTTTTGTAATTGGTAAGTAATTATGGGGAGATACTTTGAGACTATGGAAATATCCTATTAATCCTCAGACTTTCATATAATAGTGTAAACATCTATCAATACTTACTGCAAAATTTTAAACAATGATTTGTTTAAAGCCACAAGAAAAAAAATCTCCCCAAGACAATTTCTCATACAGACTCATTATGAACATCTGGGATACTACCTCTGTTCAGAAACACCATTTTCAATTCACTGAACTGACTTAGGGATTTTGATCTTCCTTGACAGCTTGCTTGACCCAACAGTGGAGAGAGAAATACTGTGGAAAGCCTGAAGTCATTCTAAGTATTTGAGGATGAGCAAAGGCTGTTACTCTCTGTAGGAATAGGACAGAGAGGTTCACACTTGAAGAGCCATCCTCTGTATATTAGTCTGTTTGAGTTGTCATAACAAAACACTATAGACTGGGTGGCTTAAACTACAAGGCATTTATTTTCCCACACTTCTGGAGGCTGGCAGTCCAAGATCAAGGTATCAGCAGGGTTGGTTTCCTTTGAGACCTTTCTCCCAAGCTTGCAGATGGCTACGTTCTCTCTGTGTCCTCATGTGGCTTTTTCTCTGCACGTATGCACCCATCCTTTTCTTGTAAGGACACTTGTTCTATTGTAGTAGGAATTCACCCTTATGGCCTCATTTAATCCTAATGACCTCTCTGAAGACACTATTTCCAAATGCAGTCACATTGGAGATGAAGGTTTCAACATAAGAATTTTGGGAGAACATAATTCAGTCCACAACACCTGGGTATGGGAAGAAATCAGGAGAACTAAGGAGTGACTTAGAGGTGTGTAAGTTCTTGTCTAGCATCCTTCTGCCCCATGCACTCAGTGGGACTGTTTATACCCATCACACCAGGAACGACTTTCTCATCCATTCTCCAAATGGTGTGTTCAGCCCACTAGCAACCCCAAAGTTGTACAAACCCCTCCTGTCTCCTAATGAAGATTCTTCCATATTATTCTAGATTCAGAAATAGAACAATGAAACTCTCGGTTATTCCCGAAGTGTCTCCTGAAGAAGTGATACATTAATGTAGGATCTGTGCCATATATCACCCCCAAGCCAACTTGCACAGATGTGTCTAGTAAAGGCAAGTTATAACTATAGCAGTACTGAAGCTATAGGGATCAATATCTTCAAATGGTTATTTGAACACTCTGTTCACACCTTCTTGGCAACAATGGGTCCACCTCCACAGAGAAAAACTCCTCAGATCCATATACAAAGTCTTTTTTTCCCCTATGTTTTCCAAGAATATTCCTCTTTTCCAAGCTCCATTCTCAGAGAGCTCATCAATGAAGCATATTGGGGGTGGTCTTCCCCCTATTCTTAGCTCCTTGAGCCTGAAGACTCCTTTGCACCTCAATTCTGTCATCTTGGGGTTTTGCTTTCTCCCCATGACATCAGCTGTGGCTACCTCTGGCCATTTTCCCTGCTTTCAAATTCTGTTGATCCTCCCTCTAGTCTTTACTGAGTTTGATACATGAAGCCCAAAACTCACTTGGGAGCCTTCCCAAGAGTTTTCTCTCCTTCCAGACCCTTCAGGGTGGTGCCAAGTGGGAGAAGATGGGATGCAATTCTCTGCCTTCCTGCAACTCAGCAAATTGCAATTTATGAGTTTCAATCCACATGAAAGGGCCCTCAATTAAATCTCCCCGGATTTATTTGGAATGTTGAATTAATTTGGAAAACAAGGGGAAAAATTCAACTTGGTTTCAGCCCAGCAAAGGGATCATAACATTCTACCAAATCCTGTCACCTCTTTGCATTTTCTCCATCTCCTGCTTGAGTACCTTCTTGGCCACAGAGTGTGGGGATTAGCCACAGGTAAAGTGGGGCTAGTGACAAAATTCTGCTCTGTTGCGAGGGTCATTTTGAATGGATCGTTATTCACCCAGAAGAGAGGAGAAAGCCCTGGACTGGATACAGGAGACCTAGGTTCTAATCTTGCTCCCCACTGTCTACTTTCCCTGACTTCTCAGATGTTCTTGAGCTCTGAATGATGTCTGAAGCCCTATGGATGAGTTTGCTCAGGAAGGCAGCAGTTACTGACAATTCCCTTTCTCCAAGGGCCTCCCTTTATGTAGTCTTGTATCCTAGATTCATTCACTGCCTGGATGCCAGAAGGTTATTCTGGAAACACAAATTGGATCATACCACCCACTGTGTTTAAACCCCTCAGCGACTCCTTGTTGTCCTAATGATAAGACCTGCAATTGTTGTATGGCTTGGGAATCCCTGCATGGCCTGGCCTCTCCCAGCTCTCCAGCTGCTTCCTGAACACACTCACCTCCCTCTACCCATCCAGGTCTCTCCATTCTGGTATACCTTCCACTACTCCCCAACCCAGTCTCACTGTTTGTGCATATGCCGAGCTGTTGGGCTCCATCACTCCTTCTTTTTAGAGACTAATTGACACCCATCCTTTCTTCAGTTCTCAGCTAGGTCTTTGCTTCCCCAGGAAAGACTTCTGGGACTAAGCCAAATGTTTCCTTTATTCTCCCCTCGACATTAAATTTCTGTTTTTTGAAGCAGTTATCACAAGAGTCTTTCTACATTTGTGTGTGTGCTTACTTCATTAACTTCTGTCTCTTCCATTAGACTGTGAGTTTCAGAAGGCAAGGACCACATCTGTTTGCTGTCACCATTAAATTCTCAATGCCTTATACAGTAGTGGAAATAAAGTATGCACTTGGGAATAATTGGCGAATGAATCAATGAGTCAATAAGCACGGAGGTTGGTTTCTCTTGTTCAAGTCATTGGTTGTGAACGACCCTACAGAGTTCTTTATGAAAGAGCAGATGGATCCTGCCTAAGTAAACAGGTGTTCCAAAGGCAGGTGGCTATTTGTACTGCTGGCCAGCAGCCAGATCCACGACATCTCCTGGGGATAAGGGGTGAAGCCAAGTTGAGGACCAGCTCCTGGTCATCTGTCAGGTGGGATAATCATGGTGCCCATTCATGGGGCTGCTGAGATTAAATGGGAAGCGATGTGTATGATGTTTTGTGCAGTGCCCAGCACAGAACAAGCGCTCAATGTGTATGTATATCTGTTCTTTCAGGGTCTTCTTTTTTTCATTTTTATTTTTTTGAGATGGAGTCTTGCTCTGTCTCCAGGCTGGAGTGCAGTGGCGCGATCTCAGCTCACTGCAATCTCCGCCTCCTGGGTTCAACTGATTCCCCTGCCTCAGCCTCCGGAGTAGCTGGGACTACAGGCATGCACCACCATGCCCAGCTAATTTTTTGTATTTTTAGTAGAGACAGGGTTTCACCATGTTGGCCAGGATGCTCTCGATCTCCTGACCTCATGATCCACCCACCTCAGCCTCCCAAAGTGCTGGGATTACAGGTGTGAGCCACCGTGCCCAGCCAGTATCTTCTTCTTTGTGTTGACTGCCAATGTACTCCCCTTCCCACTTCTGCTGGGGAAATCTGGAGGTCAAGACTGTAAACCTGAATTTGTATACACCTGTCTTCTTTTTGATTTTGAGATGGTCTCACTCTGTTACCCCGGCTGGAGTGCAGTGGCGTGATCTCAGCTCATTGCAACCTCCTCCTCCTGGGTTTAACCAATTCTCCAGCCTCAGCCTCTACACTAGCTGGGACTACAAGTGTGCACCACCATGCCTGGCTAATTTTTGTATTTTTTGGTAGAGATGGGGTTTTATCATGTTGGCCAGGCTGGTCTCAAATTCCTGACCTCAAGCTATCAACCTGCCTCGGCCTCTGAAAGTGCTGGGATTACAGGTGTAAGCCAAAGCACCCGGCCTCTTCTTTCTTACATATTTTGTGAGCCAGGGTTCTTGTTGGCTCCTTTCAGTGGTGGCATACTGAGAGTACAGTCTAGTTGCTGTAATAAAGAGAACCCTAGATACAGTGGCTTAAACAACCTGGAACTTCATTACTCTCTCATGTTAACAGTCCAGGGCTGGTGAGACAGCTTTGCCATCCTCAACACGTGACTCCCAGTAGTGGCCCCATGGTGGCTCTTCTGATTCTAGTCACCTCCCAGACACAGTGGTGGAAGGAGGGCAGACAGTGAGGACACACAGGCCCAGCCCTTTGAAAGGGAAGACTCAGAAGGGAACTTTTCACCTTTGCTTGTGTCCTGTTGGCCAGAACTTTGTCATGTGGTCAGGTTTAGTTGAAAGGAGGCTGGGAACAATGTAGTCTTGTTTCTGGTTACAACAATATCCCTACAGGAAAAGGGAGGAATGGAGAAGAGGGGACAACTCAGAGTCTGCCACCAGCACCAGAACTGCCCTCAAGGGCTGGGTTACCTCTTGGTCCCTTGTTGAGCCCTGGTGTTACACACAGGGCATGGCACATAGTAACCTCCTATGAATGTTGGGGAAATGAATGCATGAGTGAATAAACGGCTGAGGGAACAGAATCCAGAGAAAGCCCTCATCAAAGTGCTTGAGAAAATAAATACACAGATTGCCTACTTCTTCCCTAAATTCCACCTGTGTGACCTTGGGCAAGTTGCTTAAACTCTCCAAACCTCCATTGCTTCATCTCTAACATGGGGATAATAATAGCACCTTGCTCATAAGGCTGTTTGAGGAGTACGTTAGTTCATAAGTGTAAAGTGCTTAGAATAGTGCCTAGTACATGGTGTGCACTCAATAAATGATGGGTACAAATACTGTTATTTTAATATTATTACAAATAGTGCTATTGATGTACCAGCTCTCTCTTGGAAGATTCCACATCTCACGGGGTGCCGCATTATCCAGGGGTGTTTTCCTGTACAAGGGATGACCTTGAGAACTGCCATGGTAGCAGGAGGCCCCAGTTTCATCACCTGCCCCTTGAAAGGTCCTGTGCATACTTGGAAAGACCATCAGATTTAGTCGAATGAACTCTAGCACAAGTCCCAACTCTCCCATTTAATTATTGTGATTTTTAAGCAACAAACAAGACCTCTCTGAGCACAGCTCTCTTCAAAAGGAAGATGCTAATCACTCCCCATTGCTAGAAGGTTTCATGACACACTGCAGCTCCTTAGCTAAGGGCTTCTCCCCAGACAGTCCACCTCTGCCCCTACTGGAGAAGGAGTCTGTGAGGGGATTCTGGCCCTGGAATTGCAAGACACCTGACCCCACCTCCTCTGTGTGCTCAGCTGCCAAGACCTTGCCATTTCTGAAAACAATCGAACATTTCAGGAAAAGTGACTGTGGCCAAGTTGCTAATGTCCAGCAGCCATCAGAATCTGGCAGGCTCTCCCCACCTCCTGAATGGAGATGGTTTCCTTCCTGCCATTGCTAATGTTCCCTGCTCTGGGTGTGGGTAGGAGAAGTGGGAACCACATAATAAGGATTTGAAAATAGCTACTAGCCCACAGCAAGAAGTGGTTTCCACTTCACAGTGGACCAATTGCCTGATAGCAGGGAAGGGTGGTTGGTAGTTTCTGGGTCTGAGCTGGGCATCTGGGTTTAAATCCTAACACTATGGCCTGGTGCAGTGGCTCACACCTGTAATCCTAGCACTTTGGGAGGCCGAGGCAAGCAGATCACTTGAGGCCAGGAGTTCGAGACCTGCCTGACGAGTGTGGTGAAACCCCATTTCTACTAAAAATACAAAAATTGGCTGGGCATGGTGGTGTGCACCTGTAATCCCAGCTACCTGGGAGGCTGAGGCATGAGAATCGCTTGAATCTGGGCAGCAGAGGCTGCAGTAAGCTGAGATTGCAACACTGCACTCCAGCCTGGGTGACAGAGTGAGACTCTGTCTCAAAAATAAAATAAGACAGAGATTCAACAGACTTAAACATTCCTGCCTGCTGACTCTGAAGAGAGCAGCAGATCTCCTAGCACAGTGCTCAAGCTCTGCTAAGGGACAGACTGCCTCCTAAGTGGGTCACTGACCCCCATACCTCCTGACTGGGAGACATCTCCCAGCAGAGGTCAACAGGCACCTCATACAGGAGAGCTCCAGCTGGCATCTGGTGGGTGCCCCTCTGGGACGAAGCTTCCAGAGGAAGGAACAGGCAGCAATCTCTGCTGTTTTGCAGCCTCCACTAGTGATAATCAGGCAAACAGGGTATGGAGTGGACCTCCAGCAAATTCCAGCAGACCTGCAGCAGAGGGGCCTGACTGTTAGAAGGAAAACTAACAAACAGAAAGGAATAGCATCAATATCAACAAAAAGGACATCCACTCAGAAACTCCATCCAAAGGTCACCAGCATCAAAGACCAAAGGTAGATAAATCCATGAAGATGAGGAAAAACCAGCACAAAAAGGCTGAAAACTCCAAAAACCAGAATGCCTCTTCTCCAAAGATCACGACTCCTCGACAGCAAGGGAACAAAACTGGACAGAGAATGAGTTTGACAAATTGACAGAAGTAGGCTTCAGAAGGTGGGTAATAACAAACTAATCGGAGCTAAAGGAGCATGTTCTAACCCAATGCAAGGAAGCTAAGAACCTTGAAAAAAGGTTAGATGAATTGCTAACTAGAATAACCAGTTTAGAGAACAACATAAATGACGCGATGGAGCTGAAAAACACAGCACGAGAACTTTGTGAAGCATACACAAGTATCAATAGCTGAATCGATCAAGTGGAACAAAGGATATCAGAGACTGAAGATCAACTTAATGAAATAAAGCATGCAGACAAGATTAGAGAAAAAAGAGTGAAAAGGAATAAACAAAGCCTCCAAGAAATTGGGACTATGTGAAAAGACCAAACCTATGTTTGACTGGTGTACCTGAAAGTGACGGGGAGAATGGAACCAAATTGGAAAACACTCTTCAGAATATTATCCAGGAGAACTTCCCCACCTAGCAAGACAGGACAATATTCAAATTCAGGAAATACAGAGAATGCCACAAAGATACTCCTTGAGAAGAGCAACCCCAAGACACATAATCATCAGATTCACTGAGGTTGAAATGAAGGAAAAAATGTTAAGGGCAGCCAGAGAGAAAGGTCGGGTTACCCACAAAGGGAAGCCCATCAGACTAAGAGCGGATCTCTCTGCAGAAACCCTACAAGCCAGAGGAGAGTGGGGGCCAATATTCAATATTCTTAAAGATTTTTCAACCCAGAATTTCATATCCTGCCAAACTAAGCTTCATAAGTGAAGAAGAAATAAAATCGTTTACAGACAAGCAAATACTGAGAGATTTTGTCACCACCAGGCCTGCCTTACTAGAGCTCCTGTAGGAAGCACTATACATGGAAAGGAACAACCGGTACCAACCACTGCAAAAACATACCAAATTGTAAAGACCATTGACACTATAAAGAAACTGTATCAACTAATGAGCAAAATAACCAGCTAGCATCATAATGGCAGGATCAAATTCACACATAACAATATTCACCTTAAATGTAAACAGGATAAATGCCCCAATTAAAAGACAGACTGGCAAATTGGATAAAGAGTCAAGACCAATCAGTGTGCTGTATTCAGGAGACCCATCTCATGTGCAAAGACACACATAGGCTCAAAATAAAAGGATGGAGGAATATTTACCAAGCAAATGGAAAGCAAAAAAAAAGCAGGGGTTGCAATCCTAGTCTCTCATAAAACAGACTTTAAACCAACAAAAATCAAAAAAGACAAAAAAGGGCATTACATAATGGTAAAGGGATCAATGCAACAAGAAGAGCTAACTACCCTAAATATATATGCACCCAATACAGGAGCACCCAGATTCATAAAGCAAGTTCTTAGAGACCTACAAAGAGAATTAAACCCCCACACAATAATAGTGAGAGACTTTAACACCCCACTGTCCATATTAGACAGATCAATGAGACAGAAAATTAAAAAGGATATTCAGGACGTGAACTCAGCTCTGGACCAAGTGGACCTATTAGACATCTACAGAACTCTTCACCCCAAATCAACAGAATATACATTCTTCTCATCACACTTATTCCAAAATTGACCACATAATTGGAAGTAAAACACTCCTCAGCTAATGGAAAAGAATGGAAATAATAGTCTATCAGACCCCGTGCAATCAAATTAGAACTCAGGATTAAGAAACTCACTCAAAACCACACAACTACATGGAAACTGAACAACCTGCTTCTGAATGACTACTGGGTACATAACGAAATTAAGGCAGAAATAAAAATGTTCTTTGAATCCAATGAGAACAAAGACACAACATACCAGAATCCCTGGGACACAGCTAAAGCAGTGCTTAGAGGGAAATTTATAGTACTAAATGCCCACAGGAGAAAGCAGGAAAGATCTAAAATTGACACCCTAACATCTCAATTAAAAGAACTAGAGAAGCAAGAACAAACAAATTCAAAAGCTAGCAGAAGACTAGAAATAACTCAGATCAGAGCAGAACTGAAGGAGATAGAGACACAAAAAACCCTTCAAAAAATCGATGAATCCAGTAGCTGGTTTTTTGAAAAGATCAACAGAATAGATAGACCACTAGCCAGACTAATAAAGAAGAAAAGAGAGAAGAATCGAATAGATGCAATAAAAAATGATAAAGGGGATATCACCATTGATCCCATAGAAATACAAACTACCACCATCAGAGAATACTATAAACACCTCTACACAAATAAACTAGAAAATCTAGAAGAAATGGATAAATTCCTGGACACATACACCCTCCCAAGACTAAACCATAAAGAAGTAGAATCCCTGAATAGACCAATAACAAGTTCTGAAATGGAGGCAGTAATTAATAGCCTACCAACCAAAAAAAGCTCATAACCAGATGGATTCACAGCCAAATTCTACCAGAGGTACAAAGAGGAGCTGGTACCATTCCTTCTGAATTTATTCCAAACAATAGAAAATGAGGGACTCCTCCCTAACTCATTTTATGAGGCCAGGATCATCCTGATACCAAAACCTGGCAGAGGCACAACAAAAAAAGAATATTTCAGCCAATATCCCTGATGAACATCGATGCAAAAATTCCTCAATAAAATACTGGTAAACCGAATCCAGCAGCACATCAAAAAGCTTATCTACCATGATCAAGTCAGCTTCATCCCTCAGATGCAAGGCTGGTTCAACATAAGCAAATCAATAAACGTAATCCAAACAGAACCAATGACAAAAACCACATGATTATCTCAATAGATGCAGAAAAGGCCTTCAATAAAATTCAACACCACTTCATGCTAAAAACTCTCAATAAACTAGGTATTGATGGAACATATCTCAAAATAATAGAGCTATTTATGACAAACCCACAGCCAATATCATACTGAATGGGCAAAAGCTGGAAGCATTCCCTTTGAAAACCAGCACAAGACAAGGATGCTCTTTCTCATCACTCCCATTCAACACAGTATTGGAAGTTCTGGCAATCAGGCAAGAGAAAGAAATAAAGGGTATTCAAATAGGAAGAGAGGAAGTCAAATTGTCTCTGTTTGCAGATGACATGACTGTATATTTAGAAAACCCCATTGTCTCAGCCCAAAATCTCCTTAAGCTGATAAACAGCTTCAGCAAAGTCTCAGGATACAAAATCAATGTGCAAAAATCACAATCATTCCTATCCACCAATAATAGACAAACAGAGAGCCAAATCATGAGTCAACTCCCATTCACAATTGCTACAAAGAGAATAAAATACCTAGGAATCCAACTTACAAGGTACGTGAAGGACCTCTTCAAGGAGAACTACAAACCACTGCTCAAGGAAATAAGAGAGGACACAAGCAAATGGAAAAACATTCCATGCTCATGGATAGGAAGAATCAATATTGTGAAAATGGTAATACTGCCCAAAGTAATTTATAGATTCAGTGCTATCCCCATCAAGCTACCACTGACTTTCTTCACAGAATTAGAAAAAACTACTTTAAATTTAACGTGGAACCAAAAAAGAGCCCGTATAGCCAAGACATTCCTAAACAAAACGAACAAAGCTGGAGGCATCATGCTACCTGACTTCAAACTATGCTACAAAGCTATAGTAACCAAACCAGCATGGTACTGGTACCAAAACAGATACATAGACCAATGGAACAGAATAGAGGCCTCAGAAATAATACCACATATCTACAATCATCTGATCTTTGACAAACCTGACAAAAACAAGCAGTGGGGAAAGGTTTCCCTATTTAATATATGGTGGTGGGAAAAGAGGTAGCCATATGCAGAAAACTGAAACTGGACCCCTTCCTTACACTCTATACTAAAATTAACTTGAAATGGATTACAGACTTAAATGTAAGACCTAAAACCATAAAAACCCTAGAAGAAAACCTAGGCAATATCCTTCAGAACATAGGCATGGGCAAAGACTTCATGATAAAACACTGAAAGCAATGGCAACAAAAGCCAGAATTGATAAATGGGATCTAATTAAACTAAAGAGCTTCTGCACGGCAAAAGAAACTATCATCAGAGTGAACAGGCAACCTACAGAATGGGAGAAAATTTTTGCAATCTATCCAACTGACAAAGGGCTAATATCCAGACTCTACAAAGAACTTAAACAAATTTACAAGAAAAAAACAAAAGATCCCATCAAAAAGTGGGTAAAGGATATGAACAGACACTTCTCAAAAGATGACATTTATGCAGCTAAGAAACATATGAAGAAAAGCTCATCATCACTGGTCATTAGAGAAATGCAAATCAAAACCACAATGAGATACCACCTCACACCAATCAGAATAGCAATCATTAAAAAGTCAAGAAACAGCAGATGCTGGAGAGGATGTGGAGAAATAGGAATGCTTTTACATTGTTGGTGGGAGTGTAAATTAGTTCAACCATTGTGGAAGAGAGTGTGGCAATTCCTCAACGATCTAGAACCAGAAATACTATTTGACCCAGAAATCCCATTAATGGGTATATACCCAAAGGATTATAAATCATTCTACTATAAAGACACATGAACAAGTATGTTTATTGCAGCACTGTTCACAATAGCAAAGACTTGGAACCAACACAAATGCCCATCAATGATAGGCTGGATAAAGAAAATGTGGCACATATACACTATGGAATACTATGCAGCCATAAAAAAGGATGAGTTCATGTCCTTTGCAGGGACATGGATGAAGCTGGAAACCATCATTCTCAGCAAACTAACACAAGAACAGAAAACCAAACACTGCATATTCTCACTCATAAGTGGGAGTTGAACAATGAGAGCACATGGACACAGGGAGGAGAACATCACACACCAGGGCCTGTCGGTGGGTGGGGGGCTGGGGGAGGGATAGCGTAAGGAGAAATACCTAATGTAGATTATGGATTGATGGGTGCAGCAAACCACCATGGCAAGTGTATACCTAAGTAACAAATATGCACGTTCTGCACATGTATCCCAGAATTTAAAGTATAATTTAAAAATATATAAAATAATAAAATAAAATAAAATAAATACATAAATAATAAATAAATAAATCCTAACACTACCATTCAATTGTACAACTGCAGGGGTCTCCAGCCATATTGAATTCCTTGTAAATGGAACCCCAGAAGTAGGGTGTGTTATGGGAGTGATATCCCCTGGGCTTAAGAAGCCAAACTTCAGTTTCCTCGTCTGTCAAATTGTTGTGGAGCTAATTAAACAAGGTGATGAATTATCAAGAGCTGAGCAGAGTAAGTGCCCAATAAATGACAACTGTTGCTATTATTTCTGCTTCTTTCCCTCTCTGGGTATCCCTGGGACATTTACCTTGTGTAAAAGCCCTGAGATCTCACTTGTGTCTGCCCAGAGCAATTTAACTTTGGAGCATTGCTCTTGAGGTCTTAATGAATGAAAAAACTTCCCGTGTATCTTCCCGGTACGGCATGCCCAGGGTGGTGGCTGACTCTCTCTGCAGCTTTGCTCTGCCAATTCTTCTGATTGTATGGGGAAGAAAGCCTCTGTTGTGTGCTGGTAGTCCTTAACACCTGGCGATATTAGCTGTAGAGGGCGTCTTAAGCAGCAGGATTCCATTACGGAGCAGCTGCAGTTGAAGGAGACGATATGGTGTGGATGGCATGGGACTCAGGAGCGAGGCACGTTCACTGTTCCCAATCCCGGATTCTGACTGGCTGCTCCCATAGGCCCATGTGAAAGATGAGGACAGTGGAGGCTCCCTGTCACTTCCCCCGTGCCATGGGTGCCTGAGAGGCAGCCGTGGGAGGCGGGGAGGTGGGGAGGTGAGGCCTCTTTTTGCCAGAAATGAACCCATGGAAAATCCTGGAATGGCCCTCCGCCTCCCGAGCCACTGGGAGGGCGCAGACTGCAGCCCACGAGGCGGGAGGTAGGCACTAGCTGTGGGAATGCAGAGCAGACAGGATTAAACTGACTTTCTGACATATTTCTGTGGGAAGGGTGTCTCTGAGTGTGAAGCCGTTTCCCCGAGTAGTGTGGGACCTTTCACGTGGCACCAGGGCTGACGCTGGCCCACTTCACAGGATGCCAGGGCCCTGCCTAGGTGGAGAGGCAGAGGTGGAATGGGAAGAGGCCCCGGGGTCGCAGCCAAGAGGCTGCAGGCCCAGGCCCTAAGGAAAAAGTGACGGCCTCAGCTTCTTTCTGCTTCCATGGAGGAAGGACTCCAGCTAGGTGCCTCCAGTCCTCTAGCATCTTCCTCACGTGAGGCAGGGAAGCCCGAGCCCTGGGTTCCAATCCTGGCTCTGCCATTCACCAGCTGTGTGACCTGCGACAAACCATTGAAACTTCTGAACTTCCGTCTCTTCATCTTTGAAACAAATGGTCAAAGATAAAGCACTAGGTGAGAAAAGGTAGTGTTAGTTACTGACCAAGGCAATGTTCCAAGGCACCTTGCAGATGCTATTTCATCAGAATATATTATTCTGTTTAAAAATATTACATATATTTTATATGTATTTTTATACATATTTTATACGTATTTTATACATATATTTTATATGTATTTTTATACATATATTTTATATGTATTTTTACATATATGTTACATATATTTTATTAATTCATTGAATCAGAACACTCCTGCAAGGGAGAGATTATTAAGCCCATTTTACAGATGAGGAAACTGAGGCTAGAGCCTGAGAAACTCCCAGACAGTGAGGTGCATGGTTTGAATGCAAAACAGTGTTGCTGGCCTCCAAAGCCTGTGTCATTTTCCTTCCATGGAGAAACCTCTCTATTTAACGTTATTAATAGAAATATTGTTTATTACAGGCATGGTGGCTCATGCCTGTAATCCCAGTGCTTGGGAGGCTGAGGCAGCAGGATCACTTGAGCCCAGGAGTTTGAGACCAGCCTGAGCAACATAGTGGGACCCCATCTCTAAAAAAAGCAAAAAAAAAATTAGCTGGGCATGGTGGAGTACACCTGTACTCCCAGCTACCCAAGACGCTGATGTGGGAGGATCCCTTAAGGCCAGGAGGTCAAGGCTTCAGTGAGCTGTGATCACACTACTGCACTGCAGCCTGGGTGACACAGTAATAGCTGTCTCAAAAAGAAGGAAAGAAAGAAAGGAAAGAAAGCAAAGAAAGGGAGAAGGGAGAAAGAGAGAAAGAGAGAGAAAGGGAGGGAGGGAGGGAGGAAGGAAGGAAGGCAGGCAGGAGAGGGAGGGAGGGAGGGAGGGAAGGGAGGAAAGAAAGAAGGAAGTTTGCGTTTTGTTGGTAGAGCTGATCATGCATATATGGAGTGCACAGGACGAAGCATCCTCCTTGTCATTAGAACCGTAAGACATCCTTATGTGGTGGATGCAAATGTCCACATTTCATCGGGGGGACACTGAGGCTCATAAGACCAGTGAAGGGGCCCAACAGGGAGGGGATATGTGCAGCATGAATCCAATTAGTTTGTCTTCCCCTGGATCTGCCCCAAGCCTGGGAATCATAAGAGGCTTTGGAGAGCACCTGAAATTAGCGTGGACCTGGCAGGAGTGTTCTGCCCCTCAACCTCCCTTTGTGCACCCCACATAGCTGGAGGATGAGTCACACACCCTGGAGGACTTTCCTAATTATACAGGTATGTAGCGGCTTCTGGCCAGCCTCCTGGAGTTAGAGAAGGGGCTACCTGCTTGTTCAGGCAGCAGGGTGCTTGAGAGTATGGCTGACTTTGTGTCACCTGCCCTGGGATCCCCAGGATTCTATTTGTCAGAGCAGGGATGAACGAACCAAGGCCCAAGGCGTGAGACTAGATTGTATCTAGTGGGGCTGTCAGAGCAAGCCAGGGCACTTCCCTGGGGCCACGTGGTGGAATGGTCAGCTGAGGACACAGATAGAACTGGCCTTGAATTCCAGTTCTGCCATTTAGCAGTGATCTTGGCAAACTCACTTACCCTCACGGAACCTCGACTGCTTCTTCTGAGAATAGGGGAAATGATGGTGCACCCTCCAGAGAGGTGCCAGAGGACCCCGAATGTGATCACGTTTGTATGCTAGGTAATGGGCTCAACACGTGGTGAACACTCAGTGTTGGTTGTTATGGTAATGTGGATGCTATTGTTGTCATCCCTGGCCCATTACCAGAATCTTCTACCAGCTCAAAGCCACACACTGGAGGTAGTGCCGGAGCTGGTTTGCTAAGTCATTGAGGCATGTGACTGCACATGGGGGGTCCCTGATGGTCTATTTTCACCAGCACCCGTCCTTATCTGGAGCCTTGAAGGATTTTTGGCATTCAGAGAGTCCCCCCTGGAGATGTCTGTGCCTGCGAAGAGGGGCTGATTGATGGGGTGAGGACTTCCACTGGGGGCAGCTGGGGTGGCAGTGCAGGCCAGTGAGACCCCCTTCCTCTCTGGGTCTGGGCCTCTTTTTTCTATCAGCCTGGCAGATTCTGGAACGCCTGGTGCCCTCTCAGCAGAAGCCCTGGGGTAGGGTTTCTGGTTGGGTTTCAAGGGCTGCTCAGAGGTTGTGGCCATCTTTGCCGCTGAGCTGTGGTGCCGCTTGGGTTGCTAGACCACTGTGGGACTGATTCACAATAGGCTTGGGTGGAAAGGAGGCGCCTCTTTAAACCTCAGCGTTTCCGTCTGAGAAGTGGGTAGAAGCTTTCTGGCATCCTCTGCCTTCCTTGGGGAAGCAAAGGAGGACATGCGGGCTGGCCTTAGCTGGATGGCTAGAGAAACTCAGACAAGCTTGTGGCTTGAATGGGGGCCACGCTGGGCTCTCCAGGGCTCCCCACATTGCCTGCCTCGTCCACACAGCTGAGGAGCAGTCAGCACACACGAGGCCTCCGCCTGAGCTCTGCACAGCTGTCAGAGGCCCCCTGCTCCCTGGAAAAGGAGTGAAGATTAATTAAAGTTGTCAGGTCCTAAGTAAAATCACCAATGTCAATTTCCTCCCTCTGGCTCTTGCTGTCAGAATAAATTGGACAGTCATTACCTAATACTCAGCCCATTTTCCTAATATTTCATGGATGCTGAAGGGCTGATGGGAAACAGGGAAGGTGAGACCCTTCAGAGCCAGGGAGCAGGGAGCTGCGTGTGGCTAAGGTTCTCTGGGCAGAGTAGCCCTGCCTCAAACCACTGTGGCCTCAGGAGGGAGCTCAGAGGATAGCCTCTGTGGGCCAGGGGTTGGGTTCTGTCCACATTGGTCACTGCCCTGACCCAAAGGAGGTGTCTGGAGCATGTTCACCCAGGCAGAAGAGTCTGGGTGGCTCCCTGTGCAACCCCCACCTACTGGCAACAAGTCCAGGGACCTCCTGTTACAGCAGCAACTGGTGCCTTCATAGTCCTCAGTTCCAGAGAGCCTCAGTTTTTTAAGCTGAAAAATGGGAATGAATATATATAATTATATATATTTTAAAAGCTTCTCGGTGGTTGCTTTTGGGAGAGGATTGATTGCAAGAAGTAGAAGAGAACCTTCTGGGGTACAGAAAATGTTCTATTTCTTAATCTAAAGTGTACATATAGCAAGGTATTCATATGTGAAAATTCATTGCACTGCATACTTAAGACTTGTAGACTTTATGTATGTTACATCTCACTCAAACTTTTGAAAAGCAAAGCACTCAGTGGTCATAAGGATCTGGACATTGATTTGAAACTAAGGAGGACTCCTTGATGCTGCCTCCCTTTGAAAGAAGGGCTCCTTACACAGCATCTCTCGTGCCAGGCTGAGTTAAAAGGCTTGTGATACCATCTTAGTTGAATCTTCCCGGTGAGCCCATGGCAGGATAGGAATGATAGGGGTTACCATTCCCATTTCAGGGGAAGTGACATGGTGTGGGAATTGGGAGGGCCAACTCAGATATGTACCCTGGCTCTGCCATCTCTTACCTGGAGGGCCTTGGGCAAGTCAGCATACCTATGAAACAGAGGGTGATGATAAAGCCCACCTTCGAGGGACATTGTTCAGATTAAACAGCATAAAGGTGTGCTTGGCTCAGAGAGAGAGGCAGTGCATGTTAAGTGGCATTCCTTCTCTGGGCCTCAGTTTCCCTTTATGTCTTCTGGTGGTGGAAGAGGTCAGTCCTTTCTGCATGGGCTATGCCCACTGATGGGTGTTACAGAACTGGAAGGCCCTTCACCCTGCACTTCCTGGGAGGGACGTGACCATCTGAGAGGGGAGGTTTCCCCTAAGGCAGAGCTCTGTGCTCCCTTTACAGTGGAATCATAATAGCAAAAACACTCTTTCCCATGCAAATTCACGGCCAGCCCTGAGGCCTTGCAGACCCTAGGAGGAGACTCCAGGAGCCCTCCATCTGACAGAGGCAGCCCCGAATGCTTTCGTATGGAGGGAGAGGATGCTCACTTATTTTTTACATTCATGTTTTAGAGTTCCTAAATGTGCTGAGCTCAGGCTGGGCTTCCACAGGTTGCAATGATAGGTCAGGGCTGCCGCCTCCAGGGAGCAACCAGGATGTCAAGTCCTTCCCATGAATCTCTGTAACACAAGAGAGTGACAGAGGCTGGGAGGGAGGGGTGGGATGTATCTAGAATGAAACTGGCAAAGAAACTCTGAGCTGATGCCACCAAATCTTAAGCAGTGATGTTGGTCTCTGCTAAAGAGCTCTTGAGCTAGTGGAGAGACTTAGATCACACTTCCACAGCAAGCTACCCGAAGACCCTTTCTAGACACTCACCTGGCACCCTCAAAGTCCCATAGAGCTTGGCACCTCTGCACCAGTTATCTTTTTCTTCCCAGTTCAATCTTTCTTATTGTCACAGGATAAAGGACTAGATAAATTAGCTGGGATCAGGGACGGAGTCAGGAAGACAGAAATGTTTCTGACTCCCCCTACTCCAGCTGAGCCACTTGGCAGCAAGTTACTTTACTTTTCTGAGCCTCCGTTTGTTGATTTGTGAAATGAAAATGCTGCTGCTTTGGGCCCTGTGGGTCTTGAACATCTCCCCAGGGGATGAGCTCCACCACGCCGGGGCCTAGAACACAGTGAAGACTGGGGACTTGCTATAGATTTGGTTTTTTGTTTGTTTTTTGAGACAGAGTTTTGCTCTTGTCACCCAGAGTGGAGTGCAATAGTGTGATCTTGGCTCACTGCAACCTCCACCTCCTGGGTTCAAGCAATTCTCCTGCCTCAGTCTCCCAAGTAGCTGGGATTACAGGCGTGCGCCACCATGCCTGGCTAATTTTTGTATTTTTAGTAGAGATGGAGTTCTGCCACGTTGGCCAGGCTGGTCTCAAACTCTTGACCTCAGGTGATCCACCCACCTTGGCGTCCCAAAGTGCTGGGATTACAGGCATGAGCCACTGCACCCGGCCACTGTGGATTTGTTGAATGGACATATGCAAGAAAATAAAGCAGGGGAAGAAAGTACTTTGTAAACCCTGAGATGAGGCACACATTGAATGTCATTATTCTTACTCCTGGGCTCATGGAATTTGAGTTGGGCCTTTAAAACTGAAGATTATACGCATCTCAGTATGGGATGTATATAATTGGTGGTGTGGGGGTGCGGGGCACCTCCCAGGCAGGAGGAATAGCATCTCAAAGACCCAGAAGTTGGAGAAGGAAAAAGGCAGGGCCGGGCGCGGTGGCTCACGCCTGTAATCCCAGCACTGTGGGAGGCCGAGGTGGGCAGATCACGAGGTCAGGAGATGGAGACCATCCTGGCTAACACGGTGAAACCCCATCTCTACTAAAAATACAAAAAATTAGCCGGGCGTGGTGGCGGGCGCCTGTAGTCCCAGCTACTCGGGAGGCTGAGGTAGGAGAATGGTGTGAACCCGGGAGGCGGAGCTTGCAGTGAGCTGAGATCGTGCCACCACTCCAGCCTGGGCGACAGAGCGAGACTCCGTCTCAAAAAAAAAAAAAAAAGGCAACAGTGTTGGAAGTTTGTGGGTTTTTTTTTTTCTTTCTAAACCATGTGTGCTTGTAGAGCAGACGTGGTGTCATCTGGTCCCCAGGGTCCTGTAACACCAGCCAGGGGTTTGGCCTTGGTGTGGACATGGGCGTGCCCCACGGCTGCATCTGGGAGGCCCAGTTGATTACCCTCATGGAAGGCTCCGATGTTCCCAGGGCTCCACAGGATTGCTTAATCCCCCAAACACAAGCAGCCTTTAATTTGTGGAGACACAGTAGTGGCCCCGAGGTCTGAAACAGGAATCAAAGTGAACAGGCATCATTTACCATAAACAGGCTGGTCCCCAGTGGGTTCTGAGGCCCAGGCATGAGGAAGCCCCAAGATCCTCGGGTGCTCACAATAGAAGCCACCAGCACACAAGGCAGCCATCCAAGGCTCTGACCTCAAGGTTCCTCCCACTCCCGTCTTGCAGGAGCCTCTGAGGAGCTGGGATGGGTGGTGGACAATGGGGGGTGGGGCCTTCCGGCTGCTGGGGAAACAATGGGTCATGATCAATTTAGGACTCTTCTAATGTTCTAAAATAAACCCTGGCGTTCTGGGGTCGAAGTAAATCCTACCAGGGAAGCACAGCCTTGAACCCTTCCATTGGGGGTGGACTCTGGCCTCCGTAAGTCCCCATCCCAGCTCCCCTTCATTCTGGCTCCTGCATCCTGGCTTCTGTGTGGCAGTGTTGTGCTCCTAAGTGTTTAACGATCAGATCCAGAAAGGGAGTGGGCCTGATTTGCAGCGTTTGCTGATTTCCATGGTGTAAATACTGCCCTCTGACCAAATTTCAAGCTACCAAGATGATATCACTAACAAAAAAAATGTCTTTAAAAGATGATGCAGCCTGGCCAACATAGTGAAACCCTGTCTCTACTAAAAATACAAAAATTAGCTGAGCATGGTGGCAAGCGCCTGTAATCCCAGCTACTTGGGAGGCTGGGGCAGGAGAATCACTTGAACCCAGGAGATGGAGGATGCAGTGGGCCGAGATCACGCCATTGCACTCCAGCCTGGGTGACAGAGCAAGACTCTGTGTCAAAAACAAACAAACAAACACAAACAAACAAAACATGTGACTGACTGCAGAGTTGAGAAGAGGTGTGCAGGGTACATGACTGTACAGTGTTTCTATACAGATACCATAGATGGAAATAGCTTCATGAGCAGACAGAACAGTAAAAATGGACTACAATACTTAGGAAATGATAAGTTTTGATGGTTACCTTTGCTTTTTAATATGATTTATTTACTTGCAAGTTTATATAATTTGATTTTTAGTAATGGCTGTGTTTAACAACTGGCTCATGAAATTTCTGAAAATATAACAATCAGATTTCATGAGTCACTTCAGCACAACATGAAGTACAGGGCACCTGGGCTAGGCCCATCACAGGCACAGCCTCTGACCAACCCTGGAAGAAGGCAACAGTAATGGAAGTTTGAAGTATGGGAAAGCACAACCTTGAACCCCTCCACGGGGAGCAGGCTCTGGCCTCCCTGAGTCCCCATCCCAGCTTCCCTTCATCCTGCAGCCTCTGCAGCTTCTGGCCAACCCTGGATAGCTACATGGCCTTCTGGGAGCTTCAGCCCCATCAGCCTGTGGCCCCTGGAGACAAGCAGGACTGCCCCTGAGCTGCCCCTGAGTAGGGTCTGGACATCAGTACGGGGTGGAGAAAGACGGAAGAAGCCCCAGTTGTTACAACTTGGGCTCTGGTTGTGATACCCCCACTGCCTGTACACCTGCTCCTCCCCTTGGCTCCCTCTGATGTGGGGCCCTGCCTGACCCCAGCCTCCTTTATGGGGCCTGGCTCCTCCTGCAAGCCCACCTCCCATAGAGGGATATTGAACCCCAGCCCCCACTACCTGGGTCACCAGACTTTGGGTAGTTCTCACAGAAGTAAGATTCCATAACATTATCACCATGGAAATGCCCTATGTTTCCCCTAGGTGCTTCTGGTATCTCCATCTACTCACCTTCTCCGCACTGTTACTACTAACAGCAAGAACTCACTATTATTGAGCATTTACTAAGTGTCAGCCACTGGGCTGCCACAGTGTGACCCTGTGAGATAGGAGACATTATTATCCTCATTTTGCAGAGAGACAACCTGAGAGTCTCAGAGCGGTGAAGTCATTTGCCCAAGGGCACACGAAGCAACATGTTCTTGAAAGCGATTATTTTTGTTTATATTTCCTAAAAACAATTAGTCTCTATTACTTTTTTAAGTTTGCATATGATTGATTTTGCCCAGGTTGTGCCCATAGAAGTCCTGAGTGGGGGTCAAGGGGTAGGGAGAAGCTTCGGGGGAAGGCAGATGGGGGACACACATGCTAGAAACAGAAATTGCCACATGAGTGAAAAAACAAGAAAAGGATTTCAATCTTTCTCCCTCCCCTGCCTCCCACTGGGGACATGCTTCCCCACTGGGGAAGAGGGAGCATTTTCTTAAGAGTCCCCAGAGCTAGGTTTGAGTTCTGGCTCTCCCACTTCCCAACAATATACCCTTGGGCAGGTCAGCGGGCCTGTCTGAGCCTCAGTTTCCTCCTCTGTAAAGAGGGCAGAGCAATAATAGCCATAATGGGTGGGGACAAGAATGAGAGCAGAGTGCTCAGCATGGTGTGAGCCCTGCGCCTGTTTGTTGCTATTTATCATTATCATTAGCTTTAAATGACAACAGTATGACCTGGGCCACAGAACCATGGCCCTACCTACACCCGGGTCCCTATGGCCACTCCCTTGTGGGCACAAACAGCAGACTGCTTCTCTGGTCTTTTGCCGACAAGATTCAAAACCCCTGTCCAGACACATTCACTGGAAATGTTCCTGAAACTCTATGGGGAGCAGCGGCTGTCCCTTCCCCACCTCTGGGGCTGCCTCGTCTACTGATGGAGGAAGTGCTCTTGAGAAACACCCAGTCGTGCCTCACATTTTACAGACTGTCCACAGGCTCCAGGGCTCTGGGTTTGATCAATTCAGAAGGGCCTGACACAGACAATCCAGGTTTGGAGGCCGACAGGGGAAAGAGCCCTGAGATCAAGTGTCAAGCGGGCACAGACTGGCTTAGCCTGGGGCTTCTTGCCAGACACAAACCAGGCCTGAACATGGTGAGGGCTGCTAGGAAGCCAGCCTGGCCAGATGCCAGAGAGGCCTGGGGGGTCTCTTGGGGCTGGCCCAGATCTCTGTCCTCCCCTGCTGCCCTCTGTCTGTGAGGCCACATCTTTAGCCCCAGGCACCGGACTGGTGATGGAAAAAGGGACCATGAGCATACCTCTCTTTTCCAACTTTGCTGAAGAGAGTCCTATTTCCCCATGAGCAGAGAGACTCCCTCACTATTCAAAGTCATATCCTCTGATGCGGGCCCTGTGACAGTTTCACAACATCGAAGGTTTAGCTGGAGTCCTGTGCACGACCACTTTTGAGAGGTTAGTGCAGCACCCACTTCACAGATGGGAAAGTAGTGGTTTGGAGAGGGCTAGGGTCCAGCTGATGGCAGCTCAGCTGTGAGCTGCTGTCTTTCCATTTGATCCAGGTCTTCTGATTCATGGTCCAGTGCTCTTTCAACCAGGCCACTATGGTTCCCATGAAAGCAATGGGTGTTTGCATCCGGCAGAGGGAACATTCCTTTTCATCCTCCTTCCAGAGGGGCTGTGGCCACCCCAAGTCTGGCAGCTTTACGAGAACAGGCTTGTAAACTCAGCAACAGCCTATAATCCTTTTTATGGGGCCTGCTATGGTAATAGACACTCATCGGCTCTCCCAGGCTAAGCCTGGTGGGTGTTGAGGGTGAGTGTCGGAGGGGAGCCAGGCCTCCTGTTAGCTCACCCCACCGCTCTCTGCTTTGGGTAAATGGTCCAAAGGGAGGGGCAGGGCCCACAGGTTTCTGAACAATGCCAGGACTGTCAGCTGGGAGCATTCTGCAGCCTGGTAGAGGAGGAAGCTACAGAGGGAAACAGTGGTCAAATCACCCACCCTGGGCATCTACACTGGCATCACTTTGCACCCAGGAGCTCCAGTAGGGCGGGGAAGAGGGGAAGCATTGTTTACAATTCAAACTCCTGACTCCTCTCCAAAAACCTCCTGATTCAGAATCTCTGAAGGTGTCTCGAGGGATGTGCATTGATTCAGAGCCTTTGAGGCAGGCCAATATTTTATATCCACGCCAGGGAGAAGCAGAGAATAATGTCAGGGAAGTGACAGGACAGTCAGGATGGTAGATTATGCATTTACTCACTCAACAAACATTTGCAGAAATCAGGCCTAGATCTTAGGCCGGGCTGCCCTTTGCCACGGGTGGGTGGGGTCTGACCCCCCTTCACCTGTGGGGTGGCCTTGGACCCTGCCCCTTCCCTCTCTGCCATGGTGTCCTCCTCTGTCAAATGCAGAGTGTCTGTGGTCCTTTCCAGCTCTAGCACTTTTTGATGCCATCAGGGTTTCGAGAATGATGCAGGATGACCTTGTTATCCATTAGCATGCAGGCTATTAAAAGACAGAGAGTAGATCCTGGGGAGACGCTGGGCCCTGGGCTCCAGACCAAGGGCCTTTGCCAGGCATTTCTGTCTGCTCTCCCTCACTGAGGGTGCCTGCTGTGGCTCCACGCCAGGATGGACGGATCTCAGCAGCACCTCCCTGTCTGAGCAGAGTTTGAGAGGACAAGCCATGGGGGTCTGGACACCCTTGCTTTACCATAATCTTATGGCCCCCTAAATGACAACACAGACCATGGAATCCTGGTTTAGGATTTTCAAAGTCAGATCTGGATAAGAGGTTGCTAAATGATATGTATGATACGCCCACATGTTTGTGAACCACATGTTTTTGTGTGTGTGTGTGTGTGTGTGTGTGTGTGTGTGTATGTGTGGTGTGTGTAGAAAAAAAATCTAGGTTGATGCTTCTAGACTTTAAAAATGTCTTGCTTGGCTGGGCACGGTGGCTGACACCTGTAATCCCAACACTTTCGAAGGTTGAGGTGGGCAGATCACCTGAGGTCAGGAGTTCAAGACCAGCCTGGCCAACATGGCAAAAACCCATCTCTACTAAAA
This sequence comes from Homo sapiens, assembly GCF_000001405.40. NCBI lineage: Eukaryota > Metazoa > Chordata > Mammalia > Primates > Hominidae > Homo > Homo sapiens. Next base: position 44,455,369 of record NC_000011.10, read on the forward strand.
ATACAGAAAAAAAGTAGCCAGGCATGGTGGCCCACACCTGTAGTTCCAGCTACTCAGGAGGCTGAGGCACAAGAATTTCTTGAGCCCGGGAGGCAGAGATTGTAGTAAGCCGAGATTGTGCCACTGTACTCCAAACTGGGCAATAGAGCAAGACTCTGTCTCAAAAAAAAAAAAAAAAGTATTGCTTTCCTCATTGTAAAGTGCAGATAATAGTAATAAGACTTAACCCAAAGGTTGTTGGGAGGATTAACTGAAATAGTATATATGAAGCACGAAACACTTAAACAGTGCCTGGGACATCATAATTATTCCATATAGTTGTTATTTACACGACATTTTCTTTCTTTCTTTCTTTCTTTTTTTTTGATGGAGTTTCGCTCTTGTTGCCCAGGCTGGAGTGCAATGGTGTGATCTTGGCTCATTGCAACCTCCGCTTCCCAGGTTCAAGCAATTCTCCTGCCTCAGCCTCCCTAGTAGCTGGGATTACAGGCATGCACCACCACGCCCGACAAATTTTGTATTTCCACTAGAGACAGGGTTTCTCCATGTTGGCCAGGCTGGTCTCAAACTCCTGACCTCAGGCGATCCGCCTCCCTCAGCCTCCCAAAGTGCTGGGATTACAGGGCCACCATGCCTGGCCCTTACATGATATTTTCACAACTTTGTCATACCTGGGTATCATCTATATCACTAATCTATATCATCGATATCACTAATATGTAATAAAATTCCTCTATCTATATCACTGTATCACTAATATTTAATAAAGCTCCTCAACTCTGCTTACGTTTTTTCTTTCTACTTCAGGAAATTTATTTAAAGGGAAATGTTATATCATTACTATAAATGAAAAAAACAGTTTCAATTGCATGAAGAGAATAAAGAAGAAAAAATTAACAGACGGGAAATAAAATAATGTTATTAAAAGGCAGGCAGATGGTGGTGGTGGTGGTACAAGAATCTACACCTGATAAAATGGCATAAAGTGGCTGAGTGTGGTAGCTCATACCTGTAGTCTCAGCTACTCAAGAGGCTGAGGCAGGAGGATCACCTGAGCCTAGAAGGTCGAGGCTGTAGTGAGCTAGGATCATGCCATTGCACTCCAGCCCAAGCAACAGAGCAAGAACCTGTCTCAATAAATAAATAAATAGGCATAAAACTATACACACACATTGTACTAATGTCAGTTTTGTGGTTTTAATGTTACACTATAGTTCTTTCAGAACTGGGAGAAATTGGGTGAAGAATATATACACAAGGCAACTTCTTGTGAATCTGTAATTATTTAAAAATAAAAAGTAAAAAAGAAAATCCTAAGAACACATGGTTGCCTTCTCCTAGCCTAAGCCTGGGTCTCCCTCTGTTGAAAAGAGGAACTGGCAAGTACTGATGTCAGAGATCCTAACCCCACACCAAGACTTTCTCTTTGACAAATCAGAAGGATAGAAAGAGAATTCTGAAAAGAATGCAGCTTTGTCACTCTGGGAGTCAAAGTCGTGAAACACGAAACCATCTCACATGCCAGGAGTGGTGTGTGCCCACTTTGGCTAACACTGTCCCTGGTGTCACCTCTGCTGCCTGTCTGGGACGGACGGCTTACTGCCCTGTTGTGTGGCGGAGAGGGCACCTACTTATCCTAGGAACCACACAGCTGCAGGGCAACAGCCCCACTCTATTTAACACTGCTAACACTCCGGAACCATGGACAGGCATCGTGCTCTACCAGGCGCCCCTGGTGGCTGGCACTGAACATCGTGAAGTCAGGATGCCCGGGTCTGGTCACAGTTCTAATTGCAAAGTCACCATGTGGCCCTATGCAAGTCCATTCTGGGTTATGCCTTCTCTATCTGTAGAATGGGAGCCTGTAACATCAGATCTCACATTCCCCAAAGAAGAATCAAGAAAGAGCACTAAACCTCCGGAAATTGTAAGTCAAATGTCTGTGCATTTTTCTGGGGAGAAGGTCTAGGGCTGTGCTAACCAAGTCAGAGCAACCAACCATCTCAGTTTACCTGGGACTAAGGGGTTTCCTGGGACATGGGACTGTCCGTGCTAAAACCAAGATTGTCCTGGACAAACCAGAACAGCTATTTACCCAAAGTGTGGCAGCCGGAGGCTATAGAGCACTTGAAATGTGGCTAGTCCAAATTGAGATGGGCTGTAGGAGTAAAATACATAGCAGATGTTGAAAACTTAGTGTGGAAAAAAGAATGTAAGCTATCTCATGAATTATTTTCATATTGGTTATATGTTGCAATGATAATATTTTGGATATATTAGGTTAAATAAAATATGTTAAAGTTTATTATTAGAATTTATTATTATTAAAATAAATTAGTTTCTTTAAAAATTGTTAATGTGACTACATAAAAAATTTAAAAATTACATCTATGGCTTACTGTATTCAGCAGAGTCCCAAAGGGGTCTGGTCTGTGACCCTCAAAAGGCCCTTCTTGATAGGCGGTCCCAAGGTCCCTTCCAAGTTGATGATGGCACCTTTGCCTTTCTGGGTAGATGCCCAGACTTTTCTTCATTGAAGGCACTTGCATGCACCCACATCTGTGCATGGGGATCTCCACCCACTGTCCCTCTCCTTTCCTAATGGCCACCCTGCCCCCATCCTTCTGTTGAAAGACACCCCTGAAAGCCCAGGGCTTCCTCCCCTCTATGCTCCATGTGATTTTCATTTGTCTAATTAAAGCTAATCTGATAAAGGCAGGAATTGCAGAGATTGGTAAAAGCTCCAGTGAGCACAGGTCATGTCCTGATCCAAAGAGGGGGTCTTTGTCTCCCCAGCCCCAGGCAGGGGCCAGCTGGGCAATGGGTCACCCAGGGGAGTGGGCAGAGGAGCCAAGACCAAGGAAGGGCTCTTCTTGGACAAGCTGGGCTTATATCATTGTGCTGACCATTTGCAAACACCGCCACAAAGAAGCTGAGGGAAGAGGCTAAAAAGATGAAAATACACTGAAAATCACAAGAGAAACACCCTGTGAAAAACTGAGTGGCTCAGAGGGCTAATTACAGGCTAGAGTCCTGGCCTGCTGTCCCTTCTCCTTTCTCTTCATGCCAGTGGCATCATCTAGAGAGAGAGGCCAGGGTTATGGCCGCTTCTCCAGAGAAACAGAGGAGGACTCAATATGGTAGACCGTTATCCTGTAACCACGGACACTGAGTTTTTCCAGGGCCTTGGAATCTACCCAAATTCACCCCTGGAGTCAACTTCCAAAGCCTCCCCAGAAATACACTTCTTCAAGAGGTAGAACTCCTGCAGCAGCCCCTTTGATCACAGAGGACACTGTGACACCCACCTACCAACTTACTCATCCAAAATGCTGGGAATTCAGAGATGATCTTGATGAGCTGGAATGTTCAAGTTTTTCTGTTTGCTTCAGCTCCTTAGTTTAAAATTCTCTGCTTCCTCTTAGGTGGAGGGAGGTAGTTCAGTATGGAAGATGCTGCCAGTTCATTAGTTAATTAGGCCAGAAGCATTTACCAAAGAGTTGGTGTAAAACTGACCCTCTGCTAGGAATTTTGATGGAGACAAGAGAAGAAAAAAGGGGCTCTGCCCTCCAGGAGGTCATACTGTCTTTGGAGAAGCTCAGTTTGTACACAAGAACAACCAGAGAATAGGGTGGACATATTCAATTGCCAACTGAGCAGGGCACAGCCAGGGCTCTCAGAGATGAGAATGGAGAAGAGCACATGAGCTTCGGGTGTCAGGGCAGACATTTTGGAGAGGGTGTGCCTGAGCTAGCCTCATGAAATGAGAGCAAGGCTAATGGGAATAGGACTACAATGGGTAGGAAGCCAGGCCTGGATTCTACTTGGAGTTCTTGCATCCACTATGTGAGCTTGGGCAACTCAACCCCATCCTTGGGCCTCATCTTCCTCATCTGTAAAATGAGGGTAGTGACTGGGTTGACATTTTTACTGACCATGATGTTCTAGAATTTGAAGCATCAGAGAGGAGCAGGTGGGAATCCCAGGTGGAAGAAGTGTTGGAGAGCTGATAAAACTGAGAAAGCTCCTGGAAAGTGGGGGACTCGTAGCCAAACTTGTTGGGAATGGCTCCCCAAAGGCAGAGAAAGTGACCTAGCTCTTTTGCTCATTGCAGTCCATCCCAGGGCAAAAAAGGCCCATGGCCTCACTGGGGTCTCAAACAAGTGTATGCACCCAGCTGAGGTGTAGGCCAGGGCGGGTGTCATGGGAACTGGCTCTCTGCTTTTGAGGAGAGAAGGGAGATCTGACCTCAGAGGCCTTGCCTGGTGCCAGTGTTCTTTGCTAACAGACTTTGGACCATTTCCCCAGAGCCCTCTCTGGCTTTATCTATCATCTTCCCAAGAGAAGCAGAACCTCAGGTCAGAGCTGACTGTGCAGTGAATATGGGGGAGGAATGAGCTGTGGATTCTAGAGAAGTGCTAAAGACGAGTTATGCCACTTTGGTTTCATCCGTATTGGAGCTCAGTCCAGCTGCAGCCCTTGTCACCCCAGCTTGGATCAACCTATGAGAACCTTTCAGGAAGTTCACCAACAGAAACAACTGTGAGCTTCATTCCTTGCTTTGTTCTTCCAACTGAACAATTAGGAAGTGGCTGTGGAAGGCTGTTGTGCTGTTGTGTGCTAAAAATGTGCATATGGTGTGCGAGGGCAGCTTTTCTAACACTGGAAAATATTCCATGTGGACTTTATCTCAGGCAGGCTTCAGAGAAATGTCTGGGGCAGTGTGTCTTCCTCTGTCCCATCACCCTGCTTTATCTTCTTCATTGACTCATCACTATCCAAAATTATTTCCTATGCTGTACTTGTTTAACCTATGCCCCCACCTCTCACATAAATGCTAGCATGTAGCTCCACGAGGAGCAGGGACTGTGTCTCTACTGGTTACTGCTCTATCCATGACCCTAGAATAAGGCCAGACACTCAACAGGTGGTGAGTAAAGGTTTGTCAAATATGCAGATATGGATGTTCTGCTTGGGAATGGGACAATGTTGAACAGTGGGGTGTAGAATGCAATCAGGTGATGTGGGCTGGCGTCAGCCCGAAGGAAACAGAGGACATATTCAGGCAGGTGAATCGAAGAGAGTTAAACAAAGTCAAATGAAAGTCTCTGGCCCATGCCCTCTTCTGTCCACCCCATGGCTCCATCCTGCATCCTAAGGGGCTGTCCATGCAAATGCGGAGCTACATAAAAGCTCGGTCCTGGGCTGTTTGAAAAGGCATAGTTTGTTTCCAGGGAAATGGAAAAGGGACAAAGAAGCACAGGGGCTGGGGAGGAAGAGGATGATGACCACCTAGGCCTGAAGGGGCAGGGAGGAGGCAGTTACTGGAACCCTGAAAGCAAGCTACATAGAAAAGGTAGCCTGGTAGGAGCTGAGGCCTTTGGTAGAGGGGCATGGCTGGGCCACGGTGACCTGGCAGGGAGGGTGCTGGAACAAATGCCCTGACCTCCTTCTCCTTTTCCCTCCCACTCTCTTCACAGTGCCCCCAATTGGCAGAACCCAGCCAGAAGCCTGAGGGCAGGGGAGACTGATGATGGAGTCTACACGGGAGATGGGTGGCTGGGGGAGTCAGTCTTGGGGGCTCCAGAGCAGTGTGGAGAAGGGTGGAGGGGGACCCAGAAGAGCAAACGGAAAAAGTCCAGCATAGGCAGAGGAGGGGGCCATGCTGTTCTCCCATAGTTTCTCATTACAAACACAAAACTCTGGGCTAGAAATAACTGTAGTCGTTTTGGCATCATTTACAGTTTCTGTGGGTCAGGAATCCAGGAAGGGCTCTGCCGGGTGGTTCTGGCTTGTGGCCTCTCACGCTGTTCCAGACAGATGGAGGCTGAAGCTGGAGTGGTGAGGGGCTGAAGGGCTGGCTGAGAGCAGTTAAGTTTCTCTATGTCTTCTAGAAACTGCTAGGCATCCTACGTGGTCTCTCCATGCGAGCCACATTGTATTTCCTTACTGCATGGTGGCCTCATTGTAGTAGAACATCTTACAGGAGGCTCAGGGCTCGAGCATGGATATTCAGTGAACCCAGAAGCAGCAGCCTCACTTTTTCTGATCTACCCTTAGAAGTCAGGTAGTGTCATTCTGCCATAGTCTAGTGGTTAACCAGTCACTAAGGCTGGCCCAGACTCAAGAGGTGGGGGACCCCACATCTTCATGAAAGGAATGCCAAAGAATTTGAAGACACATTTTTTAAAGCCTGCAGGATGAACTATAACTGAACATTATTTGGGTGTCAGCCAAAGAAGTCCAAAAAGGTGCTTGGGAGGACACAGGGACAGAATGGAAGTTTCCAACATTGTTAAGAAGTTGGATCTTTTGCATGTCTCCTTTTTAGGAGCTGAAGGACAGAGGATTGGAGAGGGAAAGTAATGGTTCTAGGGTCACACAGCTATATCTTAGCCTAGAAGAGCAGAACGCTGTCTTGAGAGATTCTGTGCTTGGCAGTCAATAAGGAGGGGAATGAGGGGATGGTCCTGACCAATAAACCTCCAGAGCTGCTCACCCAATGCTGGAGAACTGAGAGCATTCAGCTAATTTCCTTTCACATTTGCCTTCCAGACTCCTGCAGCCTCCCTCCCTGGAAGGAAGGGAGAAAGAAAGGCAATTTGGAGACTATCAAAGAGAATGGCTTTCACTTTCAGGGAGCTCGCTGGGAAAGATTGCTTCCAGGTGGCCTCTCCTGGGGCCCCTCCCAGCTTGGCTGGGGAGCACATGGGACTGGTGATTGGTCAGTGGGCTTGGAAAGCTGGGGGAACTACTCCCCTGGCCCCAAAAGCCTTTCCCCAGAGCTTCTGAGGCTGCCTGATTCCTGACCAGATCTCTGCTCACAGGTCCCTCTCCTTGGGGGCCTTCGCTCATTATCTGCACAGAGTCATCACCACTGCTGCTGCAGCTTCCTCTAGGACCACCCTTAGAATGGGACACTTCTAGAACCTGACTCAGAGGGCCCTTCTCTGCCCCACCTCTGGCTGCACCCAACTCATGTAATGAGAAGCCCATGGGCTGAGGTGCTGGGCCCACCTGAAGAACACATCCTTCTTCTAGACCACACTTGGGGTCCTGAGGACTCTGGAATTCCCTGTCCAAACATTCTGAGCCTACTTCTATGACTGGGAATCTCTTCCTCTGGCCTGTTCTCTAAGGACCAGCCATGCTGCTTGTGTGAGCACCCCTAGGCCCAAGGGTGGTCCAAGGGTGCTGTTTGGCATATGGTGAGGTTGAGGAGGTAGACTGAGCTTTTATGTGGCTATGCATGTTCATGGGCAACCCCTTAGAATGTGGGATGGAGCCATGGGGTGGAGAGAAAAAAGAATGGCCAGAGACTTTCATGGGCCTTTGATGGGCCCCACATATACCAGGAGTGTTCCTGGCTTTCTATCACATCACCCTGTTTTATTTCTTCCTAGTGATTTTCACTCTGAAATGTGTTACTCCTTTTCTTTTTTCCTGCCCTTCCTTCCCCCAGTAGAAATACACCCTCAGCAGGAGCGGAGGCCTTAGGTTGCACACCTGTTTCTGAATTATGGTCCCTCTGTCTCCTTGGCAAGGGGTGGGTAGTAGTCCATGAGAATGTCTGTTAGTCTGTTCTCCCACTGCTATAAAGAATACTACCTGAGACTGGGTAATTATAAAGGAAAGAGGTTCAATTGACTCACAGTTCCACAGGCTTAATTGGAAGCATGGCTAGGAGGCCTCAGGAAACTTAGAGTCATGGTGGAAGGTGAAGGGGAAGCAGGAATCTTCATCACAAGGTGGCAGGAGGGAGTGTGTTAAAGAACAAGGAAGACTGTCCTCTCTGCCCTGTGCCTTGGCCTCCTGCTGGCCTGCTTGCCACCCACTGCCCCTTCCAGCCTGGACTTTCCATTCCTCCACCAAGACCATTCCTCCAGTAATGACCCCTAACTTGCATGTGAAGAAACAGCATTCAAGTTAGCCCTCTGCACTGAATGGCCATTATTTACGCATTAAAAAAGTACATAATGTATTTTTACTCAGACTCAGATGAACAGAATGGACAAGAAGAGGGAAATGGTGCAGAAGATGATGAAACAGTGAGAAAAATGAAATCAGCTCATATTTATGGAATGCTATGTACAAGGGTTGTAGTTGCTTTTCAATCCCATGAATCAGGTAATATTAATATTCCCATTTTACAGATAAGGAAGCTGAGGCACAAGGGGTCCATGGAGCTAGTAGGTGGCAGAGCCAGGATTTGCACTCAAGAGAAGCAGGAGAGGCAAGGCCAGGGCACCCCTCCCTGTGGTGGGGTACAGAGAGGCCCTGGGGGAATTTTGCTAAATGAATGGAAGAAATGAGCTTTGTCCCTGCCCTTGAGGGAAAGGTGACATTTAATCAGACTGACAGGACCCTCCAGGATGAAGCACTGCAATGCAGGAGAGGCATGCAGTTGAGGGAGCCAGTCTGTACTGGGCCCAGGGTTCCCTGACCCCGCTGTGTCACTATGTCTGGTGTCAAGGGCTGGGATGGGTCTTTTGTCTCTGGTTTCCACATACCCCTAGCCCCGTAATGGTCTGCCTGGCTTGACGCAGAGTAGGTGCTCACTCAATACTCACTGCCCTGTGATGGGGCACGCACCCGCCATGGGGACAGGCTCTCCAGGGTGGGGCCAGCACAGGGATCCACTGAGATCTCAGTGCTGTCTGGCAGACTGTCCTCCCTGCCCTGTGCCCTGGCCTCTTGCTGGCCTGCTTGCCACCTACTGCCCCTTCCAGCCTGGACCTTCCATTCCTCCACCAAGATGTCCCAACAATGCATTCTCTCTTCTGGGCCAAGTCGGGGTTGGGGCATGTGAGGTGAGACTGAGAATCCAGCTGAGAAAATTGGCTGGATTTCTCGGTGATGGGCACATTCCTGCCTCTGAGCCTTTCTTGTCTCATGTGTCCTCTTCAAAACCTCATCTCAGGTGCCAGCTTTCAGATGGCTTCTCCAGCCCTACCCTGGTCATCCAGGAGCTGGAAGGAGAGGTGAGGGAAGGGGCCCAGTGGGAAAAAACGGAGCAAAGGAGGAGCTGCAGGTCCCTCCTCTCTTCCACACCCATGTCACCTAACTCATTCTATTGAGCCATTGTTTTTTGCTAGTTAGTTTTGTTTAATTGTGGTAAAATATACATAACATTTACCATTTTATACCATTTTAATTGTACAGTTCAGTAGGTTAAGTATACTCACATTGCTGTGAATCACATCTCCAGAATTTTTCCATCTCGCAAATCTGAAACTCTGTGCCCATTAAACAACTCATTTCCCTCTGCCCCCAGCCCCTGGCAACCCCTGTTCTACTTTCCATCTCCAGGAATTTACTGCTCTAGGTGTCTTGCTTTAATTGGAATCACATAGTGATTGTCTTTTTTTGTGACTGGCTTATTTCATTTAGCATAATGTCCTTAATACATCCATATCACAGCATGTATCAGAATTTCTTTTCTTTTCAAGGCTGAATAATATTCTATTGTACGGATAGACCACATTTTGCTTATCCACTCACCTGTCAATGGACACTTGGGTTGCTTCCACCTGCTGGTTATTGTGAATAATGCTGCTAGAATTTGGCTTCTTAGAGCATCAAGACTGCTATTCATTTAGAACCAGGTGATCTACATACTTTTGTAAGAGCATTATGGTCTCCATTTTACAATGGAAGAGAAAGGGCTCCAAAAGTTTATGTCCCTGCCCCAGATCCCACAGCCAGTAAGTGTCAGGGCCTGGCTTTGAATTTATATCTACACCAAACCCCACACACATTTAGCCCCTGCTTTCTACTCCCTCCTTCCCTGAGGGTGTTTGTTTTTATCTCTTATTCTGCTGGGAGCTGTACCGGGTGCATGTGCCCCTTCTGAGGCTAGGAACCAGAACTTGCATAGGATCGTACAGCATAGTGGCTAAGGATCAAAGACTCTGAATCCAGACTGCCCGAGTTCAAAGTTGGCTCCTTGAGTTTATCAGCTGTGTGACATTTGCCATAATGGATTAGTGATGTCTGCTATGGGCTCAGGCTAGGGGACATATGCCTCCTGTCTGCCTCTCTGGACAAAATGCAAAGCTCACTTGAAACCCTGCCCCACACTCAGGCTCCTTCCAGATTCTTGGTCTTGGAAGTAACAATGTTTCCTACAGAACTGCAAGAGCAGAGAGGCCACGTCTGAAGATTGGGTTTCTGGCATGACTTGCCCTGGGGGGATTTGGTTTTCGTAAGAGTGGGAGAAACTTCCCTGGCTCATAGTCTGTTTCCCAGGAGGCAGCAGGTTTGGGTCCCCTGCCCTGTTGGCCATCAGGCCCCAGGTGGAGATTAGAGTATATGAGGGCCTCCTTCCTCCACTGTTCTCCCACACCCTGTGTCTTCCTGTCCCTTGAGCTGTTGTTTATTGTCCAGAACCTGGCCACATTTTTTTTTTTTTTCTTTCTTTCTTTCTTTCTTTCTTTCTTTCTTTCTTTCTTTCTTTCTTCTTTCTTTCTTTTTCTTTCTCTCTCTTTCCTTTCTTTCTTTCTTTCTTTCTACCTTCCTTCCTTTTTCTTTCTTTTTTCTTTCTTTCTTTCCTTCCTTCCTTCCTTCTTCTTTTTTCTTCTTTCTTTCTTTCTCTCTCTCTCTCTTTCTTACAAGAGTCTCGCTCTGCTGTCCAAGCTGGAGTGCTGTGGCGTGATCTTGGTTCACTGCACCCTTGACTTCTCAGGCTTAGGTGATTCTCCCGCCTCAGCCTCCCAAGTAGCTGGGACCACAGGTGTGTGTCACCATGCCTGGCTAACTTTTTGTATTTTTTTGTAGAGACCGGATTTCGCCGTGTTGCCCATACTGGTCCTGAACTCCTGGCCTCAAGCAATCTGCCTGCCTCGGCCTCCCAAAATGCTGGGATTACAGGCATGAGCCTGGCCCTGGCCACATTTGGAATGTATTTACAAGGTTCCTACTGGCTCCTTCTTCCACAGGGTTTCTGAGGCCTGTAGTTCCCCCTGCTTTTCCTCCTGCCCCCCGCATCTTGTTAAAGCAAATCTTTATGCAAGATCCTGGGAGAGGTGGCATGGGCACTCTGCTTGCTCTTGCCCTGAACAAAACTTCTGCTGACCCCAGGGCATAGGAGTGGACAGGGGAGATGGGTTTGCTGGCTGCAGGGCAGTGGGGTTGGGTGTGGCATGGGGCAAGTGTGGGAAGATGACATCAGCACCACTCAGGGTGACAGGAAGAAAGCAGTGCGTGCCCCCGAGGGTGATGGTGTGGGTGTGGGCGGCAGACAGGTGACTACAGGGAATGTGGCTGGTGAAGGTGTGAGGAGGTGGGACTGGAGCAGGTGTGTGTGTGTGGCGGGAGCGATAGTGTGGGTGTCCTCATAAATGTCACCATGAGTGACTGACAGAGTAGGCGGGTGGTAATTCCAGTGGGTGACTATCTCGGCGACACTGCGATGGGTGGGGAGCCAGAGTGCGCGAGAGGATGCCTGTGGCAGGCGCCAAGACACCGCTGGGCTTGCCTCCTGGGGACGTCCTTCATGCCAGAAAGAAAGAACGAATGTGTTTTCTCTGCCTGTTGAAAATGATTCCGAGCGAAGGGCTGTGCTTCCTGGCTGGCGCGAGCCTGACTCTGCTGTGTCAGAAGATGATCTTTCACAGATGCTGAAAAGTTAGGAAGTGTAATTATGGGGAAATTGCGCTCAGGCAAACGAGTACAAGCCAAGGGCTGCCAGGCCCCATTCCTCACCTGAACGCCCTGATTGTGGCCGACAGCCCCACATCTGTATGTGCTTTGCAGCCAGAAGAGGAAAGAGAGGGGAAGCAGGAATGGGGCAGGGAGGGGAGGGATAGGGAGGGGACCTGGAGCCACCCCTGCCAACGGCTCCCCAGCTTCCTCGGGGAGGAGCTGAGGGAAGGCTGAGGCCTGGGGCACATTCCTGAGTTCCGAGGGCCTTCTGGGGCGCCCTCATTCTTGGGGGCGATGAGGAGGAAGAGCTGGGGAAGACCAGCAGAGCTGAGGCCACTTCTATTCTATCCTTTTCACGTTACTGGTGAGGAAACTGAGGCTGCAGATGGCCAAGGGGCACACAGTGAGTTAACAGTGCAGGCAGGATAAGATCCTCCACCTTCTGACCAGCAGGGGCTCTTGCCAGAACCCCTGAGGGGCAGGGTGGGAGGGACAAATAAGGGGCAGACCTGGTGAGCAGCAGGATGCCCCTGCCTCCCAGCCAGCATCTGGTACCAGCCTTTGGGGTAACTCTGACCACTGGGCAGCCTTGGCATTCCTTAAATTCCTGGCTTTCATCCTCCCACCAGGGCTCCTGCCCCATGGCCCCTCTCTGCTGGGACAACTGGGACTCCTCTCAGCAGAGGGACCTGCAGCTCCTCCTTTGCTCTGTTTTTTTCCCACTGGGCCCCTTCCCTCGCCTCTCCTTTCAGCTCCTGGGATAGCCCAGAGCCTGGAGCTGCCCCCTCTTGTTTAAACCCTCCTGGGCCAACTCAAGGGCACCCTGATGCCCTCTGCTCCCCGCAGGATGGGCACTCCCTCCCTCCCACTCCTTGGCCCTCTCCTGGTCTATGGAAACAATTCTTCCCATTGGGCACTAAGTTTGCTCCCCACCTCCATGCTTCTGGAAACAAGCCGCCCTGCCCCCGAGCCTCAGAGGAGGTACAGGCAGGCCCAGGCTGGATAATTATCCCAACGTCCTCCTGGCCCCAGAAATTGAGTCAGGGAAGGATGTGTGACTCCACAGGGCCAATCAGAATTCTTCCCTGAGAAGGACACTGGGAGCAGGAAGCTGGCTTCAGTCCCTCTGCAGCTGATAGATTGGGAAGCTGGAGGTTTGGAAATCCAGCCTTTTCTTTATCCTGTAAAGTAGCCCACCTGCAGGAGGTAAGAGTGACGCACACAGAGAGTTAGAGGTGGGAGCGGGGCATGAAGAAATGACTGATTGTTAGCATTTTTGAACTCTGGATTTAGTCCTGTCTTCATCCCCATACTTCCCAGTTGTATTAGCTAATTTCTATTTTATTCCATTATCTTATTCTATTCTATTCTATTCTATTCTATTCTATTCTATTCTATTCTATTCTATACTCAGTGCATTCAACTGGGTTTCCATCACTTGCAATCAAGAGACCTAATGAATGCAGCTGTCACAGAGCTGGAGCTTGGGTGTCCTGGGACATGTTGATGGGTAAGTTGGCAGGACCGAGGTAGGACCAGTGCCAGAGAAGATCATGATCCTCTCCTGGCTGGGTGGGGCTTGGTAAGTGGCAGTCTGGCATGGTAGAAATTTGCCAAGGAATAAATATGCACAAAAGAATTAAACAGTTATACCCCAACACAGAAGCCAATGGACAGCATTTAGCTCCAGCTGCAGCCATTGAAGGAATGCTTGTCCAGGGGTGAGAGAAGCACATGCAAGGGGAAAGGCTATCTGAGGGAAGGCAGGGTTCCAGGCAATACTCAACCTAGAGGACACACTTGGGGATGAGGCATAGGAGAGGAATTGGAGCAGGAGAAGCAGGGCAAAATGGGCCTGCAGTGTGGGCTCCACTGTCACCAAGAGCCACTGGGGGGGAAGCATCACTGAACAGCCTGGTGATGCCACTAGTAATTGACATTTAGTAGCCCAAAACTCAGTGGCCTATTTTATTTTATTCCAGGTCCAAGTCTCGTGTCCTTTTGATACACCTGGCTTTTCTGAGAACTTTTCTGCCTGGAATACTGGCTGGGAAAGGGCAGGGAAGCCCTTGCACAGCCAGCTGGAGCTGAGTGCCTAGAAGTGATATAAATGTTGGTGGTTTTGTCTAGTTTGGTGTCTTGCCTTAGCCACACCTGAAGTCATTCTTGTCACTCAATGACTTTGTTTCAGACACAGCCAATGAAGAGGGGAAAGGAGAGTATTTGCAAAGTACCTAGAATATGTCAGGCAAAGTTGCATACCTTTACTTCTTTTCATTTGCCTTACATCTGTGATCTCATTTAATCCTACAATGACCCCATAGGGGATATGTTATAATTCCCACTTCACAGATGAGAAAACTGAAGCTCAGAAAGATTAAGTAACTTGCTCAAGGTCTCCGAGCTAGAATGGGGCAGAGTGGGAACTCCAACCCAAATGTGTGTGTCTCTAAACTCTGACCTTTCTCCAGTGCCTTGCTTCCTCTGGAGAACTAAACCCTCCCTTGGAAGGACATGATGGAAACTCAACAGCCGACTTGACAGTCAGGAACTGCAGAGTCTCCTGTGAATGATTTATGATTACGTCAGCGATGAGACTCTGGGTAAGCCCTACTCCCTGCTCACTAGGGTGCAATGTCCTTGGCAGGTCCTGGCTCCACCTTTTAGCAAACATTGTTCTAGAGAGCTGGAACCCCTACCTGCCAAGAAATGGCCAACTTCAGCCTCTCAGTATCCAGGCTTTCCAGGGAAGTAGGTGCTGCCCCAGCACCCGTCCTCCGTCTGTGGTATCTCCCTCACATGGGCTGCTTCCAGCTTCCTCCTGCCTGGTTCTGGTTGGGCAGTGATGATGATGGCGCTGTGCTCTGCTCAGGCCTCCTCTGGAGTGCTCTCGGTGACTCCCTTCCCTGCACAGAAACATCAAGCTGTGCCTGGTGAGAGGCTTACCCTTCTACCCTCTTCTGTCTATAGAAATCCTATTCCTCTCCAAGGCATAGGACCAATCCCATCTCCCTCACAAAGCCCCTCCTTATGCCTTAACCAGTTGTCTTCAGGCAGATGTGATTTTTTTTTAAACCCCTTTCCCCAGAATTGCATCTTGTGATTGACTTGAAGGCTGGCTCCAATACTAGCTCCTATGAAAACATCCGCCCTCCAAGAAGACTTCATCTCTCTGCCGCCGAGCCTGCAATTTGCAGTTCCTAGAATGTGACTAGGATGAGCTGTGAAAGTGTCAGTTTTTTCTACCAGGGCACCAGGACTCAGGGCGCCTTGACTTTCCCTAAACAGTGACCTCCTGGGACTGAGATGACACTCAACCCGTGTTTTCCAGAATGATGGTTGACGCTTTGGCTGTGTCTCTTCTCCGAATTTATCTAACATGCCTGGGATTAGAGTCATGGAAGTCGTTCCAGGAATACGATCAAGCACAGGGCTCCTTGTACCCCTCACCCCAGGTACCAGAGACTTCCATGTCCTCTCCAGCATTGTTGCTGTTGAAACTCCTCTACCACCAAGCAGTTCAACCTTGGGTAAATAACCTCTCCTCTCTGAGCCTTAATTTCCTCCACAATAAGATGGATAAGTTGGCCAAAATCATCTCTAAAATCTCTCTTAGCCTAAAAATCCTCCCAGCAAGTTCTCACAAAAGCAAACCAATGAATAATGGTGAACAAATTCTCGAATAGTGGAAGCCAAAGCACCAAAACAGGCAATTAAAGCAGAAAGGATCGATCGGGTTGATGAGGATGTTGACAATGATGATAATATTTATCATGATCATTTATTGTGTTGCCACATTAGGCACTTTGTATACACTGTCTTGGATCCTCCCAATAAAACTTTAAGGGGAGAGTAAAACCCATTTTGTAGATGAGGAAACTGAGGTTCAGAGAGCTGATGTGATTTTTCTCATTGTCCTACCAGCAAGTGGTCAAGGCAGAACCTGGAGCTGGGCCCCCTGGGTTCCCTCTGGTACTCTTCTGGAACATTCCAGGCAGGCTCAAGTGGCTGGAGTAGGCCCCGCCTGCCTCCCCTCTGCCCTCTGCGGCTGTTTTGTATCCTGCCAGATTCCTGAAGTGTCAGGCCTCATTACAGCCCCGTGCCCCAGTGAGCATGGAGAGGCAGTTGACAGGTATACAATCTGACCGCGGCTCCCTTCAAATCATCAAGTTGTCTTCAGGCAGGAACGTGCCGGGAAGCTGGGCAGAGGCCCCTGGCTTGGCTGCATAATCTGATGCACATTAAAAACATCTTTCGGATGCCTTTTCTTGTTGCACGCTCATTCTCACTCTCTGTTTTGTTTTGATTTTTGTCCTCCATCCAACAAAAGCTGATGAAGTAGTCAGCTCTGTAGGCTCTCTGGTCCAAGCAGGGTCTCACCAACCAGACAGGTATCCAGGAACTACTGACCTTCTCCGTGTTTGGCTGCCATCTGGGTGACAGCGCCTGTGGCACAGGGCCACATCCTAGCAAGGTTGGACAAGAACCTGTACTCTGCCTCCCTCTCCAATTCCAGGGAGTGAGTTCAATTTTACCACGACTCTCAACGGAGAGCCTGGACTAATAATAATCATTGCTGGCATCAAGTGAATGCTTGATTTGGGGGCTGAACCCCTTTTTATGTTTGGGGAATTCTCCATCCCAGGATGAGAGTAGGCAGAGAAGAGCCAGCTTTCCACCAAGAAGTGGAGAAAGCCAGATCCTTGCTCTCCTGGGGCCCTTGCAACCAGGAAGTGGACATGTGACCAGAGCCAGCAAATCTGATGCTCCTGTCCAGAACTGGACCCAGGCCAGGAGCCATGGAGAGTTTCGCTCCATAGCTCCAAGTGTCCCAGAGTGGCCGGGCCACAAATGGTAGCAACAGGAGTTGGGTGCCCTGGGCTGCAGGTGGTAAACAGGAAGCCTCATCCGTGGGTTCCATAGCATGGCTTGGATTGTGGTTCTGGCCACCAGCTTCTCACTTGTTCTGGCTTTGTCTGACCCTAGATTTCCAGCCTTCCTGGAGACAATGAGCTGTTACCTTTCTGCTTAAAGCAGCCAAAGGCCCCTTTTATTGTTAATAACTAGGACCTCTGGCTAGAACCCCTGTGATTGCTTGTTTAATTCTCATATCAATCCTTCAGGTAACTATTAGCCTCGTCTTACAGACGAGCAAACTGAAGCATAGAGGGATTAAGTAATAGGAGGTCACACAGTAAAAAATGGCAGGGACATGGATTCAAACCCAAGTCTGTGGACCTCAGAACCTGGGCTCTCAACTACTTCAAGAAAGAGCTCTGGCCGGATGTGGTGGTTCATGCCTATAATCCCAGCTACTCAGAAGGCTGGGGCGGGAGGATCGCTTGAACCCAGAAGTTCCAGGCTGCAGCGAGCCGTGATGTAGCCACCACACTCCAGCCTGAGGGAAAGAGCAAGACCCTGTCTCAAAAAAAAAAAAAAAATCTTATAGTAGACTGGATAATCGCCCTCCAAAGATGCTCATGTTCTAATTCCTAGAACCTGTGAATATGTTACCTTATATGGCAAAGGGGAATTTGCAGATGTGATTAAGTTAAGAATGTTATGATAGGGGGATTGTCCTGGATTATCTGGGTGGATCCATTGTAATCACAAGGGTCCTTATAAAAGAGAAGGAAGATGTAAGGATAGAAGCAGAAGTCAGAGAGGAGAGGAGATGCTATACAGCTGTTTTGAGGGTAAAAGAAGGAGGCCCCCAGCTAAGGAATGCAGGTGGCCTCAGAAGCTGGCAGAGGCAAGGAAATGAGCATCCGGAACAAACCAGCCCCACCAACACCTTGACTTTAGTCCTTGAGACTGATTTTGGACCACTGACCTCTAGAACTGCCAGATAAGACATTTTTGTTGTTTTAAGCCACTACATCAGTAATAGGAAACTATACAGGGCCAGAAAAAACTTTCCACCTTTTGCAATTCTTATTGAAGGTAGGCTATCTAGAGAAGGGAACCTTGTGAGGAGCCCAGCGCAGTACCCCTAGGGCCTGGCACAGTGCCGGGCTCAGGGCTGCTATTCTCTGTATCTGTATTGAATGAAAGGATGAATGAGCACAGGATCCGTGATCCCCTGCCCTGGTTAGCCAGCCTTGGAAGATGAGGCCAGCAATGCAATCATACCCATGGCTTTGGCCCCAAGCCCAAGAGAAGATCCAGGAATCCCAGGTGAGTCACCCACATAGAGGTTTGGGCAGACCTAAGCCCAAAGCTGACCTTGTCACACCCATTACCCTTTCCCTCCAGACCCATGGCCTCTGTCGCTTACAACTCCCATGGTGAGGAAAGGCCAAGACAGAATCAGTGAGCCAAAGAGAGAGATCCAGAGCTGGAGTTTGTTCCTGACCAGAGGCCTCCTTTGAGCTGGGAGCTCTGCTTGGCTGCTGACCCTCTGCAGATCCTGCCACTGCCAACCCAGTGGCCAGCCACCTCCTGAATGTGGCAAACACCTCCCAAGACCAAGACATCAACCCCAGGAGTTTCCATTGAGTGGTCAGGCCCAGTTCTCCTCACTCCAACGGCACAGAGGTTGGAGGGCCAGGGCTCAGCCCCAGTCTAGATGGCCGTGCTGTGTTTCCTGTTTGAGTTTGCTTGCGGACTAATCCCTCACTCAAGCCCTCCAGGTAGGAGGCTAGGCCCTCGGGAGGTGGCCTTGATTTCATGATGATTTTTTTTTTTTTTCTGAGACAGAGTTTCGCTCTTGACACCCAGTCTGGAGTGCAATGGCACAATCTTTGCTCACTGCAACCTCCACCTCCTGGGTTCAATTAATTCTCCTGCCTCAGCCTCTCGAGTGGCTGGGATTACAGGCACCCACCACCATGCCCAGCTAATCTTTGTATTTTTAGTAGAGATGGGGTTTCACCATGTTGGCCAGGCTGGTCTCAAACTCTTGACCTCAGGTGATCCACCCACCTTGGCCTCCCAAAGTGCTGGGATTACAGGCTTGAGCCACTGTGCCCGGCCCAGATTTTACAATGTTTGCCTTTCTGTGGGACATGCCTAGAGGGAGCTTGCCTGAGAACAGCTAACATGATACACATCTCCCCCTATCCCATTGCCTTTGTCATATTTCTGGGGAAGTGGCATGTTCTTCAGGAAGGCTGGGCGCAGTATATGTGAACTCTGTATTATCTTTGCAACTTTTCTATAAATCCAAATTTATTCCAAATAAAAAGCTAATTTAAAAAAGAAAATAAGAACTACACTAGCTTAGGCATCACTCAAGTGGAAGCCACCACAGCAGGCTGGGGTAGCTGTCCCTGCCACTCACACTGGTGGTGCCTGTTCTTTTCCTTGCTGTGATTTAGACCATCCCAAGCTGCGATGATCTTTCCCACTAGACCAGAAGTTCCTGAGGGCAGGGGCTGTGTCTTGTCACATTCTCTGCACCTGTTACAGAGCATTTACCAGTCACCCTTCTAAACACTTCACACTCCTTTCATCCTTGCAGCACCCCTGGGAAGAAGTTGCTATTGCTGTCCCCATGTCACAGAAGAGCAAACATAGGCCAAGAGAGGTCACAAAGCTGGCAAGTGACAGGATTAGGACCAGGAGGATGGGCTTAGCAGTCTGGCTGCATGTCCTAAACCCTCCGCCACGGCAAGCCATACAGCTGGGGGCTGAGCAGACTTGGCATGGGGTAAGCATCCCAGCTCTGCCCCTCATCAGCAAGGTGACCCTGGACAAGTTCCTCAGCCGCTGTGAGCTCAGTTCCTTCATCTGTGAAATGGAGAGAACAGTAACTACTTCACATGGAGTAGATGAGATGCAACATGTAACCTGCTTAACACAGAGTGCGACATGTCCTAACCATGAGAAGATAGTCAACGGTGGCCATGAAGATGACACGCAAGTATGATGATGATGATGATGATGATGATGATGGTGATGATGATGTAATGCTTGCTGAGTGAGTGGGCAGTGCAGGAGAAAAAGGAGCTGTTAGCAGTTTCTGGAGAAGTCCAGGCGTGATAAACTGAGGGTTGGTGGAAGAGCAGAGGGCAGCAGCAGGTAGAAGACCATGTCTGGAGGAGGCCAGAGAGAAGAGAGGGAGGAGCCCACTGGCATGCCAACATGGCCAGTGGAAAGTGGTGATGAGAAAACAGCCCTGCCCCCAGGTCCGAGGCAGGCTCTTCAGACTCAGAGAAAGCACAAGTTTCCACCACCTCCTGTACTGCTCCAAACTTTGGAAAAATCAGCAAATGAGGAAAGGTCCTGGGCAGCCCTACTTCTCCCAGGATAGAAAGGGCTTGGTCTGTTGTTTGTTCCGCAGTTAGAAGTAGGCTCTTGTCCCTGCCCAAGCAGAACACTTTTGTTTGGCAGGAGAAAGAGGAGCTGGGCAATGCCAGAGAGGAGCCCCCCAGCGCCACATGCTCTGCATTCCCCAGCATGCCTACCAGAGCCCAGGTGGGCGTGGAGGCTGTAGGAGCCCTCACCACCCACCAAGCGGGGCTCCAGAGGCCTGGCACCGTCTAGAGAGGTGGCGGCTGTCAGCACTGAGCAGAAAGGCATTCCGAGGCACAAGAATAGCCCGACCACAAGACAGGAAGGCGGTCTCTGAAAACATTGTTCTCCCTGGAGCAGAAAAGACCACATGTTGGGAGGCCCTGGGGTTTCCTGGAACTGCTGGGAACAGAGGTGCTTTTCCAGGTAGACTGATTTCCCCTGTGGAGTCTCAAAGCCCTGTACCCAGAGTGGGCACCCTCATGAAGGGGGTGACACCCTGTGCCTGTTCATTTTATGTTAAAGACACTCTCCCACCTGTGGGTGGTGGCAAGGAAGTGCCATTCATGTGACCACCTGTCAGAAGATGGTCCATGCTTTTATTGTTTGTGTGAGACCCTAGGCCACAAGAAAGTGTTGACAGAACCTAGATCCCATTGTGAGTCACAGAAAACACATGGAGACCTCAGACTCACCCCTGGTCACACAACTTTGTGCATTCAGTTGATTGCTTATTAGATGTCAATCAAGTGTCTTTGTGTAAGGTCTCATTCTAGGAATACGGGTGGGATGGCAAACAGAAGGAGGCCCTGACTCTTGCATGTTATTCAGTTGTCCCAGTTTACATCTAGAAGGGAGAAAAGGGACAAGGAACAAGGAAACTAAGAAAGACAGCGGATACTTTCAGATGGCAATCAGCAACACAAGGAAAATGAGCAGGGTTATGGGATGGTAGCTGCTTCCATCAGGTGTCAGGGAGTCCTCTGGGAGGAGGTGGCATCTGCATGAATTCCCTGGAGCTGAGGAGCAGCCAGCCATGCGAAGACCTGGACAAAGGGTATTGGGAGCCCAGAAAACATCCAATGGCAAAGTCCCCAAGGGAGGAGCAAGTGAGGAAGGGCAGAGTGGCCAGAGTGGACTGTGGGCAGGGAGGGCAGCACTAGATGAAGGTAGGGTGGACCCAGTGGCTGGGTTGTGTAGACATGGAGCCTTGGAAGCCAGAGGGGAATTCTGGACTTGATTCTAAGTGGTGTCAGAAGCCACTAAAGAGTTGTAAACAGAGGCATGGCATGATCTGCCTTTTGTTTTCAAAAGCATGTTGGCAGTGGGAGGACAGTGGGTTGCAGGAGACAGTGGGAGGAAGCAGGGAGACCCCCTAAGTCTATTCAGTTCTAGCCAGGGAGGATGATGACTCTGGCTAGGGAGGGAGAGCAGGACAGTCAGGGTGTACTCTAGGAGGTATGCTGATGGGAGCTGCTGATGGCACCAGTGGAAGAGGGGGATTCAGAATTGGGGTTTGAGCAACTGGATGGGTGATGATGTGCATTTGCTGCTGTGGGGAAGAGCAGATTTGTGGAGTGGAGGTGGGGGTCAAGCTAGCACCACATTCATTGGGAAGCTCAGCAACAAGGTGTTGAACCAAATTCAACTTGTGCAGAGACAACCTGTAGAATGGGAGAAAGTATTTGCAAACTATTCATCAGACCAGGGACTAGTAGCCAGAATATATGAGGAATTCAAACCCCCCCAAATAATCCAATCCAGAGGGTGTAAGCCCCAAGCCTTGGCAGCTTCCACGTGGTGTTGAGCCTGCAAGTACACAGAAGTCAAGAATTGAGGTTTGGGAACCTCCACCTAGATTTCAGAGGATGTATGGAAATGCCTGGATGTCCAAGCAGAAGTTTGCTGCAAGGGCAGGGCTCTCATGCAGAACCTCTGCTAGAGCAATGTGGAAGGGAAATGTGGGGTCAGAGCCCCCACACAGAGTCCCTGCTGGGGCACCATCTAGTGGAGCTGTGAGAAGAGGGCCACCATCTTCCAGACCCCAGAATGGTAGATCCACCGACAGCTTGCACTGTGTGGCTGGAAAAACCACAGACACTCAATGCCAGCCCATGAAAGCAGCCGGGAGGGAGGCTGTACCCTGCAAAGCCACAGGGGTGGAGCTGTCCAAGACCATGGGAACCCACCTCTTGCTTCAGCGTTACCTGGATGTGAGACATGGATTCAAAGGAGATCATTTTAGAGCTTTAAGATTTGACTGCCCCACTGGATTTCGGACTTGCGTGGGGCCTGTAACCCCTTGGTTTTGGCCAATTTCTCCCATTTGGAATGACTATATTTACCCAATGCCTGTACCCCCACTGTATCTAGGAAGTGACTTGCTTGCTTTTGATTTTACACGCTCATAGGTGGAAGGGACTTGCCTTGTCTTAGATAAGACTTTGGACTGTGGACTTTTGGGTTAATGCTGAAATGAGTTAAGACTTTGGGGGACTGTTGGGAAGGTGTGATTAGTTTTGAAATGCGAGGACATGAGATTTGGAGGGGCCGAGGTAGAATGATAGGGTATGACTCTGTGTCCCCACCCAAATCTCATCTTGAATTGTACTCCCAGAATTCCCACGTGTTGTGGGAGGGACCCAGTAAGAGATAATTTGAATCATGGGGACAGTTTCTTCCATACTGTTCTCACGGTATTGAATAAGTCTTAAGAGACCTGATAGTTTTATCAGGGGTTTCCACTTTTACATCTTCCTCATTTTTCTCTTGCCACCACCATGTAAGAAGTGCCTTTCGCCTCCCACCATGATTCTGAGGCCTCCCCAGCTATGTGGGGCTATAAATCCAATTAAACCTCTTTTTCTTCCCAGTCTCGGGTATGTCTTTATCAGCAGTGTGAAAACAGACTAATACAGACACCAAAGTAGAATGAATAATATCATGGAACCCCATGGACCCATCACTCAGATTCAACATTTATCAACCTTTTGCTACTCTGGCCTCATCTGTCCTTTTTTTCTTGTTCTTTTTCCTTCTCTCCCTCCTACTGCCAACCATTTTAAAATAAATTCTGGGCATTTCTATGTCATTTCACTTCTACACACTTTCCTATATATCTCTAAAATATATAGTTTAAAATAAACATAATACTATTATTGCATCTTACAAAATTAGCAATAATTTTTTAGTATTATTAAAAACTCAGTTCATGGTAAAATTTTCCTAGTTGTCTCAAAAATGTCCTTTTACAGTTGGTTTGTTAAGTCTAACAAGGTCAACATACTACAGTTGGTTGTTATGTCTATTTAAATCTTTTCATCTTAAACTGTCCTCTATCCATTTTTTCTCTAAATGTTTGTGGTCCTCCTCCAAATTCATATATTGAAATCACAGCCTTCAATGTGATGGTATTAGGAGGTGGGGCCTTTTAGGAGGTGATTATGCCACGAGGACAGAGCCCACGTGAATGAGATTAGTGCCCTTATAAAATCAGTGCCCTTCTAAAAGAGGCTTGAAAGAACTCCTTTGCCTCTTCCACCATGCGAGGACATAGTAAAAAGACAGCTGTTTACAAACCAGGAAGCAGGCCCTCACCAGACACCAAATCTGTGAGGGCCTTGATCTTGGACTTCCCAGCCTCCAGAACAGTGAGAAATAAATTTCAGTTGTTTCTAAGCCACCCAATTTATGGCCTTTTTGTTATAGCAGCCTGAGTGAACTAATCAAATTGACTTGTGGATGAAACCATGACAGTTACCCTATAGAAGGGCCTATATTACATATTTGCCTATTTGCTTTCTCATGGTGTCCTTTAAATTTTTCCTCTATCCCTGTATTTCCTGTGAACTATTAATAGAAGATAACTCTAAATACTCGATTAGATTCAGAGTCAACATCATTCACAAGAAAAGCATATTGATGGTGCTGAGAACTTCCTATTTTGTCGCATCATGTTAGACTTTTTAAAGCAAAGACATGGAGTAAAAGAAGAAGAAAACCAGCCTCATTTAGGGAAAAGGAATCTGGAATTTATTACTCCATTGTTATATTCCCAGATATTCTGCCAGACACCCATTTGGGTGAATAAGTTCCCTTTTACAAAAAGCAAATACTTCTTGGGATGTTATTATGCTAGCAGCCATTCACACCTTAGTGTGAATTAGTCACATGCTCTCCCTGTCTTCCTAGCTACCTAACTGAAATCAGTTCATATGGGGAGAGGGCCTTTGGCAAGCTGGCAGTCCTCTGTGGAGTGCCATAAGGAAGAAAACCCAAAGATAGCATTAGAGTTCAGGGTATTGGGGATTAGGAGTTGGTGGTAATGGGTTCATCACCTGAGCTGGGACAATTATAAGATAGACCAGATCAGGAAGGGATCTGAAAGCAGGATAAAGAACTGTGGCTATAATGCCAAGGAGCCTGGCAGCATGTAGTGGGAACCTGTCATAGGGACTGGCTTCCAGGAGAAGAATTCGGGTCTCAGAGTTCTCCTAGGGGAGCAAGTCACAAACCACTTGAAGCCCAGCTGTATACCTGGAAACAAGGGAAAAGAAGACATGAGCCTCCTGGCCAAATCAGATACTGTAGTCCCTCACTTTTGATCTTGAGATGGTCCTGAAACCCTAATCCTCAAGGCATTCTCTTACCTCTTTTTCTTCTTTATTCCAGCCTTATAAGTTCCTTGGACTTAAGAATTGTACCAATAACGCCAGAGTTCATTTATGGGTTGGGCAAATTATGTGGAGTAACCTGGGGCATTAACAATCATTGATAACATTGCTTCCTGGAATAAATGGGCTTCAAGTTCCAGGTTACAGGTGTCAGCACAAGAAGTGTTGGCTGATCCTGAGTCCCTTCTATGAAAAAGCAGCAAGTGGGGACTTCATAAAGTTACTGCAGGGCATTGCTTGAGGAATGGGGGGACACAGCAGTAAACAAAATAGACAGAGTCCCTTTTCTAGGGAAGCTCATGTCCAGTCAGTCTTCTCTTCACAAAACAAAGATGGCAGCCTACATGTTAAACTAAACCTGCTACCCATGCACTTCTGGAACATGACTGTAAGCTACAGCTAGGTCTGCTTCCTACTTCCATGACCATTCTTTTGTCTCCATCACTCTTCTTCTCCCATCCTCTAACTCTGGGGGGTGCCTCCCAAGGTTCTGTAATTACCTCATGTTCTTCAAGATTGTCTGCTGTTAGAAACTTCGTGCCTTCTGACTCCAACTATAAGCTAGTGCTCTGAAGTAGTAGAATCCAGTCTGAGAAATATCCTAAACAGCCCATCCTCTCATTGATAGAAAGAGAAAGTGAGATTCAGAGAGGCTAAGTGACTTGGCTGAGAGTACCCACTTAGTAAGTGTCCAAGCTGGGACACAAATCTATGGTGACTGACTCCATAATATGCATGTACTCCTAAGTGGGCCACATTCTCTGCTCCACACCCACTTTACAATAGGGAAACTGAGGCTCGGTCTGCCTAAGCACTTTCCCAGATTTACTCAGTGTGTTGGTGGTAGAGCTTGGACTTAACCCAATTTCAAACCCCATGTGCTCATGATGATGACCACACCCTTTCTGTTGGTGATCATGGGCTATAGGTGGCTGCCCAAGTTAAGACTGTTTACCCGTATAATTCTGGGAAACACTTCCTCACCCCTTGTTTATTGTACAGTAGCAAATTTTGCAACAGGAGAGAGGTCCCTTCCAGCTGTGAGGCTCCAGGGAATCCTGGGAGTGCCTGGGACTCATCTGCATCCTGTTCTTGCAGGGGGGAAAAAAGATAAGGCAGAGGAAACTGTGTTCTTCAAATGGTGCCACATAGGCCCCTAGGAGTTCTGAGATACCTTCTTAGGGGGCACACTGGGAAGGCCAGAGAATTATCACTGTCATTATCTGTGTTGTCCCATCCGTGCTTTGGTCTGTTTCATCCCTGTTTTGTGTCCGCTTCACATAAATTGAGATTTCTTGCAGAAAATAATCTGAAGAACGAGTTCTATGGCTTTTTAAAAGTTTAAAAACCACTCTGCTAGGGAAGGGTGTTTCACAGACCATTGGTTCTTTGAGCTGCACTTCACTGAAAGATTCCATGCTCAGATGTGTTTGGGAAACTTTGCTCACTCCAGCCCCTTCTTGGAGATAAATAAGGATCCTTAGCATATAAATGCTCTGAGAAGCCCTGTAGCAGAGAACATCTCCTTGGATTTGTTTAAGTCACTGATCCCCAAGATTATTTCATCATAAATTCTTTTGTCTAGTAAGTACCAATTAACGTCCTGCAGAACAGCGTTTTATGGAGCCCACATAGGGAACTCTTGGTTAAGGGAAACTCTAAGCCCCTTCTGGCCCTGCTATTGTTGAGGGGTGGCTGAAGAACCTGGCAGTGAGGATCTTGGTAAAGGGTACCCATGACCATGGTCTCCAAATCTCTGAAAGTCTCTCATTGGAAGAGGTGTTTTATACAATGGACCTTTAAATGAAACCCGCCTCAAACACCTGAGCTCTCATAACTTACTGGTGAAGGTATGAACTGGGTCCACTTTTCTTTACACAATTTTGACAATAGGTGTCTAAAATCTGAAGATGTGTGGCCAGGCATGATTACAGCCTCATACCTGTAATCCCAGTAGTTTGGGAGGCCAAGACAGGAGCCTCACTTGAGGCCAAGAGTTCAAGATCACCCTGGGGAACACTATGAGGCCCTGTCACTATTTAAAATAATAATAAAGTAAAATAAAATGGTGTGCATCCTTTGCCCCCAGCAATTCCATTTCTAAAACTTTATCTGAAGGAATTAATGACACCAGTGCACACAAAGAATGAACAAGGATGTTCATCCGGTATATTATCCTGCAAGTTGAGAACCATGTTCATTCCAACCTTAAGGACTGGAAACCAAAACTGTGGAACAATCATGCCATGGAAGTGAGTGGCCATTAAACACAATGTGTCAGCCTGGCTACAGTGGCTGACGCCTGTAATCCCAGAACTTTAGGAGGCTGAGGTGGGCAGATCACTTGAGGTCAGGAGTTTGAGACCAGACTGGCCAACACAGTGAAACCCCATCTCTACTAAACATACAAAAATTAGCCAGGTGAAGTTCTGTCCATTCCAGGATGTGGTGTCACATGCCTGTAATCCCAGCTACTCAGGAGGCTCAGGCAGGAGAATCCCTTGAACCCAGGAGGCAGAGGTTGCAGTGAGCTGAGATTGTGCCACTGCATTCCTTCCGGGGTGAGAGGGCAGGACTCTGTCTCAAAAAATAAAATAAAATAAAATAAAATAAAATAAAATAAAATAAAAGATAAAATAAAATAAAATAAAATAACACAGCGTGTCATAGCAAGAGAGGTCCACCATGCAGATGGAGCAGGAAGCAGTCCCAAAACAGGATGTAGGGTTTTGTGAGTGGAGTACAATTCTATTTTTATTAAAATAATATCTATATTAGTGCTCCTCAAACTAGCGAGGCGGAGGGATGACTTTACAACCTTCAATCTATTGCAAGTTGATAGTTTGGTACAGTTTGCAGACCACAGTTTGAATTGCCCTGTTTTATGCCATATAAAAGTTTGAGAGAAAATGCAATACAATGTCAAGAGTGATTTTCTGTAAATGGTAAGTTAGGGATAATTCTTTTTATTTTTTCTTATCTATATTTCAACTTTTGTACAATGAAGACTCATATCTTTTTAATTTTTGATTACTTTTGTTGGTACATAGTAGGTGTATATATTTATGGGATACATGAGATGTTTTGATACAGGGATGCAATGTGAAATAAGTACATCATGGAGAATGGGGTATCCATTCCCTCAAGCATTTATCCTTTGTGTTACAAACAATCCAATTACACTCTTTTATAAGTTACTTTTTCTTTCCTATTTCTTTTTTTTTTTTTTTTTTTGAGATGGAGTCCTGCTCTGTCACCCAGGTTGGAGTGCAGTAGCATGATCTCGGCTCACTGCAACCTCCACCTCCCAGGTTCAAGCCATTCTCCTGCCTCAGCCTCCCGAATAGCTGGGATTACAGACACACACCACCATGCCTGGCTAATTTTTTTTTTTTTTTGGTATTTTTAGTAAAGACAGAGTTTCACTATGTTGGCTAAGCTGGTCTTGAACTGACCTCAAGTGATCTGCCCGCCTTGGCCTCCCAAAATGCTTGGATTACAGGCATGAGCCACTGCGTCCGGCGTTTTTAGTTACTTTAGATGTACAATTAAATTATTATTATCTATAGTCACCCTGTTGTGCTATCAAATACTAGGTCTTATTCATTCTTTTTAACTATTTTTTAACTTATTAACCACCCCCACCTCCCACTACAACCTCACTACCCTTCCCCGCACCTAGTAACCATTTGGAGACACATTTTTTTAAAGTAAGAAATGTGAGCAAGAGTACCCTCCCTTGGGAAAGAGAGCTGCACATGTCCGAGGTACGGTTGTGAGCATTTATTTGAGGTTGTACAGGCTGCTCTGTTGTAGGGTGAGAAGCCAGGAGCAGGTGGCCAAGGTGCCTTCCAATTCCCAGATGAGACCCTTGTAGGACTAGACATTCATCAGTGGCTTTCTGCAGGCAGAGGCAGGCCTAGAGGCTTTGGTGCTCCTCTACTTCTGGAGCACCATCCCTCAGCCCCATCTCTGCCATCCCCACCCCTTCATCCTCATCCCTGGGTGCTGAACTGTCTGGCCATCCTTCCCTTGGCGGAGCAGGCCTCGCCTCTGGAAACCCAGGGCCACAAAGTGGTATGTCACCTGCAAAGTGCACCCCCACCAAGCCAGTGTCAAACCGCCAGACATCACGTCAGCACATCCTAACCAGAGTCTGAGCCCAGGAGGAGGTGTCCTGAGCCCAGCCCTCTGCCAAGGCCCCAGGGCAATGTCTGCCGGCTTTTCAGCTCAGTCTGGGGAGTTTTCCCAGGGACCTCCACCCTGCCAGGCTCCGCCAGCCTGAGGAGGAGGGAGGGAATGGAGGAGCAGCCCAGTTGTGGTTAGTATGTGGGGAGGGGAGGGAAAAATTCTCCCCACTGCCATTCCTGTGGGGAGGAAGCAGCACTGTCCCCCAGGAAGGGAGTCTGGCTTTGTCGTTGTTTCCTGAGGGGAAGAAAGAGCAGGGATGAGTTTCCAGATGCCAGCCATGGGGAAGAATGTGCACCCCCTGCTGGATGACAAGGTCTCGGTGTCTTCTGGTACCCAAGCCTGAGAGAAACCTGGTGGCCAGGGGACCTTGGCAGACAAAGCTGTCTGCTCAGAGCCACCACTCATTGCAGCCCCAAGAGGGAGGGCAGGGTGACTTTACGTAACTGTGGGTCTCTTCATTGCCTCCCCAAGTTCAGGCAGATCATGGCGGTCAGGGCACAGATCTGAGGATTTAGCTTGTTCTAGAGTTTTGCACCAGCCCAATGAGACAGTGTTAGTTTATATCTATTTTGCCAGGATATAAGTGAGGACACAGAGCAATGGAGTGACTAGATTGCTGAAGGCCACAGGACTGGGAGTGGCAGATCCTGGACTCAAACCCAGGCTAGGCTGACTCTAAAACACCATGCTTCTCTGCCAGGACGTTTTCTTCTAAGATGGTTAAGCAGGTAAGGACTGCTTCTAGGGTGCACCTGCAGCCCTTTCCAGAGAGCCTGGCCCCATCCAGAGCCCCTAATGCCTGGCATGTGAACAGTGCCCCATCCCTGCAGGAAGGCACATGAAGCCAGTTGTTGTAATGTGCCCACTGCAATAACATAGGACGCTTCCACCCCAGAAAAATTAACATATTAAGAGGGGACTCTGGGAAATCAAAAGTTTTCAAGGCCCAGAGGAGTGTGCATCTAATGGGATTTCAAACATGGTGGCATCTTTCTCCGTGAGGTTCTTCTTGGGCCTCTTCAAATTGTCCTCTGCCCTGCATCTAGCCAGCCCTAACATCGCCAGCCTACCTTGGGTTAGGTTTTCACCTGAATTCTGATGTCCATTAGCTCTGTGAAATTGGAAAGTCACCTACCCACTCTGAGCCTCAAGAATCAAAGGGGGTAGACTAGAAAGTAACTTGGGCCCAACTCTATCAGATACACCTGCAAGCACATGTCACCATTGCAGGTTCCTGGGCCCCACTCCAGCCCTAATGGCTGAGCCTCTCTGGAGGCTGGTTGCCTGGAAATCTGCTTTATGAATAGATTCCCCAGGTGATTCTGACAGGCACTAGAGTTGGGGAATCACTGACATAGAGATGTCTAAGCTCAGTTTCAGGCTCTGCATATGATAGTAAGGTTGGTGGACATTGCCTGTCTCTCTGTCTGCCTTCCTTCCCGTCACTCCACTCAAGCTCCAAAGGCCAAAGAGAAGCAGTGAAGGAGGGCCTGGCATATGGGGAGCTAGGGCTGCCCCAGCAGCTGCAGTAGACCATCAGCTAGTGAAGGGCTGGAGCCTCAGTCGGCTGAACTCCATTCTGAGACCTCAGGCTGGATCTTTGACTCTAGGGCTGGTTGGGCCTGGCCCCAAATCCAGAAATCCATGTAGGCTAGAGCCTGTGTAGGGCTACTGCTTTGGCTCATATTGGTGTCCTGGTCTGTTCCAGATCCCTGCCCTGGGCCACACCTCGGACTCCAAAGGGCTTGCTGTAGGCCCGGGTCTCCCTCCCACCCCTGGCCTTCCTAAACCAACCAGGTCTTTCTTCAGAGGTGCTTCAAAGTGACCAGCAGAGACAAGGGCCAGCTATGGGACTGGGAACCAGGTAATGGTGAGAAGCTAATGGTGGGCTTGCCCACCTGTCCCAAATATGGGGAAAACAAGCCAAATCCTAGAACACTGGCTGGGTTTCTGGAGTCACCTGGAAATAGGCCAGATCCTAGGTAAGACACCAGCAACAAGAGTCAAGTGAAAAGAGCATCTTAGAAAACAGGATTTATAGTGAAATCCAATCTTTGCAAATGTGTGTATGTCAATGAGTATGTGTGTGTGGATCTACATCTATATCCATATGGACCCAGTTGGGCTAAACATTGCAAGTTATAGGGCACAGTCTGCCACAAAACTGCCCTCACTTCAGACAAGTTTGGGGTTCCCTAGGGCTACCTTTGCTCAGACCAATTAGCTACACCCTCAAGAGATTCCCATGGGCTCCCCCAGGTTTGATAATTTACTAGAAAGACTCACAGAACTCAGTAAAGTGCTATCATTACAATGATAGTTTTATTATAGCAAAAGGATACAGATGGGAAGAGATACTGATGATGAAGTCTGGGAAGGTTTCAAGTAAAAGCTTCCATTGTTCTCGGGGACACGTCGCCCTCCTGGCACACATGGATGGCAGTATTCAAAGAGTATTGCCAACCAGGGGACCTCAGCAGAGTTCGGTGTCCAGAGTTTTTATTGAAGTGTCATCCCAGAGGCATGCTGGGTTGAATCACTGGAGGTGCACTTGAACTCAATCCCCAGTCCCTCTCCCTTTCCCGTGGGGGGCCTGAAAGCTTAAGGAGATGAATAACTCCTCCCTTCTCAGGCCCAGTCCCAAGGTGCAAGGCTACTTGTGCCAGAAGCGTGCGCCAGCAAAATAGCAGAAGCAGGAAGAGAGCTGGCGGGAAGACACCTACCGTGGCCGGAAGACACGTACCCCTGAAGATCTAGAAAGAGGCCATCCGGGTACTACGTAGCAGTTACGTCAGACTAGGACACTTCCTGTTACAGGAGACTATAAAACCTTTGCCCCATCCTCGCTTGGGGCTGACACCATTTTAGACGCTCATTAAAACAGCATGTTGCTCCACACAGCCTCGTGTTGTCTGTTGGCCTGCTCTGGAGGTTTGAACTGATACAAGAACCTTGCACCCCAGAGGCTGGGGCTGATAACACGTGGGTCAAAGCCCCCCAACCCTCTCATTATGTGGTTGGTCTTTCCAGCGTGGCCAGCCCCTGTCCTGAACTATCCTTTTACCATAAACCCTGCAGGGGACCACCGTGAGTCACTTGTTAGCATAAACTATCAGATGTGGTCTGAGGGGCCCACCATGAAGAACAAAGACCCTCCTATCACTTGGGAAATTCCGAGGGTTTAGAAGTCACTTCCCAGGGGCTGGGGCAAAGGCCAGGCAGACCCTTTATTACACAATATGTATGTAACATAGAAAAATATTCCTCTGGAGATTTCCTGGAGAGAGATCGCATCCCTCCAAATTTTCACTAAGGAGTTTTTGGGCCAGGCACGGAAGCTCTCACCTATAATCCCAGCACTTTGAGAAGCCGAGACAAGAGGATCCCTTGAGCTCAGGGGTTTGAGACCAGTCTGGGCAACATAGGGAGACCCCTATCTCTACAAGAAAAAAATTTTTTAAGTTAGCCAGGTGTGGTGGCTCATGCCTGTAGCCCCAGCTGCTCAGGAGGCTGAGGTGGGAGGATCGTTTGAACCCAGGAGATTGAGGCTGCAGTGAACTGTGATTGTACCACTGGGTGACAAAGCAAGATGCTGTCTCATAAATAAATAAATAAAGGAATCTTCCTGCCTTCTGCTGGATCTACTGTGGTTTCACAGAGTAAGCAGATTCGGATCTGAGGCCAGTCCCCATCTCCATCCACACTCGGGGCTTCCCCAGGGTCTAAGACCCTAAAGATCTGCTTCCTGAGGATAGACTTCTAGTTCAAGCTCAAAAAAATACCCTCCTGAGGACTCCTGTTTTTCCATTTTTCATCCTTGATGAAGTGGTTGGTGCTGGGCACACTTTCTATTATCAATAAATATAGAATCCTTTGAGACCTAGGCCTTAGGTCAGTTTTTCCTACCAGGTAAAACCTTGAGCCTCAGGGTTTTGGCAGGTGATAACTGCCTGGAAAAGCGGCCCACTGGATGCTGTGACATTCTGATCACCACTGCGTAAGAACATCTTAAGAAGCAGCTGGCTCTGCGGGACCCCACATGGCAATCCTTGGCCAGCCTCCCCCTGACCACCCCCCAGACTGGCCTCCCAGTGCCAGGGCCCGGCCTCCACTGGAGGGCAGTGGCATCTGGTTCTGCTTTGCTTGGGAAAACAGCTCTGCTTACAAATATTTGGCCTGTGGAGCTTCTTTCCCCACTCGGCCTCAGCTTGTGCCTGAAAATGAAGTGTTTCTGTAAGGGACCCAGAGACAAGGCTGGAGGCCGGGCAAAGGGGAAGCCTCTGTCTAACTCAGCATTTTCCCTAATGGAGACTGCATCCCCAGCCCAGCGGGGTGGAGAGGGGTCTGGAGCCTGGAGGTGGGTGGTGTTTCTGGATAGGAGGGCTGAGCTGGCTGCGGCCCACTGACTGCCAGCCACACTGAGACCCAGCACCAGCCCCAGTGGCACCACACAAGAGGGCCTCCAACTCTCTTCTGCCAACACAGGTCCTCCCCGCTCCCTCCCTCCCTCCCTCCTGGCTCTGGCAGCCATCTTGGCCCTCGATGCAGCCTTTGGGCCTGGAAAGCAGACGACCTGGGAGGAAGGATCTGGCAGGATGAGGCCAGCAGAGCTCTCCCAGAGAGGAGAGCCAGGTGGAACTAGGCAGAGGGGCTCTAAGCCAGGCATCTCCCCCTGAGAGCTCACAGACAAGAGGCAAAGCCACTCAAAGTTGCCAAGAGCCATGATTCATTCACTTGTCAATTACTAAGTTCCTACTCAGTGCCAGCTCTGAGCTAAAACCTGGGATACCATGGTGAGCAAAAGGGAACACCCTTTGTCCAGAACACCCAGCCCTCAGCTCTTCCCAGCATGACTCCTTCCTAACATCTAGGTATAACTCTAATTTCCGCTCATTAGGGAGGATTCCCCTGACCACTTGTCTTAAGTCACACCTCCTTATCCCCCACTTTCTATCCGTTTATTTTATCTTTATTGATAGCATTTCTAACAACTTGAAATTCTTATCTATTTGTCTGTTTGTTTGTTTGTTAGTTCCCTAGCATGTAAATTCCAGGAAGGCAAGAACCTGTCTTATTTATCATTGTATTTCCAGCATATAATAAGGATCAGATAAAGTTTTGTTAAATGAATGAATGAATATTATTACTGTTAATACAAAATGTATTTAGAAATGCCCCAAATGTCACCTGTGCAGCCATGTTTGATTTCCCAGAGCATGAGGTCTACTGGCCAGTTAAACTGATTTCC
This sequence comes from Homo sapiens, assembly GCF_000001405.40. Lineage (NCBI taxonomy): Eukaryota > Metazoa > Chordata > Mammalia > Primates > Hominidae > Homo > Homo sapiens. The sequence continues at coordinate 44,489,359 of NC_000011.10, forward strand.
AGCCAGTGTGTCCAGGGCCTCTGAGGGGAGCTATAGGGTTTTTCTGAGAGAATGGTTGGGCCCTGTTGCCTTAGTGGCCTGGAAACCCTGCTCAGGAACAGTCTGGCACAGGAGAGGAGCCTCCACCCCCTATCATGTGGCTGACAGGCCAGAGAGCAAGAGGTCAGGGCCAAAAACTAAAAACCATTTTCAAAAGAGGGAGAAAATTCAACCATTGACTGCAATGTAATGAAATGAGAGATCCACCTAGCAAAAAGTTGCATTTTAAAACCAGAGGTCCTCCAAGGCCTTGGCATACCAATCCAGCATGTGCTCGCTGCCCTGTAACTCATCTCCTCACTCTGTACTTGGAGCTCTGACCTGGGGGTTCAATATTCTTCGGCTGCGTGGAAAGCTGGGAGTCCCTGGCCTCCAGGGGTGGCCGAATCAAAGGAGATGAAGAAAGAGGAGAGAAATCCTGCATTTAATCTGGGCTTGGGATTCGGAAGCTATTCTGGAGCTTTGAATAAAGAGCAGGTTTCTACAGAGCTAACCCATTTTATTATAGTGGTTCTGAGCAATGGACTCTGGAGCCATCGGGTTCAAATCTTGTTTCTACCAACTAAAAGCAACGTGACCTTGGGCAAGCCGCTCTACTGTTCTGTGCCTTAGTTTCTTCACCTGTAAAATGGGGATAATAGTGGTACCTACCTTGAAAATTGTCTTGAGTATTGAGCGAGACAGTGTCTGTGAAGTAATCAGGACAGTGCCCAGCACACAGCTAGTGCCGATTCAATGTTTGCCTTTATTACTATCCTTCATCCACACTGATTGATTTCCCGTAATACTGCATCAGAGAGTAAATCATGATAATATTACATCTCAAGGAACTGAAGATTTATTTTACCTCATTGCCAATTGAAAAGGCAATGCTTCTAGATTCTTGTGGATTAAGCTGAAAGTTTTGAGTTCTAACATAGATTACAAGAAAGACAACATATTTGGCAGGAGAGGCCAGCCAGAGCTCAGGCCTCACTCTGGGCCTTCAACCTCTCCCATTCCAGTCTTTCCTGGAGAATAATCTTTCTGAAACATGGATCTTGAAGGCTGGAAAGACTAAGATAATTAAAAACTGTTGTAAACAATAAGACTGTTTGGTATAGTTCTAGTTACAAAATAAATATACAAAAATCAGTAGTATTCTTAAGGTGCAACAAGAAGTACTATGATGAAAATAAAGAGTCTGTTCACAAAGGCAGCAAAAACAACAGCAAAATAAAATATCTTGGAATAAGTTTGATAAGAAATGTGCAGGTTCATATACAAAATTAGGCTGAGCACGGTGGCTCACACCTGTAATCCCAGCACTTTGGGAGGCTGAAGCGGGAAGAATGCTTGAGCTCAGGAGTTTAAGGCTAGCTTGGGCAACATGGTGAAACTCATGTCTACAAAAAAATACAAAAAAATTAGCTGGGCATAGTGGTGCATGCTTGTAGTCCCAGCTATTTGGCAGGCTGAGATGGAAGGATTCCTTGAGCCCGGGAGGTGGAGGTTGCAGTGAGCTGAGACTAAGCCACTAAACTCCAGCCTGGGCAACAGAGCAAGACCCTGTCTCAAAAAAACTAAAAAGTTATATTATTCCCAGGAAGTACAGAGAGGAAAACTTGAGCAGACAGAGATATATCTTGATGACTCAAAATTATACAAATATCAATTCTTCTAAAACACATTGAAAAATTTAACCCAATTCCAACCAAAATTCCAATGTAGTTATTTTTGGAACTTGACAGTGTGGTTCTAAATTTTATCTGGAATAATAAATAGGAGAGAATACATATCTGGGAAAAATAACAAAAGAAGTTGTACTAGCAGATATTGAAACATATTTTAAAGATAGAATAATATAGATCACTTAATATGGGATCAAAAATAGATAGGTCAATAGAATACAGTAGAAAGTCCACATTAATACAAGAGTTTACTTAGTACACTAGAAGAGAAATTTCTCATCAGAGAGGAGAAATATATTGTTTAATAAATGGTGTGGGGCAATTCACTGGCCATTTGGAAAAAAAAAGATGGATTCATACTTCTCCAGCCAAAAGAAATTTCAGATGGAATAAAATGTAAATGTAAAAACTAAACCATAAAAATATTAGAAAAAACTATGAAAGAATAATTTATAAGGATAAAGCCTTTAAAAGTGGCAAATGAAACCCAGAAACCATAATGGAAAAGATAGGCAGTTTGAGGTTTTATGGATTTTATGGCAAAATACATTGCAAATAAGGTTGAAAGACATGTTTCAATTGTAAAAAAAAAATAATAATAATAATAACAGGGATAAGTTTACTATCCATAAGATAGAAAGAGTTCTTATACATCAATGAGAAAAAAAGACCGAAGAACCTGAATAACGTTTGAAAAGATGATCAACCTCTCTAACAATAAAAGAAATGAAAATTAGAACAATAAAATGTATTTCTCCCTGATCGTATTGACAGTTTTCAAAGATTGAATACTTGAAGTTGGCTAAGAGGATGGGAAGTAGGCATTTTCAAACATTTCTGGCAGAGGTATAAATTGGTTCAAGCTTTTTGGATAGAATTTGGCAATATCAATCAACATTTTAAAGGTGCAAGATGTGTAGAATACATTTCTGTTCTCTTTGGACTCTTACATAAGTGTGATATAGTGGATGCTGTGGTGTGTCACCCAGATCTCCTTCAGCTGAGAAGAGAGTTGATAGCTGAGAGCTCACAGCTGGTACCATCCCCGCCTCAACCACCCCAGAAATTGCCCTTGGCTGAAAAAAAAACATGTTGCCCAAGGTCATGCCTACTTCCTAGGATAGGACCCATCCAATGACTGGTTGATGCAGGGGTATAAAGACCCAACTGCCTTGCCCCAATTTGGGGTAATGCTCTAGGGCTATTCCAACTCCAGGGCTCCCTGTGGGCTGGGCTGAGGCTTCTGTCAAGTCTGCATTGCAGCCCAGCTTCTCCCAGCATGCTTCCTCCACCCCATCAAAGATGCTCATGCTGATGTTGACAGCCCCCTCCAATAAACCTCCTGCAAGCCAATCTCTGTCTCAGAGTCTGATTCCCAGAAAACCTGATAGATGACACTTAGTGCCACAAGTGACCCAAGAAGCAGACTTTATAGTGGGGTTTTGGAGCTGGATTAGCCTCTACTTGACTGGCAACGAAGGTCCCATTATTGTTGGTATGTGGAACACTGGTCATTGCTGGGTACTGTAGCCATAATGCTATTAATCTTTGGTTAGTGGTAAACTAAAATGGCTTCTGAGTAGAAGGAAAAGGATGGCTAGGGCAATGTATCAGGGCTTTAGCAGTATGGGGAGTAGTCATTCTAAGGACAGTGGAATTGAATGACTGTTGCTAGGGGTAATAGATGCTTTGGACACAGATAAGGAAAGACTAATTGTAAAAGCCAGAGGGCCTGTTTTCGCAGCTCATAAAGAGACTCTAATCTCCTGAGGTCAGGAGACATAAAAAGCTGAGGCTCAACTCCATGATGTTTACAGAGTAGAAAAGTTGAAGAGCTCTTAAGAGTAGAGAGTTCCAGAAAAGGAATTTTCTGTGAAAGGTCAGACCTTTGATTACATAGTGGTAGGACCCTGAGATATGAGATGGGGATCTCTGGATTGATACACTTGAAAATTTTCAGTTCCCAGATTACCTTGATGTTTCTGGCCTGAAGAAGTAGCCATTGCTTGGAGGCAATGCACAGACTTCTGCCGTACAAGGCAATATATGCCTTCCTTAAGATGAGTCCCTATTTCTCCTCCTGGCCATCAGGCCAATATCTAGGGTGAATTCACAGCATAACTCAGGCAAGGATGTGATGGGCTTGCTAAGGGAGGAAAGGGACTACACTCTGAAAGAGCATATAGCTAACCAGAATTGGTTAAGAGGAAATGGTGGCCCTAGAAGCCAGACAGATGAGCAAACAACAAAGTATTTATTAGACTGTAAAATTAATGGAAATTAAGAATGAATGATTAGGAGTCTGAGAGCAGCCATCCCAATAAAAAGTCATGTTTTCTTGACCAATTTCTGACCCTGAGCCAGTTTTTCAGACCTATAACCCACTGGCTAAAGAAGAGGCTGGGACTCCATGAGAAAGGCACCTGCAACACTATGGCAGGTGTACATGATAAGAATTTCCCTAGCCCTGGTGAATGTGTAGCTGTCAGGAACAGTTTACATTTACTTGGAAGGAGCAACAGTGTACCTTTACTGTCTTGCCTCCACATCTATGTTAATTCTTCCACCTTCTGTCATAATATAGTCTGAAGACAGTGGGCCATCTGGACATCCTGTAGAACACTGGATCAGTCTACTGTGTTGGTGACATCATGTTAATCAGGCCAGAGGAGCAAAAAGTAGCAAATACATCAGAAGCCTTGGATCAACATATGCTCCAGAGGGTGGAAGATAATCCTAGGAAATTCAGGTGCCACATTAGTGGTGTTTTAGGGTCTAGTCTGGTCCTGGTTTAGGGCATCCAGGATATTTCTTCTAATGTAAAAGACAGATTATTGCCTCTCAACTTCTCACCACTAAGACTGAAGTACAATGACTAGTAGGCCTCTTCAGGCGCTAGAGGCAGACTATTTCATGTACATTCCAATTTATATGTCAGGTGAAATGAAAAGCTGCCAGCTTTGAGTGGGAGCCAGCAGGAAAGCAGTGTACAGCAGATCCAGGCCATAATGCAAGAAGCCCTGCTGCTTGGGCCATACAACCCAATAGACCCTATGGTATTGGAGCTCTCCATGGTGGGAAAAAAATGCTGTGTAGATGTTATGGTAAACTTCAAAAGGAGAATCTCAATGTAGACCTCTGAAGTTCTGGAGCAAGCTCATACCATCTGCAGTGGAAAATTATACACATTTCAAAAATAACTCCTGGAATGGTACTGTGCCCTGATAGAGATGGGGTACTTGACTATGGGACATCATGTGCCAGAACTGCTCATCATTAGCTGAGATCAGTCACTATTGCAGAGCCAACAGATTGGGTGGGCCCAGTATGGCCAGAAAGCAGAAATAAACTGCATAAACAAATCACACAGCTCCCCACATCATTGGCCACTGTTTCACTGGCATCTTCCTTTGGCTCTCATCTATGTCTATATGGAGGGTCCCTTGTACCCAACTGACAGAGGAGCAAAAAAATTCACCCATGGGTTAGCTTGACTTGTGAGTGCAAGCTACAAATGGCCCATTACTGAATATGACCCCACTCAGGGCTAGTACTGAAAAACAGTGGTGAGGGAGATTCTCCCAGGGGCAGAGCTGTGAGCACTGACCTGATCATCCATCTAGTGCAGAAAGAGAAGTGGCCCAAAGTTAGAATGTATATGGACTCATGGGCAGTGGCAAGTGGCTTGACTGGTTGTCTAGGAGCCTAGAAGGAGAACATTTGGAAGATTAGGAGCAAGAAGTTCTTGGGGAGGAAACACGTGGATGGATTTAAAAGAATGGGTATAAAGCCTGAAAATCTTCCTGTTGACCCAGTGACCATCAGAGAGCATCTCCCTCAGAAGAGGCACTAGACAATGATGCAGACAGAATAACTCAGGCAGATGATGTCAGCCAACCCGTTATCAGTCACTCAAGGGCCTGCATAATTAGCATCTGAATGGAGTGGCCACAGTGGCAGAGATGGAGGCCTTACATAGGAGAGATCCCATCATCAAGACTGATCTAGCTATTGCTAAATATCCAACTTGCCAGCAATGTGATCCATGCTAAGCCCTTGATATGGCCTCTTCCCTCAAGGAGCCCAAATAGCTACTCAGTGGCAAGTGATGACACTGGCTTCCTTCCACCCCGGAATGAACAGACTTTTATCTCCACTGGAATTGACACATATTCGAGGTATGAGTTTACCCTTTCTGCCCACAGGGCTTCAGCCAATACCACCCAAGGTCTACAGTGTGTTCATCCATCCACATAGGAGCCTGCATAACATTGCATAGGACCAAGGGACTCACTTTAGAGAAAGGAGGTGCAACTCCCTTCCTTCATCTTCAAAGTGGATCACTCCAACTCAAAAAGAAAATAATCACACATAAAACATTTTGAAGAAAACACACAAAATAAAATACCTTGGCATGGCAAGTCAGGAACTTCATAAGATTTCTTCATATAACTTCATAAAATCTCATCTCCAGCTACTGTCCTCTCCTCTTCTGCTATTCTCGATGTATTTTGTGTTTTGGCTACCATTTTGTTTAAACCCATATGTATTCACCAAAATCTGCCTAGTCCTTTTGCTAATCATATACTTTTTGGTATCTATCACTAGATAATGAGCCTTTTGACAGCAGGGCCAGTTATTCTCAAATTTGACATAAATGCAGAACAGTTTTCTTGCAAATAAACCTGAGTTCAAATCATGAACATTCATGTAGTTATATGATGTTAAGCAGGTAATTTAACTTTTCTTTTTCTCATTCTGCACATTTATAAAATGGGGATTATAATGCCCAGAGGAAAGGCTTGTTAGAAAAATTAAATTGGGCTGGGCGCAGTGGCTCATGCCTCTAATACCAGCACTTTGGGAGGCTGAGGCGGGCGGATCACTTGAGGTCAGGAGTTTGAGACCAGTGTGGCCAACATGGCAAAACTCCATCTCTACTAAAAGTATAAAAATTAGCCAGGTGTGGTGGTGTTCACCTGTAATCCCGGCTACTGGGGAAGCTGAGGCAGGAGAATCACTTGAACCCGGGAGGCGGAGGTTGCAGTGAGCCGAGATTGAGCCACTGCACTCCAGCCTGGGTGACAGAGTGAGACTCCATCTCAGAAAAAAAAAAAAAAAAAAAAAGAAAACCTAAATTGTATCATTAATTTTATAATTTTTATTATTGCTTTTCTTAATTTTGTATTCATTCCCTGCCATCACGGTACTGAATTCAGCACTCTGCTCAGACACACAATAAATATTTGTTGACTAAAATAAAAAACAAAACCACAAAGTGCATCACTCCAACCATTTCTTCCATTGTCACATTTCCTCTCTGACTTGGACTTTCTTGGCTTCTCTCATAAGGATCCTTGTGATTACACTGGGCCTATCCAGATAATCGCAGATAATCTCTTATCTCAAAATCCTTAACTTAATCACATCTTCACATTTCCTTTTGCCATGTAAGGCAACATATTCTCAGGTTCCAGGGGATTAAGATGTGACCATCTCTGGAGGAGGGGGCACTTTTCTGTCTGCCACAGGTGGTAACCCCCCGCAGCCACAGCGATCATGGCAGCTGAGCACAAAGCCCTCCCTGTGGCTCTTTCACACATTAACATTGGAAATCTAGTGAGCTGGTCAGCCTGATCTTGGCTATGACAGAAGGCAGAGCAAAGGCATGCCTGATGTAGAGCTGTAGAAGGGCTAATGGCTTGGCAAGAGCTGAGGGGTGGTGATGCTGGGAAGGGAGACCAGCCCAGGGTCTCTGCACAGGGGGTGATGGAGCATGGTCAATACAGAGGCTGGCGAGACAGTGGTGGTGTTGGTCAGACAGCACCAATAGGTAGCCTTCCAGGACAAGTTCAGAAATGGACCCCACCCACCTTGCCAGAACACTTAGCAGAGCACAGAGGAAACCACTGCTTCTGAGAGCCAGCCCTGCAGCTAGAGGTCATCTCTCAGGGTCTCACTCCTCAGCTGGAAAATGCAGGTGATGAGAAGGGTGTCTCCCTCATAGAGTTACCGTGAGCATCCATGAATGATGGGTGAAAAGGGCATCACATGGTGCCAGGCATATGGTAGGTGCTCAGGGAGTGCTGGCCATTGACGCAGAGGTGGCCATCTGTGCACCAAAAGTGTATGCTCCCCAGCTGAGTCGTTGCTGGAAAACAGCAGCCCAGCCAGGGACTATGTTTCCTGGCCCCCTTGCCTCTGTGTGTGGTCATGTGACTGGTTCTGGGTCCAGTAGAATGTGAGCAGAGTAATAAGCCATTTCCAGGCTGGGCCTGTTCGATACCTGCTGTGGTCCTCCACATCCTCTCTCTTCTCCTAGCTGCCAGCTGAATGCTGATGCCCAGGAGGACTGTTGAAGCTAGAGGGTAAAGACGGCAGAGCCTCCGTCAGCCTAGGACCTGAGTACATCTCCCTGGTATTCCACTGCCGTTCAGACTTCGTGTGAATGAGAAATAAAATTCTATTGTGTTTAGCCACTAAGATCTTGGGATTTCCTCTATCCATAACATCAACTAACTTTACCTTAACTGATAGGATTGTCAATAATTCTTAGCTATCTGATAATTTGAGAGTCTGGCCCAAGAAATAAAACTGGCTTGAGTCTCAGAGAAGAGGCTTGGGAAATCTAAAAATGGAAGAATGGGGCATTGCATCGATTATAACCCTGAGGTCTCAAGGCTGACCCTTGTTGGGACAGTGTGAGGTGTACAGGCTAAATGTTGCAACTAGGATCAAAGGACCGTTAATAACAACTACAAATCATTAAGCACTTCCTGTGTGCTGATGCCTTCTTTGCTTTACCTCACTGAACCTTAAGAAACAGGTACCAAGTTTATTCTATTTACCAAGGAGGAGCTACTGTAAAAACCTCCCAGAGAGATTCCAAGTTTGGTTAAAGTTGCACAGCTGCAGAGCAGGGGAGCTGAGATTCAAGTCCAGGGTGCCTGATGCCAAGCTGCGCTCTCAACCTTTGCACAGATTCCCTCCATTGTAGGCTGCTGGGAGCTACAAGGATTGCAGGCTGCTGGGAGCTACAAGGATTGCAGGCTCATAAGCAAATTTTATGTTCAGCAATGACAAATTACCCAGGATTTGGCTAAAACCATCACATTCAGAGGCTCTAGAATCAGATTTGCGTAATAAGCAGAGGAGGTCCTCAGGAGAAGGGCCTAATTTATAATTCTGGGGCCAAGAAGTCTGCAAGCTTTGAGTTTGAAGACATATAAAGAGAGGTGATCTGCCTGCCTTTCCCTTCCCAATTCCTTCATCTGGCCAACATCACTAATGCTTCTGGCATTTTTATTCTTGGCTATTTACAAAACAACAAAGTTGAGTTATTACATTTTAGATTTTGACAATTATGGGTTCACAGTTAAATAATCTTATAGCTATTAAGACAAGGGTGAACTCTCACTACAACTGTCAATGTCTTTGGGTCCCAGATCCCCTAGGGCCCATCTGGAAGAGTCCATATTTCTTAAGCAAGCACCCAGAAGGTTGCATATTAATATCTGCCTCCATTATGTCTTGTCACAATAATACTGAGTAACAACCACAAAGACTCAGAGGCACACAACAATAAACATAGATTTGGCTCAAGAGTCTATGGAGTTTCATTGGTGTGGGCTGGGCTCAACTGACCTTGGCTGGACTGGCTCATGCATCTGCTGTCAGCCGTGGGTGGTCTGGAAAGTTCTGCTGATCTTGGCTGGGCTTATGCCCATGTCTGGAGTCGGCCAACTCTTGGCTGATCTAGGATGCCCTCGTCTGAGATGACTGGCTGACTCAACTTTGCTGCACAAGTCTCATCCTCCAACAGGATAGCCCGGGCATATTCCCATGGCAGGTACAAAGGCTCCAGAGAGAAGTGGGAAATGTACAGAAGCTTTTTAAAACACGTGCTTGTATCACATCTGCTAACATCCCACTAGTCAAAGCAGGCCACATGTCTGAGTTGCAGAGGAAGGACACTAAAACGTTACATAACAGATGGCAAGAATACAAAGAGGAGTAGATAACAAGGAGGGGGACATTGACACCGTTGATCTGCCATAATACTTACCATTTGCTGTGTATTTACTGAGAGCCAGAGACAGGGTGATACCCATGAGTATTGAAGATGATGTATGTAAAGGATCTGGCCCTTTAGAGCCAGATTCAGAGCCTCAAAGAGGTAAAGTAACTTTACAAAGGTCACACAGCTAGTAAACAGCAGAACTGAGATTAGAATTACATGCTTGTGGACTCCCGTAGGTGATTTTTCTATACTAGCACATGGCTTGGTTATTAATATTTTTATTACTAATTTTGAGGCTGCGTCCATACCATAACTGCTTACATTTCTTCTTTGTTTTTTTCTTTTGAGACGGAGTCTCGCTCTGTCGTCCAGACTGGAGTGCAGTGGCACGATCTCGGCTCACTGCAAGCTCCGCCTCCCGTGTTCACGCCATTCTTCCGCCTCAGCCTCCGGAGTAGCTGGGACTACAGGCGCCCGCCATCACGCCCGGCTAATTTTTTTTTGTATTTTTTTTCAGTACAGACGGGGTTTCACCGTGTTAGCCAGGATGGTCTCGATCTCCTGATCTCTTGATCGCCCCGCCTCGGCCTCCCAAAGTGCTGGGATTACAGGCGTGAGCCACCGCGCCCGGACAACTGCTTACATTTCTAAATTAGGCAGAAGATCCATATAGAAGGTTTGGGCCTTTGTGGGTCTGTTAGTGTAAACATTTTAAATATACAATTTAAAATAAGATGCTTACCCCAAAATAACAACAGTAATAATAATAACTTATCAAGAACTTACAATATGACAAGCACTGTGCTAAAATTTTTACATATGTCCCATCTTATTTAGGTCTCTCAATCATCTTACAAGCCAGGTATCATTTTCCCTTCTATTTTACATTTGAGTTTGTAAGAGGCAGGTATCAGTTCTAACCCAGGTAGGATAATGACCAAGCTTAGGCTTCGAACCGTCTTACTAAATGGCTCCCCGTTTGTGTTATGAAATAGAATTTGACATTTTTGGGGTCACTTTGGGGGTGATCAGCCAAGCCCCCACGAACCTCTCCCTTTCTGCTTTCATCTGCTTCTCTCAGGTGTCTGATCTCCTCAGGCAGGATTAAACCAGGCATGGGGTGCGGGGAGGGCTTTGGGTGGAGGGGCAGCTTCCAACGTTGCAGCGGTGAAATTGTGCTGGGAAGTAGGCGGGGCGGCGGGGGTTGCTCCTCATGGAGTGAACAGGCACTGGCCACTGGAACCTGGTTTCTTGGCAGTGCAGCCTCCAAGATGGATGGCCATGGCCTTCAGGGCTGGACAACCACTTCGCGGGGCTTTGATGCTCAAAGCAGAGCAAATGTGAGCCGGCCGCCTGGCCACAGCTGCCTCTCATTAGGGTCTGCTTCCTCCAGCCCAGGACAAGGTGGGCCCACGAGGTAAGCGGGGGCAAACACCATATGTGTCACCCCATCTGGCTGCAAAACCCTGCTCTTGACTTCTTGCCCCCAAATCCTCTTCCGAGTCCCCCACCCAACATCCCCCTGGTTCTTCAGGCCAGAATCTGAAGTCTGAACAGGTCTTCCCTCCCCATCATCACTACTTCCCCACATTGAATCCATCAGCAAATCCTATCGGCTCTGTTTTCAAAATAATCTTCAGTCTAACCAGCCTTCTCAACTCCATTGATAGCACCTAAGTCACATTCAGTCTGGCCTGGTTAAGGGCAGGAGCCTCTGGTTATGGGTCAAATTGTGTCCACCAATTAAATGTATATGTTCAAATCCAGGCTCCCCCACCCACCACCTCAGAATGTGATCTTCTTTGGAAATAGGGTCACTGCTGGTGTGATTACTTAACGTGAGGTCATACTGGAGTAGTATGGGCCCCTAATGTTCCTATTTAAAGGGGAAGTTTAGACACAGACATGGACGTGGGAGAATGCCTTGTAAAGATGAAGGTGGAGATTATGGTGATGCCAAAGATTGTCAACAAACTACCAGAAGCTAGGTAAGAGATAGGAAATGAATTTTCCCTCCCAGCTCTCAGAAGGAACCACCCCTGCTGACACCTTGATATCAGATTTTTTTAAGTGTGGGATGATGAATTTCTATTGTTTAAGCCTCCCAGTTGGAGATGCTTTGTCACAGGAGCCCTGGGCAGGTGCAGCACCACCGAACTGGATTCTCCACCTCCTCTTGCCTCCCTCCCCATTCACCCCCACTCACATGGCACTCCACAGAAGACTGATACTTCAACAATTCCAATTTGGACCATGTCATTCCCCTGCCTAGAATTGTGTGCAAGCTTACCATGGCCTTGGGAGGTAAGCCAGGCCCTGGGAGACCTCACTCCTTCCTTTCTTCCTCTTTCTCCCTAGCCCTCTGCCCTCTGCCTACCCCAGCCTTCATGTCCATCTTGAGCATGCCCCACCCTTCTAAGGGACTTTGCAAATACTGTGCCCTCACTCTCTTCCAAGTCTTTGTACAATCACCTTGTCTAAAGAGCCAAGGAAGGGGCCGGGAGCGGTGACTCACACCTGTAATCCTAGTACTTTGGGAGGCCGAGAAGGGTGGATCACGTGAGGTCGGGAGTTCAAGACTAGTCTGGTCAACATGGTGAAACCCTGTTTCTATTAAAAATATAAAAAAAAATTAGCTGGGTGTGGTGGTGGCCACCTGTAATCCTGATTACTTGGGAGGCTGAGGCAGGAGAATTGCTTGAACCCAGGAGATGAAGGTTGCAATGAGCCAATACGGTGCCACTGCGCTCCAGCCTGGGCGACAGAGTGAGACACTTGAGCCAATACGGTGCCACTGCGCTCCAGCCTGGGCGACAGAGTGAGACACTCTGTCAAAAAAAAAAAAAAAAAAAAGCCAAGGAAACACTGATGAGGAGGAAGAGGATAGAGAAGGGAAGGCAGAAAAGGACCCTGATGGAGGCTGACCAGCCTGTGCCCAGCTCACAGCCTCTGAGGGGAGAGAGCTGCTCACCAGAGATTTGAAGTTTTAAAGTGCAGAACCAGACTCTCACCCCAGTTCTTCTGTAGGGACTTGTGTAACCTCAGATAAGTCTCTGGTATGGTGATGCAGGCTTTGGCTTGCCCATCTGTAAAATGGATCAACATATGACTTCATTTAATTCTCTCAACATCAGTGTGAGGTAGGTGATGTCTCAATAGATGCTGTTAGTGTTTTCATTTGTTAGAGGGGAAAACTCAGGCTGGGGTAGATGAAGCAACTTGCCTAAGATTATCCAGTATGAGAAATGGCAGAACTGGGATTTGAAACTGAATCTGTCTGACTCCAGAATTCACACATGTGGTCACTGTGCTACTATGATGGTTCTGAGAAGCTGGGCCACTGACTATCCACAACTGTAAAATGGGCAGATTATGAGACTTTGGGTGCATCTGTACAATGTAATTCCGTGGAGATGATCCAAAAGACAAAGTGCATCTAGATACACTGAGGTGGAAAGCACCCCACCCGCACACGCGTGTAGATAACGTGCACATTGAACACATTGTGTGTCCTCTGTTCTTTGGCTTCAACAGGACAGAAATTCCAAAGCCACCCAAGAGAAATCTCCAGGCTCTCCCCAAAGGCAATGGCCGCTACTCTTGGGGAGAGGGAGAAACAGCTGGGGTAGCCTCTGGAATTTTGCCAGCATGGAGATGATCCTGTGGAACACACGTTCCAAAGTTTTTTCAACTTTATACCAGCTCTGAGGTTTAAAAAAAAAAAGGAGGTTAATAAACAAAATCATAAGATCAATATGATTGGAGCAAAAAATTGCTTTGAAACAGTCCTAGTGTAGGTTGCATATTATTAATGGGAAGTCCCCAAATACAGTCACCTCCAAACAACAACTTCTGACCAGTGTCCAGCCTCTTTAGGGGGCCAGGCTCAGGGCTAAGATTTTTATCCGTCTACTCTCATTTAATGCTGAAACAACCCTCTGAGGGTTCATAGGAGGAGGGGTTCCCTTACCCATTTTTCAGGAAGAGAAACTGAGCTTTGGTGATAGTGAGTCCTTGGCCAATCAGTGACCAAGCTGGAGATTTCAGCCAGATCTATGGATTGCAGAGCCCATGCCATCAGCCACACTGGGAGCGTGGCAGGCCAAGATGTGACCTCTTTATTAACATGTTTTTCTACAACTTCTTAAGCCTTTGACACTCCCCACCTCTCACCTGCAAATAATGCGTCTTTAACTTCAAGGAGCCTTTCACCATTGTTCCCAGGGACGATGTATATCACAAGCAACTGAGAAAGAACAGAGTCCACAATCCAGCTCTAATTCTCTTCCACTTAGGGGAAAAGCTGAACGATTTGGGAAGAGGATTTCTTCATGAGCTTGGAAGGGCAAAGCTGGAAGGGGTAGCAGGAGACTGTCTCAGAATGGGGACTCTGCCTGGCACCTGGGCCGAATCTGGAGGCAGAAGATGGGAATCATAGCCCCTTACACTAGGAGGTGGGTGAGCAGAGGGACGTTTCTGTCCCTCCCCAGGGAAAGCCCAGCAAGCCTGCGTGTGTTTGTGCACACTGGCTGCATGGGGGGGTGGGGGAGTGGGGGATGGCATTGGGCTGTGCCCACATCCTCAAACGCGCAGAGCCTGGAGAAAAGTCGTGGAGTGTGGGGTCCCCACAGTCTCCCCAGGGTGTGGTGGGAGAACCCCCGGAGCCCAGGGAAACCACACCACCGCTAAGGACAGGAAGGTGGTGGCCCAAAGCAGGACCCGGCCAGGAGGTAAGGAGAATCCCAAGCTGTGAGGAGCCTGGAGGAGGCCTAGCTGCTCCCACGGTCCCAACCTGAGGGTCTGGCGGCTGAGAACAGCCATCACCATCATCACCGTCATTGGAGGATGAAAGGATGGCAGCTGCCCAGACCCGAGGAAGCCCTGCCTCCCACTTGGGCCCAGTAAAATCCTGAGAAACTCATGGCAGTGGGTGTGGCCGCGCAATACAGCATCAGCACAGGGAGGGTCCAGGGAGAAATCAGCTCATCCCGAAAAAAGAAAGAGGTCACATTGACTTACACATCTGAGTTTATCACCTGCAAAGGGTTACCCGCCTTAGGATTCTGCCTCACACTAGTGCTTCCTGCTAGGATGTGCAGTTCTGTGCACCCCTACCTTTCTTCCTACACACACACACCACACACGCACATATACCCTCCATACACTCTCCACCCCCGACACACACACCACCCCACACTCTTCATATGCTCTCCATACACACGCCCTGTCTCCACATACTCACCGCACACCCTCCATACACTACACACACACCACACACACACCAAACCACACTCTCCATACACTCTACACACACACACTACACACTCTCCATACTCTCTCCACACACACACACACTGTCTCCACAAGCACCACACACCCTCCATACACTCTACACACACACACCCTCCATACACTCTTCACACACACACATTCTCCACACACACGCCACACACACTTTCCATGCACACACACATTCTACATACACACACACTCCACACCCTCCACACACACACACCCTCTGTACACACACCCTACACATACACCTCATACACCCTGCATATACTCTTCACACACATTCTACACACACACACACCCTCCATACACACTCCCCTACACACACCATACACTCTACACACACACACCCTCCGTATACTCTTCACACACACATTCTACAGACACACACACACCCTCTGTACACACACCCTTCACATACAGCACACACACCCTCCACATGGAGACTCTGAGGCCCAAGAGGATCTCTCTGTGACCCTGTGTGAAAGGCAGAATAATACCACCTCCATATATCCCCAAGCCCTAGTCCCCAGAATCTGTGATATGCTATGTTCCATGACAAGGGAGAATTAAGGTTTGTCCTGGTCTGCTTCAGCTGCTGTAACAAAATGCCCTAGACTGGGTGGCTTAAACAACAGGCATTTATTTCTCAAGGTTCTGGAGGCTGGGAAGTCCACGGTCAAGGGGCCAGGAGGGTAGAGGTCTGGTTAGGGCTCGATTCCTGGCTTGTTGACAGGCCTCTTCACCAAGTCCTCACATGGCTGAGGCCAGAGAGAGGGCTTACTTAGCCCTTTTCCTCTTATAATGACACTAATCCCATCATGGGGGCCCCACCCTCATGACCTAATCACCTCCCGAAGGCCCCATTTCCTAATACCATTGCATTGGAGCTTCGTGCTCCAACCCATGAATTTGGAGGGACACAAACATTCAATCCATAGCAAGATTATAGAAGGAACTGGGGTTGTTAATCAGCTGACCTTGAGTTGGGGAGATTATCCTGGATTATCTGGGTGGTCCTTACAAGTGAAAGAGGGCAGTGAGAGTCGGTGTCAGAGCTGGAGAGAGATTTGAAGATGCCACGCCACCTTTGGAGATGGAGGAAGGAGCCGGAGCCACAGAACGTGGGTATCTTCCAGAAGATGCAAAAGACAAAGGAGTAGATTCTCCCCTGGAGCCTTCAGGAGGAATGTAGCCCTGCAGACACTTTGATTTTAGCCCAGCCAGACCCATTTTGGACTTCTGCCCTCCAAAACCATAAGATGATACATTGTTATTGTTTTTGGTGACTAAGCGTGTTACAGCAGCAATGAGTCTAGTGCTATCTGTTTCCTCAGCACAGCACTTTCCCTTTGCCTCCTGGCCTCTCTTCTGCTGTCTCCCACCCCACCCATTTTATCACATTGCTGTTGCTCTCCTGGTCCCCTACTACGGTTTGGATCTGTGTCCCCACCCAAATCTCATGTTGAAATGTAATCCCCAATGGTGGAGGTGTGGCGTGGTGGGAGGTGATTGGATCACAAGAGTGGTTTCTCATGGTTTAACACCATCCTTCCTTACTGCTGTCATTGAGATCGTGAGATATGGTTGTTTGAAAGTGTCTAGCACTTCCTTCCACACTTCCTCCTGCTCCGGCCTTGTGAAGTGCTCACTCCCCCTTTGCCTTCAGCCATGATTGTAAGTGTCCTAAGGCCTCCTCAGAAGCTGAGCAGATGCCACCATCATGTTTTCTGTATAGCCTGCTGAACCATGAGCCTCTTTTCTTTATAAATGACCCAGTTTCAGTTTTTTTTTATAGCAGTGTGAGAATTGACTAATATACTCCACAATCACTTTCTCTTCCTTGGACTTCTAACTCCAGCCCAGAGCAGGGGCCACTCTGAATCTTTTTTTTTTTTTTTTTTTTTTACCAGTTTTGGGCCAGGCAGCTCCCAAGTTTCAATTTCCATGGGGCAAAGTGGGAGCAAGCAGCCTGGGACAGGGGCCTGGACCCCCAGGCCTCCTTGGTCTTTTCTGGGGCGGGGGCAGTTGCTTCCACCCACCCCCCAAGCCAAGGGTGGGTGTGGAGGCCCAAGGTGGGCTAGGAGCAGGAAAGCAGGGAAGAGGCAGGGTGGATGGAGTGGGAGAGAGGCCGTCTCGAAGGTACCAGAGTGAGTCACACCTCGTAAAGCAGTGTGAACTGGAGCATGGAGAGTTACTGCCATCGGGACTTTCATGTCCTTTCAATAAAGCCTTATCAGCACCAAGCTGCATTTTTGGCTCTTAATTCCAGATGTGGCCCCAGCCGGTCCCCAGCAGGGCCTCCTTTCTCCCTGCCTTCTTTCTACACGGGCCACTCAAGGCAATGCTGGGCCAGCTGAAGGAGTGAGACATCCAAGTAGCCTAAATCAGCCTTTCAGGGCTGGGTTCTGGGTCACAGGAGCCAGACAAGCCCAGCCAGTTTAGAGGAAGGTCATGGATGCAGATTTCTGCCCCATGAGGCAGAGAGAGAGGAGGACCTGCTGGTGGCTCTGCCAAAGGTCTGGCTGAAAGACAGGGAGGTGGCCACATCCTGGGCTAATGCTGGGACACCTGGATCTTCACCCCAGCACTGTCCTTGACTCAAATGATAATCTTGGACAAGTCAGTTTGTTTTTCTAGCCTCAATAGTCTTGGCAAAACAAGGAACTTGCTCTAGCTTCTTTTGTTAATTAGTCAATAATT
This sequence comes from Homo sapiens, assembly GCF_000001405.40. NCBI lineage: Eukaryota > Metazoa > Chordata > Mammalia > Primates > Hominidae > Homo > Homo sapiens. The sequence continues at coordinate 44,507,083 of NC_000011.10, forward strand.
ATCTAGAAAACCAGTAGTGCATGCTGGTTTCTGTTGTGGTCCTGGGCGATGTAGGGTGAGTGAAGAGCAGGGTCTTGTAAAGCATTCATTCCAGCAGGGAGAGGCAGACAAATCCCAATAAAACACAGAAAAGGGCAAAATAACCACAGACTGTGAGCAATGCTGTGCAACAAAGGAAAGAGGATGATACGATGGAGGGACGCTTAGAGGAGGAGTCTTCCTTAGGAAGGTGGTCAGGGGCACCTTCTCTGAAGGGGAACTTTGAGCTGAAACAAATGGGATGATGTAGAGGAAGAGCATTCCTGGCAGAAGGAGCAGTGAGTGCAAAATCCCCAGGTGGGAATAAGTTTGGAGATTCGGAGAAAGAAAAGCCCTTATAGCCTGCAAGTGTGTGAGACAGAGAGAGAGAGGAGCAGGAGGGGAGGGCGGTCTGATAGGTGGGGTCAGATTTCTTTGAATTAATTAGGACCAGTTCAGGTGCATGTCCAAAAAGTACAGAGGTATGTAGTTTGGGGCTGGTATGACATTCCAGACTGTCACATCCCCAGCTGCTTCTATGTTGCTATTCCACAGCCAAAGCATGAGGTTCATTCCTCATGGCCCAAAATGGCTGCTTGAGCTCCAGACATCAAGTCCGCTTTCCAATTATCCAGAAGGAGGAAGGAGAAAAAGAAGCCAGATTTTCTCCCTTTAAGGGCACTGCCCAGTATTTGAACACACCATTTCTGCTTACATCGTATTACCAGGAATGCTGGAAAGCATATTCTTTATTCCAGTTGGTTACATGCCCAGCTAAGAATCAGGGGTTATATTACTCAGGAGGAAAAGGAGAATAGGCATGGGGTAGACAACTGGCAACTCTGCCAGCTCCCTACAAGGCAGAGAGTTCTCATGCAGAGCCTCCCGTGCCTCATCCACCACTCACACCCACATCCAACAACAGACTCATCATTTACCCTCCAACACCAAATCTTCCTGATCTCAGGAATTAGTGACACTGTCTGGTCAGTTGCCCAAGAGAGGAATTTGATGACTCTCTACATTCCCCGCAAGAACCACATCCAATATATTACCAAGGCCTGCCCATTCAACCCCCCAAATATATCCCGTCTGTTCTCTTTATCTCTCCTGCCACTGCCCTCATGGAAAGCCCATCTGTTCCCTGGTCCTCTGCCATAGCCCACAGATTGGTCTTCCTGCTTCCTCACATCAACTCTGCACAGAGCAGCCACCAGTCTGAAGGCCACTGGCTCTGTCAGAAGTTGTTCAGTGCCTTTCAGAATAACAATAATAAAGTCCTAAATCCATGATGTGGTCCTGCAATGACCAGGCCCTGCTTTGTCTCTTGTGCACTGTCTCCAGTTCTCCAACCCCTGCTTTTTGTCTCTCCTCTCCCTTCCGCCACATTGGCCCTCTTCCTTTCCTTCTTTCTTTTTTCTTTTTCTTTTCTTTTCTTTTTTTTTTTTTTTTTGAGACAGAGTCTCCCTCTGTCGCCCAGGCTGGAGTCCGCTGGCGCGATCTCGGCTCACTGTAACCTCCGCCTCCTGGGTTCAAGAGATTCTTGTGCCTCAGCCTCCCAAGTAGCTGGGATTACAGATGTGTGCCACCAGGCCCGGCTAATTATTGTATTTTTAATAGAGACAGTTTCGCCATGTTGGCCAGGCTGGTCTCGAACTCCTGACCTCAAGCGATTCACCTGCCTCAGCCTCCCAAAGTGCTGGGTTTACAAGCGTGAGCCACCGCACCCGGCCACGCTGGCCTTCTTTCAAGTCATCAAACACTCCGTGGTCTCTCCTATCACAGGACCTTTGCACATGCACTTCTGTCTGCCAGGAATGCTCTGCTTGCCTCCTTTCTCCCCAGTAAGTCCTATTTCAGAGAGCCTCCCCTGACCTACCACTTCCACCCTAGACTCAGCCATTTGCTCCCACAGCACCCTGTACATCTCACATACAGCATTTGTCACCATTGCAATTAACTAATTGTTTAATGGCTTCTCCTGTCAGAACATAGCTCCCTGGGGTAGGGAATGTATTGTGTTCAGGAACGGGTCCTGGTCCCCGGCACAAAGGGGTGTCCAATCTTTGCTGGTTCAATGAATACATTTCACTTCTCTGTGCCTTGCTGCACACCCAGCCCTGCACCAGCCGATGCCTCTTGATCCTGAAGAATGAGACTTTTGAACATCTGGGGGGTGAGAAACTTCATGTGAATGGTGGTGCTGCATCTGTATGGGCTACTCATGGCAAGATAAGACTTACACTTCTGAAAGAGGCCTTAGAGTTTCATGAAGTGCTGGGTTCTCAGCTACATGTGGCAGAGTGCATCTCTGGGTTTTAGTAACAGGATTAAATCTCACTTGAGACCTCCAGCAGGCGGAATTCCAGAAGGCAAGAGAGAGACGGGTGATCAGGGGCTGGTGGGGAGGGGAGGAAGGAAAGCTTTCAGCAGGATTTAAAGGAAGCCAGGGTGGTTACAGACAGCTGCACAGAGGCAGGCGGTATCAGGAGCCCAGAAGCCCAACCCACAAACGAAATGTCTTTTTAGGCCTCGTTTGTGGAGGAAATCTCAAACTTTTACTATGTATATATGTTACATTATATATATATATATATATATATATAATATGTTATATATATAGTATATATGTTATATATATGTATTTTATATATATACTATATATATAGTGTGTGTGTGTGTGTGTGTGTATATATATATATATATATATATATATATATATATACTGTGTGTATATATACACATTTTTTTTTTGAGACAGAGTCTTACTCTGTCACCCAGCCTGGAATGCAGTGGCAGGATCTCGGCTCACTGCAACCTCCACCTCCCAGGTTCGAGCAATTCTCCTGCCTCAGCCTCCCAAGTAGCTGAAATTACAGGCGTGCACCACCACGCCCAGCTAATTTTTTGTGTGTTTTTAGCAGGGATGGGGTTTCACCATGGTGGTCAGGCTGGTCTCGAACTCCTGACCTCAAATGATCCACCTGCCTTGGCCTCCCAAAGTGCTGGGATTATAAGTGTGAGCCACCATGCCCGGCCTAGGATATTTTTCATTGGAACTTATATTTGATCAGTGTGGGCATGATCAGGGGACCATAGCTGTGGGCTCACCTGGGTCCCTATTGCACTGAGTGACACTGAACATGTTGCTTCCACTATCTTGGCCTGCCTCAGTTTCCCTCTCTGTAAAAAAGGAGTGGTTGAACTAGCAGATCTTGAGAGTCCTTGCAATTAGCTCTCATACTGATGAAATGCTCTCTGGAAAATGTAGGAGACCTATTTAGATGTGAATGTTACTATTAGTCAGTCTGGGCTAGGCTGTACAGTGTATAACTGACGAACCCTGACATCTCGGTGGCTTAGCACAATAATGACATATTTCTCCCTCACATAAAATCTGTTGCATCATCTGGAACACGCGTCCTCCACGTCCTGAGGCAGGGGAGAGAACGACGAAGAAGGCACTTTGGCTCTGACCGCCTCTGCCTGGAAGTACAGTTTCCATTCACGTTCTGCTGGTCAAAGGAGTCACGTGGCTCCACCCAGCCACAAGGGAGTCTGGGAGGTGGAAGGAGCCCTTGGAATATGTGGTGAGTTCCGACTGTCTCTTTCACCCTCCATGATATGATGTTGGGTTGGAAAAACCTCTACACTCATGAGTGTAACTCACCAGCATCGAGCACCTTCTACGTGTGTACCCCAAAATAGGGCCACACCCTGGACACTCTCCTTTGCTCCACTCACATTCCAGCTGACATGCAGAGACCCCAATCTCTCCTGCACACCCACCACTCCTCAGCGGAACATCCAGCACCTCAAAGACATCTGGAATCCCTCCTTCCTAGTGGGAGACATGGAACTAGCCACAGAAGGTGTCTCGCCAACTGTGGGGCATCCTTGGTATGACTAAGGGGACGTCTGTTCCCCCTTTGTCTTGAATATGGTCAAGGTAAATGGAAAAGGGGATTGGCCTTTCAACCAAAGAGAAAACATTTGAAACCTTGAACTTGCTAAGTCTGTCATTCTCGTACCACACAGCCCTCCACCCACCCATTCTGTTATTCAACAGGCATTTTATGCCAGACATTGGATGAGACTTTGGGGTGTAGAGCCCTAGAATGTACAAAGTTTTGTTGGGTGCACAAGGAGAATGGTATAAGGGTATGGCCCTTAGGGCAAGTCTAACTGGCTTTTGCTGAAACCAATAATAAGCAGGTAATCGTAATGATAATGAAGATGCTGAAGACAATGGTGATAGCTTCTGTCTCCTGAGTGGTAATTATGTGCCAGGCACTGGGTACTGTGTTTAATGTCTTACAAATATGATTGCCATTGATCTTCAAAACAACCCCAGTGAAGTCAGAGTTATTATCCCCATTTTCCCCGTTTTCTTGATAATTCAACATCCAAAGCCAGCCTACGAGTCCAGGTACAGCACAGCTGGCTGTGCCCTTTCGAGGTTTGTTCAGCAATGGTGGTAGCATCTCCAATGGATCCATTCTGCCCAGGGATTAAAGGCATCCTTCCTCACTGCGTAGCCTCTAAGCCTGCTTCTCCAGCCCCTGTCTCCTTAAATTAGCCACATTGGTTTGTGTCGCCTGCTACAAGGAACTCTGTGTAGTTGATGTCAACCAGCAGGAAAATATCCCAGCAAAAGATGAGAGGAATCCACTAGTGCCTCAAAGATGCCATCTTTTCCTTCCCCCTCTGTCTCTGCCTGAGTTCAAGGTCACACCAACTCTTCCTGGATTATTAAAATGGCCACTACATGGCCCTCCCTATGTCCACAGTTTGCTCCTTTAACCATTGTTCACACAGCTGTGAGGGGACCCTCTCTAACATAGAAATCTGACCTGTCACCCCCAGCTTCTAAGTGTCTGCAGGTCCCAGTGACCAGGAGGTCAAGGGCTCCATCCTCCACCATGCCTTTCTGGCCCTTCAGATCTGCCACTGTCTGCCTACCTCCAATCATGTCCTCTATTGGCTGCCTCTGGACAGTTCTCCAAATGTGCCATTGACACTAAGTCCTCTGAGCCTTGATTCACATGGTTCTATCCAGTAAATAGTTGTAATATTGAGCCCTGTGCTTGTCCCATCTTCATCCCCAGTACCTGGCACATATTGAGTTCTCAGTAAGAAGAACTTAACTGAATTAAGTTCAGTTAAGTTGTTGAATTAACTGAATTAAAATGAAATGGGACTCTGAGTGGTCATCTAATTCAGAGGTCTCAAATGGGTTTCCCAAAGGCTGAATTCAGCTAGCATCATTTAAAGATTTTATTTTAACTAGCTGTCAGCTTTTTCTAAAGGAAAGATTCCACATAGGAATGGATGCAACTTTCTGACTTCTCTTCTATAAGCAGAAGAGCTGCTCCTGCTTTCCTTCCCAGCCTACATTCTGCTCTGACAATAATCGCGTTGGTGGGAGCAGAGTGGCGGATGTTTCTTATAAACAGGACAAGGGTTCTCCATTTTTCTGCAGCTCCTACCCAGCTCACCTTTCTCTTTTTGGCAAAATCTGTCTTGGGCTCTTATAAGCACTAAAATTTTCAGTGCCTGAACTGTTTGAAACCTTATTTTACAAGTGGACATAGATGCCTGCTAGGGGCTTGTCCAAGTTTGCATTTGGGGGAAAGCTGGGGCTGGGACTGAGGTCCCCAGGTCCTAACTCTGGTCCACCATCTGTCACGCCATCCCCATGCATCGCTCTCCATTCGATGGAAGCGGCCCTGCAGGCCCCACACGTGCTGGAATCTCCGTTTTGGATTTGCCTTAAGCTCCTTTTGCTACAAGGTTGGGGATGTTTAGAGCCTCCTAAGTCTACATAAACTCCTCCCTATACCACCCCCAACGAGCTCCTCCGATGCCCCCTAGCTCAGCGTCCAGGGCCACATCCATCACAGACACTGGGCTGTCAGCACGGCCACGTGCCCCTCACAAAAGCCTGAATCCAGAATGGATTTATCCCGGGGGGAGCTTTGTTATGCTTTTATGTCTTCAATTCATTAGATGTTCTGTCAGCAGCATAAATCAGGACCGGACTTTCTTCTTGCACACTCGGGAACAGAAAAGACACGCAGGGAACAGATCTGAAACTCACAGAGGGCTAAACACAGAAGACCACGTTTTATCACCCCCCCATCCCATATTTATTCATTATTTTTTTAACCAAAAAGAGATCTGAGAGAGATTCCAGGCATTGGGGGAGAGTGAGGAGGGAGGATGGATGGGGAAACTGAAGTTGAAGTTATTGGTTTTCCCATAATCCTATGAGATTGTCCCTAATTTTCCTCAATTCCATAGTTTTAAAAATCCTATTATTCTTCCCTGGCACACCTAAGGGGAGTTATTTTTAAAAAAATAAACCCAATCAACCAGGCATGGTGGCTCACACCTGTAATCCCAGCACTTTGGGAGGCCGAGGCAGGCAGATCACGAGGTCAGGAGATAAAGAGACCATCCTGGCTAACACGGTGAAACCCCGTCTCTACTAAAAATAAAAAAAAATTAGCCAGGTGTTGTGGCGGGTGCCTGTAGTCCCAGCTACTTGGGAGGCTGAGGCAGGAGAATGGCGTGAACCCGGGAGGCGGAGCTTGCAGTGAGCCGAGATCACGCCACTGCACTCCAGCCTGGGTGACAGAGCAAGACTCCGCCTCAAAAAATAATAATAGTAAAATAAAATAAAAAAATAAACCCAATCACGTTAAACTCTTCAATAGCTCTCCATCACAATGGGAACAAAATCCAAACTCCCTACCGGGGGCCTGGCCCATGCCTTCCTCTCCCATTTCATCTTGCACAACTCTCTCCCTTTGCTCAATAAGTTGCAAAAACGTTTTTCATTCATTCAATGCAAGTTTAATGAGCACCTACTAGGTGCCAGGTACTTTTATAGGCCCTCAGGTAGGGTCTATAAAAGCTCTGAGGGGGCACCAGTGAATGGTACAGACAGAGCTGGTGGGAAAGGCAGATGTCTTATAAACAGGTAATTGAAGACTTCATTAATTACAGCTAGGCACAGAAGAGACTGCATTATAGGAAAGCCCACCAAGACTGAATTGTTGCCTTCCAGAGCAGAACCACATCTCTGTTCTTCAGGAAAGCCTTTTCTGATCTACAACTCACTCATTCATTCATTCATTTATTCATTGAACAAATATTCATAAAAGGTCTACTAGGGACAGTATATATAAAGTTAGTAGGGAACAAACAGACGTACATTCCTGCCTTATGAAGCTTACATTTTGGTGAAAGTGAGACAATATCCTAAATGAACAAACACATGTATAATATGTCAAATGTGACAAGTGCTATTAAAGAAGAAACCAGAGGCCAGGCCCAGTGTGGCATGCCTGTAATACCAGGTACCCAGGAGGCTGAGGCAGGAGGATCGCTGGAGCCCAGGAGTTTGAGGCCAGCCTGGATGACATGGTGAGCCCCCGTCTCTGAAAACAATTTTACAGGCCAGGCACAGTGGCTCACATCTGTAATCCCAGCACTTTGGGAGACTCAGGTAGGCAGAGAACTTGAGCCTAGGAGTTCAAGACCAGCCTGGGCAACATGGCAAAACCCCATCTGTACAAAAAAAAATACAAAAATTAGCAGGGTGTGGTAGTGCACACCTGTAGTCCCAGCTACTCAGGAGGCTGAGATGGGAAGATCGCTTGAGCTGGGGAGGTGGAGGCTGCAGTGAGCAGAGATCATGCTACTGCATTTTAGCCTGGGCAACAGAGTGAGACCCTTTCTCCAAAAAAAAAAAAAAAATTCAGATGGGGTAGACCAAGGAGGCCTCTCTTAGAAGGTATCATTTAGCCAGAGACCAGAGTGAAGTGAGGGAATGAGCCATGAGGATAAAAGGTGGAGGGGCATGAGTGCTCCAGGGAGAGATAACATTGAGTGCAGAGGCCCTGGAGTGGGAGTGAGCAGGATGTGTTCAAGCACGTGCAAGGAGACCCATGTGGTAAGCCAAGGGTGGGGTAAGAATGAAGATGGAAGAAGAGGCCAGAAGTCAACTCACGCAAGGCCTGTAGGCCATGGGAAGGGCTCTGCATGTATTCTGAGTGTGGCAGGAAGCTCTGAGGGTTTAGACCATGGGAGAGCCTGAGTGGATGCTGGGAACAATTCAGGAAATGTCCCCAGCTGGGGCAAGGAGAGACTGGAGAGGGAGGAGTGCGTGGGGATTCTTGGCATCTGGAGAATGGAGAACTGAGCTTTATGCCTTGGGTGCTTGCCTGAGGCACACACAGTAACATTCCATCTATGCTACATTTTTATATTATCATTACCTCCCTCCAGCTGTCCCTCTGTCCAGGAACCACATATCCTACTCTGTCTCTACTTCCTACACTGTTTTGGACATCTGAAAGGGTATTAGGTTCACACCAGCATGAAGTCCGACTTGATGTAATACTTTTCCAAGAATAGAGAATGCAAATGAAAGAATTTTGTTCTTTCTAACCCCAAACTTATTCCCATATCGGGCCTTTGATGCAGCTACAGCTTCGAGAATGTGGACTCTCCTTTCCCCCAGCACCTTCACCCAGAGCCTCACTATTCCATCCTTTAGAGATGTGTTGCCCCAAACTTTGCATGTTGAAGCCCTAACCCCCAGTGGGAATGCATTGGAGACAAGGCTTTTAGGAAGTAATTAAGGTTAAATGAGATCATAAGGGTGAATTCCCAATCCAATGGGATGGGTGATGTTATAAGAAGAGGAAGAGCTCTCTCTCTTTCTCTCTGGAAAGGTCATGTGAGGACAGAGTGAGAAGGTGGCTGCCTGCAAGCCAGGAAGAGAGATCTCACCAGGAACCAAATCAGCCACCACTTTGATCTTGAACTTCACGGCCTCCAGAACTCCGGACATGAGAAATAAATGTCTGTTGTTTAAGGTATTGTTTAAGATACTTAAGATACTTTGTATGGCAGCCCACGCAGGCAAAAACAAGAGGTTTCCCAACTCTTTTGATCATGTATCCCTCTCCAACAGTAAAAACATTGATGGGCATGGTAGTTCATACCTGTAATCCCAACACTTTGGGAGACCAAGGCATGAGGATTGCTTGAGCCTAGGAGTTTGAGACCAACCTGAGCAACATAGGGAGACCCTTTATCTAAAAAAAATAAAAAATTAGTCAGGTGTGATAGTGTGTGCCTGTGGCCCCAGCTACTTCAGAAGCTCAGGTAGGAGGATCACTTAAACCTAGGAGGCCTAGTCTGCAGTGAGCTATGATTGCACCACTGCACTCCAGCCTGGGCAACAGGATGAGACTCTGTCTCAAAACAAATCAAAAAACATTGAGCACACCCTCCGCCAACTGTATGCATAACTATTTATAAATTTTACATACATATGCCATATACTTTGCCATCAATCTGTGCATAAAACATCAGAGAAAATTTTGGTATCTTGTTTTTAAGATTGACAAATAACAATAAATGAAAGTTTTACTATTTTCTTCATGTACCCCATGGATTCGCTTATGCACTCCTCTTAGGAGGCATTATTTTATAACTCAATCTCTGTTATTCAGGAAAGCATTTTCTGATCTACAACTCACTCATTCATTCATTCATTTATTCATTGAACAAATATTTATAAAAGCCCTACTAAGGACAGTGTATATTAATGCATCAGATGTGGTTCTGCTCTGGAAGGCAACAATTCAGTCTTGGTGGGCCTTCCTGTAATGCAGTCTCCTCTGTGGCTAGCTGTAATTAAATAAATGTTGAATTATCTGTTTATAAGACATCTACCCTTCCCATCAGCTCTGTCTGTACCATTCACTGGTGCCCTCTTAGAACTTGGCACATAGTAGGTATTCAATAAGTAGCAAATGGATGAATGAATGAACACATGAACAAAAGAATGAATGACTGAGCTCACTTCCCCTTTTTTCTCCCCTTTCCTCAGGTCAGTCTTGCCATGAAAACATTTTGAAGCAGCCCAGGGGCCGGCAGATCGGCCAGTGGAGTGGGAGTGATGGGGGGAGATTTGTGAGCAGGGGCCAGGTTAGCAGTGGTTTTATTACATCCCATTAAGCATATGGTCATAATTATAATAAGCACATGAGTTATGGCGAGTGACATATGTTTCTTTAGAAAAAAAAGGAGAGGAGGAAGAGAAAAAGAAACACTGCAAGCCCCCAGAAGTGGCCTGGATAGGTGGCTGGGCCAAATGAGTGAGCGTGGGCCTGCCCTGCCCTGTGCTTTTTAACCCCTTCACATCCTGGGCGTGACCTGCAGAAGAGAGAGAAGGCAGCCAAGGCTGGGCTCCAGGGAGATCAGGGACTCCCAGGCACCCAGCAAGGTCTGGGGGCTTCTGAGAGGATCTTGCCCACTTCTCTGAGAGTCACCAGAGGACAGGCATGTGGTCAGCTAGTTAGTGTTCCAGTAGCCAAGACAAGACCTGGCCCAGAGCAGACATTTGGGGTGTGTGTGTGTGTGTGTGTGTGTGTGTAAAGAGAATGGAGGAGGGAGAGGAGGAAGGAGAAAAGAAAGAATAAAGAAAAAAAGAAGGGAGGGAATAAGGGAGAAGAGAGAGGGAGGTGATTAGAGCTTCTAAATGAACTTTCATTTGTTCATTCATTCAACAATCAGGTTGTTTAACGCACATGGCATGGTGCAGTGGGTGAGCCCTGGGCTGGGGTCGGGACACCTGGGTTGTTCCCTGGGCTTCTCCATTCATATCCTGTGTGGTCTTGGGTAAACCACTTTCCTTCTCTGATCCTGATTTTTCTAAGGGGCTGGTCACTCAAATCTTTCTGGGCTTGGGCTTTGTGGGGTTTGCAATCCTCTGGGTGGACAGGGACCCAGAGAAGCCTGCCTCCTGCAGGAGATGCACCAGGGATGTCTGCAGCCAACCCTCAGCCAGGAGGTTCCTAACAGATCATTTAACCAACCTCCCTCTCATCCATTTTCCAAGTGTAAAAATAGCAGCCTGGATGTCTGTGCTGCCTCCCCATGAATAAGCCAGTTCTTCTTCTGTCTTCCATGTCCCGAGGTCCAAAAGGACTATAACCAAAAATTCAAAGATACAAGCATCTTTAGCCCATCTTCCATGATCAAAGAGATCTCCATGTCTGGGAAGCAGCAGAAGACAAGGGACCCTATTCTAAGAAGCACCACCTCACCCTGGCAGCCAGACCTCTAGCCCTCGGCCCCTAGAACAGGCATCAGGGGCTGCAGAAGGAGGCTGTGGGAACTGGGGACCGTGGACACCAGAACCTGGGGGGTCAGGAGGAACCAGACCCCATCTCTGAAAATGTGCACTAGAGCCTTGTCACCTAGAGAACAGTGCTTTAACTCACTCAAGTGGTTTCACACCATCTTGGTTGATGAGGAGATGTGATTTGCTCAAAATCTCTCAGCAGCAGGTGGCAGAGCCAGGCAGGGATGCGGGTCTGCCTGAAGCCTGTGCCAGGCCAGTTCTTCCTGCCCAAGGGCCCTACCTCTGCAGAGCGGAGGCCTGGCCTGGCCTGGCCTCTAAAGGTGTGACCTGGGGCAAGTCAGGTCAGCACTCTGACACTCAATATCTTCCCCTGTAGAATGGAGACCGCCCCTCAGAGGGCTCTTGGTGGGGGTGTGGGGCTTGGGGCAGGACCAAGTTAGAGCTTCCCAGACTTTTCCCCAAGGGAGGTGGCTTTTATTATCCTGTGTTTTGAAAGATTTCTATCTCTTGAACAAACTTTGTTTTAAAGTAATAATTAATTTATTTCCCCCTTCTTATTCCTCAAAGACACAGGTGGTCATCCTCTGAGAGATGACTGTGGCTTCCATGCTTGGCTGTCAGAATTCCAGTCGCCTCCAAGATGGAAGACTCTGCCCAGCCTGGATTCCTTGACCACAGGCAAAATATGTCTGGTCTGCGAGGGCCCCTGAACTGTTGAGATGACAAGATTAAACCCAGAAGGCCATCTGCCCTCTGAGGACCCCATGCCAAGCACCCCTGAGAGGGTGATGGTGATCATAAATGAAGCTGTGGGCCTTCATGGAGCTCCCTGACAGACCCACATGGCTCCTGGAAGTTTGCATGTGTGACCTGGAGGGCTCTGGCACTTGTGCTCATTTTGCAGAAGAGGAACTGTGACTAAGACATCAACGATTCCCCCCAAGCTGGGAGGTGGCAGAGTCAGGGCTTCAGTTCTATCTGATTCCAGAACGACCCTTCTGTTGTAGTCAGCTTGGCCTGGCTTAACAAGACACCACAGGGTGGGTGGCTTAAACAACAGACATTTATTGCTCCTAGTTCTGGAAGCTAGAAGTCCAAGATCAAAGTGCCGGCAGATTATGTTCCTGGTGAGGGCTCTCTTCCTGGCTACCTTCTCACTGTGTTCTCAAGTGGCAAGGAGAGAGACAGAGAGGTGTAACTCTGGTGTTTCTTCCTTTCCTTATAAGGACGTGAATCCCAAGATGGGGGTTCCACCCTCATGACCACATCTCAACCTAATTACCTCTCAAACACCCCACCTCTAAAACCTTCACATTGGAGGTTAGGGCTTCAACATGTAAATTTGGGGGGAACACAAACATTCAATGCATAACATGCCCAAAACCCCAACACTAATCTCCCCCTTCCCATGACTGAGTCCAGCAAGGCCTCCGTGAGTGGATCCTTGCCCTGGAGGACTTTGCAGTGTAGCAGAGAATGCTGGACGAAAATTGATCTGACCAAACTTGCAAGGCAGCCATGCAAAGGCCCCAGGAGGCCTCGCAGGATTTGGCCAAAGATTGGCCACTGGTCCTGCATCAGAGCCAGACAGCCAGGAGAACTCTGAGCTTCCCTCTCTGTGCCTCAGTTTCCACCGCTACAGAGCACGGACACTGATGCCTCAAAGGGCTGCTGAAAGCCTTCCAAGAAAACAGCAGAGGTCAAAACGCCCAGCGACCTGCGACTGAAACAAATCCGCCCTCGGGCTGCAGGCCTTCTCTGTGCGTTGCCAGGTGGGGGCGGGAAAGGAAACGGAGGAGGATCGCATTCTGGGGGCCTGTCCCGGGAACTGGGGCCGCCCCGCAGAGTGATGGCCACAGTGGGACGAACCTCCAGATAAATAAGAACAGTCCGCGTGAGCCGGGCTCATCTTAACACTAAGCAGAGGGGCCTGGGGCCGGACTTGAAAGCTGCCGGCTGAGATGGATGGGCTGCTGCCGAGGCGGGGGCAGCTGGGCGCGGGGAATGAGTGATGGGGTGTCGGGGCGCTCAGTCACCGCCAGCCAGAGATGCCGGCCTCTGTCCGGCCGCCGGGACATGTGCAGGGCCGCCGCCCCTCCCACGGCCCTGCGGGGGATTTATGGCTTCGTTAAAGGCCCGGAGAGGGGCTGAGGCCAGGCCTGCGGTGGGAGGGTTGGATGTCGGCCTGGCTGCCCCTGCTGGATTTCCGCCCTGAGCAGTGGAGGGGAAACCAGGCCGGGCCCCACAGGGCAGTGTGGCTAGGGGTCAGGCACAGAGGGGCGTGAGGCCTGGCCTCCTTCCTTAGGTTGGCTGGCCCCGAAGGACGCCTGGGTGGAGGGTGCTGGCATCTCCCAGTGACCCCCTGTACCGGCCCCACCCTTGGCTCTTGGTCTGTGTTTATACCTTGGCGCCTTCGCAGCTCCGCTTGCTTTTTCCAGCTGCCTTGCTTTTCCCCACACAGGTCCTTCTGCCTGGAGTGCCCGGTGCCTTGCAGAGCTCCCACCCTTCCTTGTTGCCTTGGCGCCTGTGCCACCGCTGTTGGAAGGCTTCCTTTGACACTCCTGCTCCATCCTGGCAGTGCGGGGCTCCCTCATCAGGGCCCTGCTTTTCTCCTTGTCCATCAAGGCAGGGATCCCCCTTATTCTTCGTCTTTAACCTGTGATATTAACTAAACCATTTATTGCGCTCTACTATGAGCCAGGGGCTGTGCTCAGCATTTCAGTATTTTATTACTGACTGTGTTCATCCATTCATTTCATAGACAGGAAAACTGAGCCTTGGAGAATCACTTGCTAGGATTCAAACCAAGGTCTGTCTGATTCCAAAATACAAAAGTGCTTGTCAAGTCCGTGAAGCACCAGCCTTGGGGAAAATCAGCAAACATGGAACAAGTTTTCTCTTTTTCCCTTGCTACTGTTTTTCTGAGTCTGGCATCCCATAGATTCAGTGATATGACTTCACATATGCACAGTAATGGGACTTCACATATGTCCTCTGATTTGATCCTTATAGCAATTTGGTGAGGTCAGCCTTATGATGATCAACCCATTTTACAGAGTGGAAAAACTGAGATCCAAAGAAGGGACATGCCCCGCCAGGGTCACAGCCAGCAGGTGGCTGAGCCAGGGTTCTAGGATGTCCCACACTCTTTCCAAGGCCCCTCAGCTCTTCTCACACCTCCTCTCTCTCAGCTAGGTCTCAGCTCTGGAGGGCGGACCTAGGGAATGCTGAGACCCTGCAGGTGGACTTTTGATCCTTCTCACTGGGGGAGCACAGGAGCCTTCAGGCATGAAACTCTTGGGTCATCCATGAGCCTCCCTAAAGCCCAGGCCCTCGCTAACACCCACTCCACTGACCTCGCTCCAGGAGAGATCCTTTCCTTTGGTAGGATAAAGCCCCTGGCTCCCAAGTCACCCTGGCCTCCTACCCCTCTACATCCTTTTGTGCTGGGGTTGAGGTCCCTGCCTGCCTGGACCTGCAGCTCTGGAGTTGGCACAGCTGTTAGTCAGGAAGCAGCCTTCTCCCACCACCTCAGCCTCCCTGATGGGTACTCTGGCTCAAATAAGAGTGTGGACAACAGCTGGGCGTGGTGGCTCACACCTGTAATTCCAGCACTTTGGGAGGCCGAGGTGGGTGGATCATGAGGTCAGGAGTTTGAGACCAGCCTGGCCAATATGGTGAAACCCTGCCTCTATTAAAAACACAAAAATTAGCCGGGTGTGGTGGCACGCACCTGTAGTCCCAGCTACTCGGGAGGCTGAGGCAGAAGAATCGCTTGAACCCAGGAGGCGGAGGTTGCAGTGAGCCGAGATTGCACCACTGCACTCCAGCCTGGGTGACAGAGCGAGACTCAGTCTCAAAAAAAAAAAAAAAAAAAGTGTGGACTACAGACAGTCCATCGAGGCTGGCTGTCTGGGGAGGAATTGGAGCAATGCAAACTGGATGCCTTTTTGCCCTCCACGTCCTCACAGCCCCACTGCCTTCTGGGTCTCTTAATCATCTATTTTGGGTCCAGATTTTTTAACCAGTTGAGATTCTTAACACCTGTCCCAAAGGATCGGTCAAGCTCCCCATTAATTCCCTATTTAGGAGGAAAGGGAGGCTTTGAGGAGGAGATTGACATGTCTGCAACTGTTGTGGAGCACAGGACTAGAGTTAGCACTTGAGCCTGCAAAGATTTTTCTGCCTCCATCATTCATTCATTCATTCATTTATTCACTCACTCATTTACTCACCTACTGTGTGCAAGGCCCGTTTGTTGAGCACCTACTATGTGCAAAAGCAATGTTCTAGGCATTGGAATACCTTCATGAACAAGACTGGCAAATATTTTGTCTTCAGCTATAGCCCAGTAGAAAAGACAGGCATGAGACAGAAGTTCAGAGAATAATTAAGGCATGCTATGACAAATCACTTTGCTCACATCTCTGCTCAAATGTCACCTCTTCTGAGTGACCTTTCCGGACCCCCATGTCTAAAATACCACCCCATCAATCTCCATCCCCTTTCCTGATTTTTCAAAAAGTAGGAGTATGAGTATTTGGTACAAGGTTATGCATTTCTTTGTTTTCCTGTCTTCCCCACTAGACAGTGCACACCACGAGGGTGGGAGTTGTGACCCCTTTGTGCTCTGTCTCCAGCACCTGACTTACCATGTGCTCTGAGTAGATACTTACTGAATGAAACATGAATGAATGAATGAATGCTACAAAGAAGATATACAGGTGCTCTGGGAGGAAAAACAGGGAAACCCAGCCTAGCCTGGAGTTCAGGGGGAGGTAACCCCCAAAGCAGGAGCTAACTTCAGACTGAGCTCCAAAGCAGGCCAGGACACTAGAAAAGAGGCAGGAAGTCTGGGCGCGGTGGCTCACGTCAGTAATCCCAGCACTTTGGTAGTCCAAGGTAGGCAGATCACGAGGTCAGGAGTTCAAGACCAGCCTGGCCAATATGGTGAAACCCCGTCTCTACTAAAAATACAAAAAAACTAGCCAGGCATGATGGTGTGCGCCTGTAGTCCTAGCTACTCGGGAGGCTGAGGCAGGAGAATTTCTTGAACCCAGGAGGCGAAGGTTGCAGTGAGCCAAGATTGAGCCACTGCACTCCAGCCTGGGCAATAGAGGAAGACTCCGTATCAAAAAAAAAAAAAAAAAGAAGAAGAAGAAAGAAGAAGAAGAAGAAGAAGAAGAAGAAGGAGAAGGAGAAGGAGAAGGAGAAGGAGAAGGAGAAGGAGAAGGAGAAGGAGAAGGAGAAGGAGAAGAAGAAGAAGAAGAAGAAGAAGAAGAAGAAGAGGCAGGAAGAGCATTTCAGGCAGAGGAACCACAGCATGCGCAGAGCCCAGGATATCGACGATCTACAAAGGTCCCCTATCTGCAAAGCTTCCCCTACAGGACAGTCACAGGCAGCTGCCTTGAGGGCACACCAGGGGGAGCCAGCAAGCCTTTGATGGCACCGCAAAAGAGGCTCCAGATCCTCGGATTAAAATTCTGGCTATGTGATCTTCGGCAAGCTCTTTAACTTCCCTTAGTTAGCCTCTTTTCTCATTTGTAAAATGGAGATGAGAGTGACACCTACCTTGAGGGGTTACTGTAAGGACACAGAATGACAACTTCAAGTTTTTTAGATGAGAGCCTGATCCGTGGTGAGACTTTAACAAATGCTGGTGGCCGGGTGCAGTGGCTCATGCCTGTAATCCCAGCACTTCGGTAGGCCGAGGCAGGAGGATTGCTTGAGGCCAGGAGTCCCAGACAAGCCTAAATAACATGAGATCCTGTCTGTACAAAAAATTGGAAAATTAGCCAGGTGTGGTGGCATATGCCTGTGGTCCCAGCTACTCAGGAGGCTGAAGTAGGAGGTTTGCTTGAAACCAGGAGTTCAAGGCTGCAGCAAGTCATTGATTGTGTCACTGCACTCCAGCCCGGGTGATAGAGTAAGACCCTGTCACTAAAAAAGTTAAAAAAAAAAAAAAAAAAAGCTGGCTATGTTAGCACAGTGCTGCCTCTCCTCACCCACTAGAAAATTTAGGCCAAGGTAATCGGGCTGTCACAGAAGCAATATTCTCAGCTGGCTTTAATCTAGGAACGGTGGGGTGGAAAATAAAAAAGACTCCCAGTCCCTTGAGCAAAGCAGTTGCCTCAGCCTCAGTATCCCCATCTGCTCAAGGAGGCCTCGGCCGGCTTCTCCGTGTGGCCGAGTTTCCCTCTCACGGCCTGTTCCCAGCCAAGCTTCCAGTTCCCTGAGGTTTTCACTTCCTGTCAGAGACCTCAGGGCCTTACACATCCAGGCCTTCACCTCCTGCACGGATATTTTGCACTTTCCACCTTCCCCCAGCCCAGATGTCCTGGAGTCCTGCCTCCCCGGCTCCCTCTGGGCCTGCTCTCTGTCCCTGCCTGGCCACCACCTAGCCAGCAAGCTGTTGGTGTCTCCCCAGGCACGCAGCGCCTGGTGCAGGGGCTACACTGCCCTGAAAACCCCCAGGATACCAAGCACCCCCGAACTCCACCCATCTGTGATGACTTCAGCAGAAAGTCCTGCCCATACTTGTGGAAATTAGTGTGTGTGTGTGTCGGGGGCGGGGGTTGGGGGCTAATCTTAGAGAGGGCCCTATTTGCCCCTCGCTGCACACCACAGGGAAGACATGCTCCAGGTAAGTGCACGTTTTCACACATACTCTCGAGTGCACGTGGGCTCGAAAGGGCTGGAAAAGCTTCCCCCTGGACAGAGCTAGTCTCAGAAACTCAGGACGTGGGAAGGGGGTCACTGAGGGGGAGGCTCTGGCACTGGGCCCAGCACTGTGGTTTCTGATGCTGCCTCAGCCGCCAATTGGAAGGAAGCTTGGGAGGAGGAGGAGGAAGCGCTGAGTGTGCAAATGAGCAGTGACATGGGAAATCTCACAGGGCAGAGGCAGCCTTCAGGATCTACACCAGGACGAGGTGACCTGGTTTCCCCTGGCTTGGTGGCCCTGGAGGAGTCACTGTGCTTCTCTAGGCTGATTCCCTCTTCTGCAAAATGTCAGTCCCAGACAGTAGGCAGCAAAGAGTGGGTAGACCCGAGTCCCAGTCACAGCCAGTCTCCCCGGGATCCTGAGGCTGCAACAGAGGGTGCTCCTCGCTGGGCCTCCATGTCCTCATCTACAAAATGGGGACAGTGACCCTGATCTTGCAGGATTGCCCCAAGGTTGAGAAATGGTGTACACAGAGCATCAGACACACTACCTCTTAGATACATCCCTTCCTCGAGGTGCCTGCCAGGCCCCAAGTGAGATCAAGCCTCCTCTCTAGGGTCTTCCCTCACCGACAGTGGCCTTCACAGCACTGGGTGCTGTCTGAACTTTTATGCATATTCATGGGATGATTTGACAAACGTCCCTTTCCGCACTAGATTGTAAGCTCCTTGAAGGCAGGGATCCCAGCCTGGCACATAGTAGGGGCTTCTCTTAGTCAAGATCCAGCTAGGAAACCAGAACTCAAGTCAGGTATTTCAACAGAGGGCATGTGATATAGGGAGCTAGTTCGGAAGGTGTTGGAGGAGCTGAAAGGCCTGACCGGGGATGGTGAGCCACCCACCGACAAGCAGCGGCAGGCAGCTGTGACAACCTGGGACTCCAGAGACCGGGGAGGAAGTGCCGATACCCAAAGCCTGGGAACCAGACTAGGTGTGGGACACCGGAACCACAGTCAGGCAGGGGGCTGCCCATGGGAGCTGGAACCCTGGCGGTGACCCAACCACTTCCCAAGTTGCCACTAAAGCAGAGAGAAATGAGGAGGAAGACCCTGGCTCCTCCCTTCCGCCCCGCCCGCTGATCTCCATCCAGTTCTTCCCATTGGCCAAGACTAACAGGAAGCCGGCGGGCAAAGGAGCCTGGGAAATATATCAACAGTTGGCAGGAGTCAGCCCCGAGACACAGGGGAGGGCCAGGGAAAAGTAGAGGATCCATCCGTTCGCTTTCTGAGAGGGAAGGACAAATGGCAGTCCCAGGGCTCCCCTTATTTACTGGTTCACAAATGCCTACAGCATTTACGAGGCACACAGGGCAATGTTCTGAGCTTTTGACGAATGAGCAGCAGGAGTTCAGTAAATGATACCCGTCCTTGTTGATGGTGCTTTTGTTTTTGTGGTCAGACGCGTTCCAAGGGGCTCAGACCTGCTGTGATTCTGAGATTTTTCTGTCTCTGACCCCAAGATCCTCACCCCAACCCTGGCCTTTTTGGGCTCAGGGAGCCCAGACCCACCCCCTTCTCCAGGCCCTGCTGAGAGTAGGGGGAGGAAGGGCAGAGGATGCAGCCCCCCGGGCCTGAGCCCCTGCAGAGCCCCTCCATCTCTGCCCCGGGCTCCGTGGGGAGCAGGCTCTCCCTCTCCCCGCCTGTCAGTCAAACCCTGCCGCTTGGAAGTTCAAGCGTGGCCAAAAGGAAGCAGATTTCAAAACACACCTCTGCTCGACCCGCTTTCCTCCCCGCCCCCTCATCCGAGCTGACCCAGGCTCTCTGGGGGCTCCCTTGCCCCAGGCCTATCCCAGACAGAGCTGAAACCATAAGGATCTGGGGTAGACGTCGGGTGGGGTGTGGGGAGCAATAAGGGGAGCCAGCAAAGGCTCCCCCAGCAGCCTCGGCCCACCCCTGTCTGAGGGCTGCTCCTCCTGCGTGGAGAAGAACCTGAGGCAGATCCTCAAGAAGGGCCCTGGGGGCGACAGGTGGGAGGGGCCTGACCCCTGAAATTCAGTAAGGCCGGGGGCCTGCCTGCTACCTTTCCACACTTGGTGTTTTATTTATGATGCCATCCCTGCACTAGCACAAGCCTTGGCTTCTAGAAGATTCTCTGTAAATATCTGTTGAGTGAATGTGTGAATTCGTGAATTCCCACTAAGGAGAAATTGGTTCCACTTTGACTCAGAAGGTGAAGGAAGGTGTGGGGCTGGAGGGGCCCTGATAGTTCCACCAAAACCAGAGCCTCAGGGGCCTCGCTCCTCTGTCATCGCCTCCCTCTGGCTTCCTCTCAGCAAGGGGGTTCGGGTCAGAGCCCTTGGGACCCCATCCCAACCCTGCTGCCTTCTAGCTGTGTGACATTGGACAAGCCAGTCCCTCTTCAAACCTTAGCTTTCCTCACCTATGTCATGGGGAGAGACCTGTCTCCTCCACAGCGTACTGTGAGCCCTGAATTGAACCAGGTCCCACAAATAAATCCTAGTACAGCTCCTGTGTGCAACAAAACAGGCCTCACAGATACCAGCAACCTCACAGATACCAGAATGCACTGGAATGCCTTTCCACAAGGTTGTCAATAGGGTTAAAAGCACGGCCACTGTGAACAAATAGCAAATAGCCATTGCTTCTTGGCAATTTCTTTGCAAAGGCAGATGGAAATGAAGCAATGCCCAGGCGTGGAGGCCGATTTTGGAATGAACGTCTTGACAGTGGGAGTTCACCCTTCCGGGTTGTTTTGCGAGTTTTTTTCTCATCTCCCCTGGTGCCGTCCTCTCAAAGCCCGATCATAAAAGCAACGACAGCTGGGACCACATTGTTCACTTTATTGCAGTTTTGTTTTCCGTTTGGAAAATCTCTCCCTAGAATGTGCTTGAAATTTTGAAGAGGTGAGTTAATATATTGATGATGTCTTTATTGTCAGGACACTTCCTGAATTAGAAATAAAAGGCTCTGCTGAATTCAATCAAGTGGCATGGGGGAAGGGGTCCTTTCCCAGGATGGAAGCCCTCCTTTTGTGGCCAGCCTGGAGGGGGTAGGGGACCAAGCTTTCTGAGGCTCAGAGAAGACTCCTCTAATTCTAGAGCTTGACAGTTGGTGCCCAGTTTCCCCCAAAGGCAAAGGAGAAATCCTTGCCCTCCAGGGAGCAAAGGGCCAGGCAGATGAATGTCCGAGGTGTGGGTCCATTCCTGGCTCCTCCTGGATAGCTCAGCTCCCTACCAGCCCCAGCCTGATCCTCCCCCGGTAACGCACTTCATGTGAGTCACCCGGGAGCATGGTGCGGGACCTCCCTCTGCAAAGCTATGAGGAGACAAACTTTGACCTTGGTGCCCTCTCCACCGTGAGTTCCCCTCCTCTGCTCCACCAGGCCTCACCAGCCTGAGCCCTCATTCTTGAGGCCCCAAAGCCTCTTCCCTGCCACTGCCACTTTCTTACTCTCCTGTCGGAATGCCTCTGATCTTTTGAGTCTGAAGTCTGTGAATCATAAGAAGAGGCAGATGGCACGGTGGACTGCAGAGACCAAGGTCTTGGAATTACACAGATCTAGACTTGAGTCTCCTTAGTCTCTTAGTTGCTGTGTGATGTTGAGCAACTGACTTCGTCTCTCTCTGTGCTCAGTTTCCTCTGCAGTGATGGAAACACCCAGCACAGTGCCTGGTGGCTACTGATGCTACTTGTTCACTTTCCTAAAGTCTGTTATTGCTAGGGAAAGAAGGAGCCCATGGATTTTGGCAATGGATGGCACCAGGCAGCAAAAACTTCTTTTCAAGTAGAAACAAAGGACAGGGATGGTCATTTTAATGAACACCTACTATGCATCAGGCACACAGCAACCCTATTCTACAGACTCAGAGAGGTTAAGTTACTTGCCCAAGGTCACACAGCTAATGAAAGAGGTCCAGGTTCCTACCTGGGCTTATCAGACTCCCAGTTCATGCTTAGTTTTCTTCGCCCTTGGCAAAGCAATGAATCTCAAAGGGTGGAATGTGGATCCCCATGGGTGGGTGGGGCACGGGAAGCCCCTGCTACTGAAATCCGCAAGCCGGCCCTGCTGTGAAGGAGGGAAGGGTCAGGGCCGAGGCCCCACCACTCTTGCCCTCCTTCTGGTGACCTTGGCTGAACGCAGTGGGGGACTGCCTTCACCTGGAGCAGTCGTGCTCTGGGAAGTGCCATTTTCCTCTAAGGAGAAAACATCTTTTTCACACACAGATGCCTGAGTGGGATTCTTTTCCCAGGGCCCAGTGTTTCTGGTTCTATCTTTTAGTTTCTTTTGGTGGATTTGTCCTTACACCTTGACTGTGTGCCACTCTGAGCCTCGATAGTCCCGCTTCTCAGAGGCCATCTTGGTCCCCTTTAGGCCAACAGGATGGGGGGTCCAGGACCCAGAAACAGGAAGCTGGGGAGAGCTGCGTTCACTGGCGGATTTTTCTCTGTATTGTATGTGGGGGCATGAGAACTGGCAGGATCAGGAGGAAGGGTGGGCCCTCTGAGAGCCCGGGTGACTGCCAATTTGCTTAATTCTCAGGACCAGTTGAGGGGTTAGGTGAAGAAGCCCTGGGCTGGGGCAGGAAGGAGACGCCGTACCCAAAGCTACACTTTAGCTAATAAGATGACTTCAGGCCAGGCGCGGGGGCTCACGCCTATAATCCCAGCACTTTGGGAGGCCAAGGTGGGCAGATCACTTGAGGTCAGGAGTTCGAGACCAGGCTGGCCAACATGGTGAAACACCATCTCTATTAAAAATACAAAAAAATTAGCTGAGCATGGTGGCCAGCTACTCGGGAGGCTGAGGCAAGAGAATCACTGAACCTGGGAGGTGGAGGTTGCAGTGAGCCGAGATCGCACCACTGCACTCCAGCCTGGGTGACAGAATGAGACTCCATCTCAAAAAAAAAAAAAAAAAAAAAAAGGATAAGATGGCTTCAG
Source organism: Homo sapiens (assembly GCF_000001405.40). NCBI lineage: Eukaryota > Metazoa > Chordata > Mammalia > Primates > Hominidae > Homo > Homo sapiens. Next base: position 44,529,889 of record NC_000011.10, read on the forward strand.
GTCTCAGTGCTCAGCACCCCTTCCTTCACCCCAGGCAGTATAGGAAGGAACCCGAGATACTGAGTTTGTTGGCTCTCGACTGCTGTGCTCTCAACTGCTGTGCTGTACGAATTGCTACCCCTCTCTGTGCCCTGTTTCTCCTACCTGAAAAAGAGGAAGGCTCAGTCTCTTTAGGCCCCTTTGGAACCTCAGCCTCCCCTCTTGCTCCATCATCCTCATCCTTCCTCTAAAATATGACAACATCCTGATTCCTCTCCTCTCAGGCAACCAGACTTTGTTTTCTATAAAACTTCCAGCTAATCTAAGAAATGCCTCCCCACCCATGTGTTCATGTGTTCATTGCAGAGGTCTCTTCCTCCCTAAGGCGTCCCTTCCCAGGGCTGTTGAAGAGGTAACAGGGTTCGTGTGGTGAAGCTCAGATGTGGGGTCAAGTCACAGGTCTGCTACCGGAAAGGGGTCTCGATCCAGACCCCAAGAGAGGGTTCTTGGATCTCTCACAAGAAAAAATTGGGGGCAAGTCCATAGGGTAAAGTGAAAGCAAGTTTATTAATAAAGTAGAGGAATGAAAGAATGGCTCCTCCAAAGGCAGAGCAGCAGTACGGGCTACTCGAATGAGTATACTTATAGTTCTTGACTATATGCCAAACAAGGGGTGTATTACTCATGAGTTTTCTGGGTAAAGGGCAGAGATTTCCAGGAACTGAGGACTCTTGCCCTTTTTAGACTATATAGGGTAACTTCCTGACATTGCCATGGCGTCTGTAAACTGTCACAGTGCTGGAGGGAGTGACTTTTAGCATGCTAATGTATTATAATTAGCATATAATGAGCAGTGAGGATGCCCAGAGGTCACTTTCATTACCATCTTGGTTTTGGTGGATTTTGGCCGGCTTCTTTACTGTATCCTGTTGTAATAGCAGGGTCTTTGTGACCTGTATCTTGTGCTGACCTCCTGTCTCATCCTGTGACTTAGAATGCCCAACCTCCTAGGAATGCAGCCCAGCGGGTCTTGGCCTCATTTCACCCAGCCCCTATTCAAGATGGAGTAGCTCTAGTTCAAATGTCTCTGACAACCCCACCACATTGGAGCCAGCAACCCGGGGCAGGGGCGTCTTAGCGTCTCTGAGGACAATGGCCGCTCCTTGTTCCCTGGGCTGTTTGGAATAGAACCTGGGCCACCTCCTGCCCAGCCATGCCCAGTGCACAGGGTCAAGAGATCAGCCTTTGGTTTCAAGCCTGCCCTCTAAGTTGCCATTGGCCAGGGATACATAACTCCGTGTCTTTGCGTCTCAATTTCCCCATCTGAACAATGACGGTGTCCCTCATCTCTACCACCCGCCTCTCCAGACACTGAAAGGAGCCAGAATTGTGGGTTTCAGTGGCTGCTCCCTGATAAGGAGAGCCAGCCTGGCCTGGAGGCCTGGAGGAGGCTGAGGAGGTGGAGGAGAGGCCACATGCTACAGCCCCACCCAAACCTCGCAGCAGGCACAGCTGCAACTCCATCTGGAACAGCGGGCCCCACCCACACACATGGTCGAGCAGCCAGACCTCCAGCACGCCCCCCACCCTGCCTGGCTGCCTTTCCTGCCACCCCCGGATTTGTACCCATAATCTGCATATTTAGCAGTTCACCACATTGCAAGCCAAACCCTAAATCCTTCTCAGGCGGGGCCCTGGGAAAGCGCTACTCATGCTTCTGCAGAGCCCCAAGCCCCGGCGTCTAAGACCCCATTTTCCAAGTCTCCAGGTGGACAAGACGTCAGCCCTGTCTTCAGGTGTCCCCTGGACCTTCAGAGGCTGAACCAGGCAGCTAAGCAATCAGAATAGTCAGGATAATTCGAAGAAGAAGAAAAAGGAAATGAGAATGATTTCATTATTTGACTTTCAGGACGCTGAGTGAGACGAGCTGGGCAGTACCATTCTCCCCATTCTGCAGAAGGGCATACCAAGGCTCAGGTTCAAGTTCAGAGTCATTCAGGGCCGACTCAGCCACAATGCCAGGAAGAGCTGTCATGTCTCGAAGGCCCGACCAATTCAAGTGAATTTCTAATTCTTGAGTCTAGAAGCAGCTAGGAGCTATGGACAGAGCGTGGGGCAGGGGACCCACATGCTTGGCCTCCAGTCCCAGCTCTGCCCCCAATCAGTTGTGTAGTCATGGCTACAGGGTTGACCCCTTGGAGCCTCTGTTTCTACCACCCCTTTACTTCTGGGATCTCTCCAGGCCCCGATTCAGCCTCCCAGCCTCCCACCTCCCCAGTCCCAACTCCAAAGGAGTATATAGGGCTTTTGAATGTCACTGACTCTTCTTGAAAATGGAAATGGACACCCTTAGAGAGCTGTTGTCAAGAAATATGCAGAGCAGACATCCCGGTGCCCTTAACCCATCCTTGAACCTGACCCCTACCCTAAAATACCAGCCATTAGCATTTTCCTAGCTCTGTCTTCCAACCAGATGGTGCAGTAAGTATTTAGTCCTGACATCAGCCCTTCGGAGACAGAGGAAGATGATGAGGAAGATAAAGAAGATGATGTTGGTGAGTGGCAGATGCTGGGCTCAAAGTCAGAGCTGTCAGATTCGGAGGCCTGAGCCTTCACTACCGCTCTGTGCCGCCCAAGGCATGGGAGCCCCCAGGAAGAAGGAACCCTCCACCATCTTGGCTGCTTTCTGTAACCCAGTCAGCCCCATGAGGCCCATGCCTCTCCCCAGGTCCTAAAAGGCATGCGCACCTCCCCATTTCCAGCACCCACCACAACCCCTGCTCCTCTGCACAGGGGCACCCACTCCCTGGATTGGATGTGAGAGGGAGATTGGAGATGTGACCTCCATAGCCTGACTTTGTTGCCACAGGCCTTGTCTTGACTCCTCAGCTCACTGGGGGCTCCTCAGGGTGGGATTTGGGGTTCCAAGTCTTCTGTTCTCTCTTCTATTCCTGCACCTAATAAGGGTCTGTGGATCTCCTATCTCATGCCAGGCATTGCTCTGGTGATGGAGACAAAGCCATTCAAAAAAAACAAAAACAAAAAAACTATATCCTCAGTCCTACTGTCTTCAGCACAGGCTGGCCCCTAGGCAGTCTCCTCCCCTAAGTGTCCACGGATGGATGGAACAGAGAATTGAGAAGGAAAATAGAAAAGCCACATCTGGAACCACAAGACCAGCATGCAAATGCTCACTTGCCATTAGCGTGCTGTGTGACCTTGAACAAATCATGTGCCCTCTGGCCTCAGCGTCCCCATCTAACAAACAGAAGGCCTTGGCTCCAGCAATCATGCAGCCATGGTTATTCCTGTCCCACCTTCCCGATTGTTGCCATGCCCACCTGTAACTCTTTTTATTAAATATTATTCTTTAAATAAATGTACCTTTTCCAATTAAATACATTTATTTTAAAAGGTAAATTTATATTGCTGGGCACTGTGGCTGATGCCTATAATCCCAGCACCTTGAGAGGCTGAGGTGGGCAGACTGCTTGAGCCCAGGAGTTCAAGACCAGCCTGGGCAACATGGTGAGATCCTGCCTCTAAAAAAAAAAAAAAAAAATACAAAAATTAGCTGGGCATGGTGGTGCTCACCTGTAGTCCCAGCTACTTTGGAGGCTGAGCTGGGAGGATTACCTGATCCCAGGAAGGTTGAGGCTGTAGTGAGTAGTGATTTCACCCCTGCACTCCAGCCTGGGGGACAAAGTGAGACCCTATTTCAAAAAAAAGATTATATCACTCCTACAAATGAAAAAAATAATCAGTATCATTTGCCATAAGAAATAAAAGGGGCCGAGCATGGTGGCTTACGCCTGTAATCCCAGCACTTTGGGAGGCTGAGGTGGGCGGATCATGAGGTCAGGAGATGGAGACCATCCTGGCTAACACAGTGAAACCCCGTCTCTACTAAAAATACAAAAAAATTAGCCAGGCATGGTGGCGGGCGCCTGTAGTCCCAGCTACTTGGGAGGCTGAGGCAGGAAAACGGCATGAACCCAGGAGGCGGAGCTTGCAGTGAGCCGAGATCGCGCCACTGCACTCCAGCCTGGGCGACATAATGAGACTCCATCTCAAAAATAAAAAATAAAAATAATAAAGAAATAAAAGGTAACCAGAAAAGAAGTATGATGAAAACAAAACAGTGTTATTGGCTTTACTGGAAACTGCACTGTGCCAGAGCCCAGGATCCCATGCTCTGCTCTCTCTTTCAGTTCATTCATCTAACAAACCTTCACTGAGCTCCTCCCATGAGCCAGGTGCTGTGCTGGTGCTGGAGATAAAGCAGTTAACAAGAAATAGACAAAGTCACTGCTTTTGTGGAGCTCACACACTAGTGGAGGCAGAGAGAAAATAAGTAAAATAACATGTAGTAGAGGCACTGACCAAGAAAAGCGAGCAGGGGAGGGGTCACTACCTTACCCAGGATGGTCGGGGATGGTCTGGATGTGAGTTTGAGTAAATCGAGGAAGGATGCAAGGGAGTGAGATGTCTGGGCATCTGAAAACAGCATTCCAGGTGGAGAAAACAGCAAGTGCAAAGGCCCTGAGGCAGGACTGCCAGCAGATCTGAGGAATGAACAGGAGCTGAGATCAAAGAGCTAACAGGAGCTGAGGTGAGGGAGGAAGAGAAACAAGATAAAGATGAACTGGGAGTCTGATAAGCCCACGTAGGAACCTGGACCTCTTTCGTTAGCCATGTGACCTTGGGCAAGTAACTTAACCTCTCTGAGCCTGTAGAATAAGGTTGCTGTGTGCCTGATGCATAGTAGGTGTTCATTAAAATGACCATGCCTCTGCTTTATTTCTATTTGAAAGGAAACTTTAGCTGTCTGGTGCCACCCATTGCCAGGGAAACTGCTGTTAGCAGGGAAGGTTTAGAGCCTTGAGAAAGGTTCAGGTTGGAGGGGCAGCAAATAGAAACTTCCTCATTGGTTTAATCAGAAGAAAGGAAAAGAGTAAAGCGACAACTCTCAACAACTCTCTGGCTTGGTGACCCTATGCTAAGTAGTGCCGGGTCTTTATAGCTCTCTGAAGTCAGCCTGCGGAACTCCGGGATGTGAATATTGACCTTCCCTGGAGCACACTTTGGGGCTTTCTAGGTTTCTTTCCTGCTCTGTTTCCAAGCTGAACACAGAGGCATCTAAAGCAGCTCAAGACGTGATCTAAGTGGTCTGTAAATACCCCAGAGGGATCCCTTTCCCTTACCTCCCCCTTTTCATTCCATACATCTGCACTTTGTCTTGCCTTGCTTCCTGCCCCAGCCAGGTGAGATGGTCCCTGGTGGGGGCTGGAGTCGGTGCAGATGGGACAGAGGGAGGGTCTGATCAGGCATCCAGTTGGAGGGAGGGTTGATAGACGTTTGGAATGGACCTGCCTCTGCTCCTATGCATGGACAACTGGAGGATCTGGGCGCCTCGAGGGCGGGGCTGGGTTTTAGCCGTACTGAAACCTTGCTGTCCCGTTCAGAGGCCAGGCCTGGTGGGTATGTAGGAAGGTAACTAAATAGCCTGCAAGCCGATTGGGCACAGCTAATTCCCAAGGCAGCTGCGAGATGGCAGAATTCCAGTGAGGACAGGAGAAGCCGGCAGAAGTCTGGGCAGGGCAGGAGGACCCTCAACGCTCACCCCGGGCTAGGCCAATGGGTGGTACAACTCCTGGGGGCGCTCCTTGTGTTGCCTTCCATGAAATGGTACCTGCTGGGGTTGTGCAATGCTCAGCCTTGCCTGGGGTCCCGAGTTTTGGGTTGCCTCGTGGTGCTGTCCAGGAAGGGGGAGCTAAGCTATGTCTAACGTGGACCCCTGCCTATAGCAAAAGGGCTTCCTAAAAGGCCAGGCACTGGAACTGGCCTGGGCTGGGGCTGAAGGCTGGCTTTACTGTGTCCCAACTGTATGACCTTGGGCTAACTGCTTAAATCTTTCTGTGCCTCGGTTTCCCCATCTGTAAAATGGGGACAGATTAAATGAGCTAATACAAAAAAGTGCTTAGAATAGGGACTGGATTGTCAGTCCTCAATACATGTTAGCTTTCATAATAAATGCTGTTGTGGTCATTATTATTATTTTCCTTGGCCAGTGAGTTGGAGAAGGAGTTTGGTTCAGGAGGGACATGATGTAGTGAGGACAGGCAGAGATGGGAGTGGGAGATGGACACCACCTGTGTCTGGCCCCGAGCTGGACACAGGGAGCAAGTGATGAGGCCTGCAGGAAAAGCTCAGCCAGAGAATGTTATGATGCAGAAGAGGGAGGAGGGGCAGCCCACAAGGACTCAGGAAAGCTCCGGGATGACCTGTAATCCCAGCACTTTGGGAGACCAAGGTAGGCAGATCACTTGAGGTCAGGAGTTCGAAACCAGCCTGGCCAACATGGTGAAACCCCGTCTCTACCAAAAACGCACAAAATTAGCCAGGCATGGTGGCGGGTGCCTGTAGTCCCAGCTACTCAGGAGGCTGAGGCAGGAGAATTGCTTGAGCCCGAGAGGCAGAAGTTGCAGTGAGCCGAGGTCATGCCACTGCACTCCAGCCTGGGCAACAAGAGCAAGACTCCGTCTCAAAAAAAAAAAAAAAAAAAAGAGATAGAGAGAGAAAAGAAAGGATCTAGCAATATGTATGTAAGGTGCTGGGTGCTTATACATTTTATCTCATTTAATATTCACGTGTTGAGGACATTTAATATTGTTGATGATTATATTCCTATCATCAACGACTGTTATTATCCCTGTTAGGGATGAAGAGACTGAGGGTCACAAAGGGGAAGTAATTTTCTCAAGGTCACGCAGCTGGGAGGTGGTGGAGACAGGAGTAGAACCGTCACCCACCCTGCGGGTTACCATCCGCGGGTGGGAAGGGTGGGTGCGCTGGGCTGAGAACTGGGGCAGGTCTCCTCCGGGCTCTGCCTCTGTGTTGCTGTGTGATCTCGACTCGGAGCTTCTTGCCCCTCTTCTGTGGAATGAAAGGGGAGCGAAGGAGGAGGGTGTCTGAGGGGCGAGAGATGAGCCTGGAAGAGAAGCAAGGGCGGGCAGGGGGGGCTGTGACCTCAGCAGGCGGGGTGAGGTCCCAGCTCAGGAGCATCCTGGGAGCTCTGGTGGACCTGGCCTGGAGCTAATTAGCTGCTGGGAGGGGAAGTGCAAGGGCGGCGACCTTGTGGGGCGGGCCAGCCTCCCGCTGGCCCTGACACTAAGCCCAGCACCCACGAACATCTGGCCCGCTTTCATGCAGGCCTGGAGAGAGGCTCTGTCTGAGGGTCAGAGGTGGGGTGCAGATTGTCAGGGAGGACCTAGCTCTGCCCTGGGAGTTATGGGACCTTGGACCAGTTTCCCCATCCATCCCGGTGATAGATGAAGCCGGCAGCCCCCTCCGTGGGCCCCCTTCCAAACCTCACATTCCCTGGGCCTGTGAGTGTGGGGAGAGGTCAGGGAGATAGGACATCCCTGGAGGCCTAGGGATGTGGGGCGAGGCCTGTGGGAGGACAGCTGAGGTGAACCGGGAAGAGGACTGCAGTGTCATGAAGACTTGTGCTTAGAAAGAGCCTTGTAGGTCCGGGTGCGGTGGCTCACGCCTATAATCCCAGCACTTTGGGAGGCCAAGGCGGGTGGATCACCAGGTCAGGAGTTCGAGACCAGCCTGACCAACATGGAGAAACCCCATCTCCACTAAAAATACAAAAAATCCATAGCCGGGTGTGGTGGCGCATCCCTGTAGTCCCAGCTACTCAGGAGGCTGAGGCAGGAGAATTGCTTGAACTCAGGAGGCGGAGGTTGCAGTAAGCCGAGATCACGCTACTGCACTCCAGCCTGGGTGACCGAGTGAGACTCCCTCTCAAAAAAAGAGCCTTGGAGAGCTAGCCCATGGTTTGAGCCACTTAGGATCACCACAGTGGAGGGGTGGCCAAGGGAGTGAGGTCCTTGTCCTGTCATCCTAGGCTCCAACGGCTTTCTTTGTCTGCCTCCGTGTCTGTCTTCCCCACTGGGTGTGGCAGAGTCAGGCCTCTACTGCTAAGCCTGAAAATGCCCGACTCAGGCCAGCCCCATTTGACAGAGAGAAAGGCCCAGAGAGGGGAAGGGACTTGCTTGAGCCACAGCCAAGGAGGCTGAGGGGACTGCGGTGACAGAGGAGCGCCACCTCCATCTCCCTATCCATGTAACTCCAGCGCGTCTGCCTCTGAGGAAAAGAGACCTGCAGCCTACCCGGATGTGCTCATGCCAGCGCAGAAGAGTGTGTCCAAGGTGTGGTCTCCCTGGACCACTGGCTCTCCTGGCATCTTCCGTAGGAACCTACGCAGCTCCATGTGTTCTTCACTCCTGGTTTCTCCCTTCTCAGAATTCCAGGCTGCTGAGTTTTTCATTTCGCCGTCCCTCAGAGAGGCAGAATCCGTGTGTTGGGGAAGTCTGGAGATGCCCCTGGACTTCCCTGGGAGGTGCAACTTAAAAACAAAGAAACAAAACCGCAAATCCAACGCCTATCAACTGTCAGGTGTGGCCTGACAACATCCCGATGTCCCGTCGTAGCAGGATTGCCCCCGCTTTGGAGGGGAGGAAACCAAGGCTCAGAGAGGAAATGGGCGCTCCTGGTGTCCCCCGCTGGGAGTAGAACTCAAGCCTGGAGGCTCCAAGCAGCCTGTGGCCTGCTCTGGTGAGGTTTTTCGCACCTCTCCCAGGGCCTCCTTCCTCCCCGACGCAGAACAACTCGGATCTGCTGGTCCCACGGCGTCCTCAGGTCTCATCGGACCGTCAGTGGGCCTGGACAGCAGTGAGCAGGGCCCAGACGGCCGTTTCAGAGACAAGGGCGACACCTGCTGGAGATAAGTGAGCACGACATGCTAAGGCCAGGGGCGCATTCACTGCCTGGCTTCCTTTCTCCCTTGATGGGTGTTTATTGAAGGCCTGCTAGATGCAGCATCTCCAAGGTGTCAGAGACACTGAATGAAACCTGGTCTTTACCCCACAAGAGATTCCCAGCCAAATATAGAAGGTGCATAGCAATAATTGCAATGTAAAGTATGAAAACCAATGGTTTTCACTTTTTCCCCGCTTTTAATCAGTGGAAATAAATTCCTGTGTGAAAATGTAGTTAATAGGCCAGGTGCAGTGACTCACACCTGTAATCCCGACACTTTGGGAGGCCAAGGCAGAAGGATTGCTGGAGCTCAGGAGTTTGAGACCAGCCTGGCAACACAGCGAAACTGCGTCTCGACCAAAAATACAAAAGTTGGCGGAGTGTGGTGGCATGCACTTATGGTCCCAGCTACTCCAGAGGCTGAGGTGGGAGGATTGTTTGAGCCTTGGAGGTCAAAGCTGCAGTGAGCTGAGATTGCGCCACTGCACCCCAGCCTGGGTGACAGAGTGAGACCCTGTCACCAAGAAAACCAAAAGCAAAATCAAAAAAAGTAATTGACAATAGTAGCCAACACTTAGCGAGCACTTACTGTGTGCTAGGCATGGTCCTGAGCGCCTTATTTGAATGAACTCATTTATTCCTCCCAACAACCCTTAGGAGGCAGGTACAACATTAGCTTCGCTTTACAGATGAGGAGACTAATGATCAAAGAATGCGAGTAACCTGGCCAGGGTCATGAAGCTTGAAAGATGCAGAGTCAGGTTTTGAATGCAGGCCGCCTGGCTTTGAAGCCTTGACCTTCATCTCAAGGTTATGGGACTGCCTCTCTGTACACCTGGTACAAGTAAGGCTTCTCTGGCAGTAGGGGTTGGGGGGATGTGAAGTTAGGAACCACACTTGCTCTGCCCATCCCCCACCTCCTCTGGATTCCTAAGGAACCATCAAAAGCTGCCGACCCCAGTGTGGAAATCAGTGCATGCATGACATCGATAGGTCTTAAGCAGGGAAGAGGGAAAATTCTTTTTGAAGGAGAATTTGTATCATTTTAATGATTTTTATGTACAGAAAATGAAAGTGTACATTTAACCCAGTTAAGTGGCAAGTTCTTTAACCTTTGCCTTTTCCAACTTGGCAATGCAAGCCATAGATTTGGGACCCAGGATATTGCCTCCCCAGTGACGACGGATATCATCATATCTGTCGTTGTAATTAGTCCTGACAGCTTCCACCAGCTTCATCAAAACTCCTTTGTCTTCTGAGTTAACCTGTGTGAAGGCAACAGTGGTGCAGGTCTTCCTGTGGACTGGACGTTCCAGTCTTGCCTTCCCCTTGATAATGCAATCAGAGACCCACATTTTACAATGCAGGGCAGGCAGGAAGACAACAAGCTCGATGGGATCCTCGTCATGTCAAGTGCTACTCAAAATGGTTAGGCCCATTGTCTCCAAGCTACCTGCTGAGAGGTGATCGGCCTAGCATGCACACTCTTCTCTGCGGGAAGCAGCAGGCTGGCAACCAAACGTCTGTTCACATGCAGTCATCACTGGCTGAGCCTTCTTGTTCTCCACCAAGGGGTAACGGTGTTGACTCCTGCTTGAAGGACAGGTAGTCTCTTAGTGAGGATGTCCCCTTTGCTGTCAGCTTTCTTCTCAGCCTGGGCCAACAGCCTCTGCTTCTACTCTTGCTTTGTCTCTGGTCTGTATTTGTGGGTCAGCTTAGGCAGCTGAGTAGCTGGTGGTCCAGGTCCTGGGTGAACTGGTTAATCACAGGGGGCACTTTCAGCCACTTATAGAGGATGGCTCTCTGCCGCTGCAACCTGATATAGCAGGGCCATTTCACAAAGCGGCTGAGGTCACTTTTGGGCTGGATGTCCAGTGCCAAAATTCTTAGGCCTTTTCTTAACAGAGGGGATTCACCACTTTCTTGGTCTCCTGCTTCTCCATGACAGCAGGGGCCGGGGCCACTTTCTTCCCCCTGCGCTTCTTTCCTCTTGGCATCTTGGGAAGGTGGAGGAGCAGAAGAAAATAGATTTATGTGTTGCAATGGTTACTCTAGGGGTGGAGCAAGGAACTCAAACCAGAAGCTGTGATCAGATTTGGGAGGTGAACTGGGGAGGGAGTAGAGGGCACAAGAGCAGAGGAGGAAGGATGATCTGTGTTCACTGAGGAGATCACGTGGTCATAAGCTTGATTTTTAACTTACTTGGAGTGAGGTATGTGTCTAATTTGTCTCTTGAGCCAATCAATTTATTCACAGCCATTTGTAGAACATCTACTATTCACTGTTCTCAATGCTGGGGACACAGTGGGAAACAAGGACATAGGTCCTGCTTTTATGAGGCTTACACTCTTGTTGTGGGAGGGGGTCTAATAATGACCTAATAAGTAAATAAGATGAAGATGGTGATAAATATCATAGGGCAGATAAAGCAAAGCAATGTGCTGAGAGAGGCCAACCCAGCTGGTTTGAATTCTTACGCTGCCACTGGCTGTGCAGATCTAGGAACTGAGTGTTTCTGGCAGAGGGAATGGCAGATGCAAAGGCCCCGAGGTGGGAAGGTGCTTGGGGCATTAGAGAAACAGAAAGTGTGACTGAAGCATGAGAGGAGAGGAGGTCAGACAACTAGGCGGGGGTTAGAGCACATGCCTAGAGAAAAAAAAAAAAGCTTTGATTTTTGTCCAGGGCAATAAAACACTGTAGGAAAGTTTGGGGCAGAAACATGATAAGGTCTGATTTGCATTTGTAAAGTATCACTCTGACTGCTGAGAGGAGAAGGATTGTAGGGTGGCAAGAGTGAAAGCCAGGCTAAGTGTGGTGGCTCACGCCCATAATCCCAGCATTTTGGCAGATCCAGGTGAGAAGATCACTCAAGGCCAGGAGACCATCCTGGGCAACATAGCAAGACCCTGTCTCTAAAAAAAAAAAAAAAAAATTATCTGGGTGTGGTGGCACGTTTGTAGTTCCAGCTACTCAGGAGGCTGAGGTGGGAGGATCACTTGAGCCCAGGAGTTGGAGGCTGGCTGCGGTAAGCCGTGATCACACCACTGTACTCCTGCCCAGACAACAGAGTGAGACCTTATCTCCAAAAATAAAAAATAAAAATAAAAAAGACTGAAACCAGGGAGTTGAGTTGTCCAGTTAGGAGATGATTGCATTAAGCCAGGAGGGCGATGACGGTGACTTGGAACAAAAGGGTGGAAGGAGGCAGATCAAAAGCATTGGAAGGTAGAGGTGGCTGGGCTTACTGAAGGGCTGGAAATCGGGGTGGATGGGGAAGATATGTCAAAGGAAGGAACCAAGGGTATGTCCTAGAATTTGCACCGTGGATGAATGGTGCTGTGACTTACTTAGATGAGGATGACAGGAGGAACAGGTGTGGGGCAGATGCTAAAGGGAAGAAGAGTTCCACATGTGGTTGCATGAGAAGAGATGAGACATAAAAATGCATATATGAGTCCAGGAACTGTTGAACAGATCAGATCTGGAATTATAAATCTAGCTGTCATCTCATGAAGAAAAGGTGATCCATGACCAGGGAGAAGTGATTCACAATTCTATATCCAGCCATAAAAAGAGCTCCCATCGATATCGCTATTAACACCACCAATGTCAATGCCATTCTTGCATTACCATTGTTGTCATCAGGATCACCACCATCATCAGCAACACAATCATCACTATCACCACCACCACCATCATTATCATCACCATAATGACCTCTCATTACCTCACCATCACACTTCACCATTCTTCTCATCACTACAGTCATCACTCCCATCATCACTGTAGCAACCAGCATCTGCATCATCATCGCTATAGCAACCGCCACCTCCATCGTCATCACCATAGCAACCATCTCCATCATCACCACCATAGCAAACACCATTACCATCCTCATCACCATAGCAACCACATAATTCTCATCAGATACCATCATCAGCATTGTTATCATTGCCATCAATGTTATCACCACCTCTCCCACCATCAGTGTCACTAGTAACACCACCATTTTCATTCTCATAACAACTCTAACAACTATCTATCACCATTTCCTCCATCACCAACTCCATCACCATCAGAAACAGCAGATCTCTATCTCCATTACAGCTACCATTGCATTACCATTTCTATTACCATCCTCCTCCTCATTATCTGTTATTAAATGTTATTATTCTTGTAAAGCTGAAAGCTCTTGACCTGTGAACACTCATCTGCACTTTTCCTCACTGTTGCTGAGTTCACTTTTCCTACTTTACAAGTCGAGGCGGGGCTCAAAGAGGAGGAGGTACCTTGCTGAGAAATAGCAGTGGAGTAAAACGTGGAGGTTTTGGTTGGGGCAATGAGGATTAGAGTCAAGGATCCCTAGACTTTGAAGATGAGTTTAGGAAAAAGGTCGCTCTCTGAATCCATGTAAACCTAATGAAACCAAGAGAAACTGCAAGGATATAGATTAGTCTGCTGTTAACAAAAGACCTCAAATTCAGTGACTTCAGCGAAATGGAAATCTCTCTCTCTGGCATGGCTGCTCAATGTTGGCAAGGACCCAGACATCCTATCATGTTTCTCCATCATCACCAACATGCAGTTTCATGCAGTTAAAGAAAGATGACCAGTTTGTCTTTTGGGTCTGCTTTCCAAGCAATGGAAATGGAGTAAAGGGAAGAGAAGGGCTCTCTCCATCTCCCCATCTCCTTTATCTCCTTTATCTCCTTAAAGTGTGTGACTCAGAAGCTGCAGACATCACTTCTGCTCACACCCTTGGCCAGAAAGAGGGTGTTCTGCCCATCAAGATAAGAGTTTGTATTCCATTATTTCTAATTATTATATTAATATAATGTGATGTTTATTGGATAACTACTACATGCTAAATTTTATAACAAGGACTGCACACATACCACTTCCAATCTTGTGACACAGAAAAAACTACTCTTTTTATTGCCTTCATTTTACATATAAGAAAAGGGCTACTAAAAACGGTTAGGCCCAGTGTCTCCAAGCTACCTGCTGCAAGGTGGTTGGCCTAGCATGCACACTCTTTTCTGGGGGAGGCAGCAGGCTGGCAACAAATGTCTGTTCATTGTCAAAGTTGATAGCACTCTGGAGTCAAATTGCCCAAGTTCAAATGCTACTCCTACCACTTCTCAACTGTTTGAGCATGAGCAAGGGACTGAAACCCTTTATATTTCTCTATGCTTCTGTTTTTTTAATCTGTAAAATGGAGTCTTTAAGGATAAGATCTTAGCAGAATGCCTGACACACAGGAAATGCTGAAAAAATATTAAATACCATTATCCCTTGGTTTTCATGGGGGAACACTTCCAGAACCCCCCTCAGATACCAAAGTCTGCTGATGTTGAAGACCCTTATATTAAATGGTATAGTATTTGCATATAACCTGTGATGGTTAATACTGAGTGTCAACTTGATTGGATTAAAAGATGCAATATTGATCCTGGGTGTGTCTGTGAGGGTGTTGTCAAAGGAGATTAACATTTGAGTCAGTGGGCTGGGGAAGGCAGACCCACCCTTAATCAGGTGGGCACCATCTAATCAGCCGCCAGCAAATATAAAGCAGGCAGAAAAATGTGAAGCAATGATACAGGCCTAGCCCCCCAGCTTACGTCTTTCTCCTGTGCTTGATGGTTCTTCAGTTTTGGGACTTGGACTGCCTCTCCTTACTCCTTAGCTGCAGACAGCCTATTGTGGGGCCTTGTGATCATATAAGTTAATACTTAATAAACTCCCTTTATATATATGTATCCTATTAGATATATATATATATATATATTCTATTATTTATATATATATCTATTAGATATATATATATTCTATTATTTATATATATATCCTATTATATATAGGGTTCCCTCTAAGAGAACCCTTGACGAATACAGATTTTGGTACCAGGAGTGGTTCTAGAGGAACAGAATATTAAGGATGGAGTTTGTTCATTGGTTTTGAGGTTTCTAGAGTTGGCTGCTTAATATGATTAGACCCAAAAATGCTAAGGACTGTATTTCTAATAGTATGTAGAATACTGATAGTCCTTGGCGGAAACTGTTTAGAGAGTTATGTGAAATACATGCATTTGACACTCCTGATTCACTGCTCATGAAAGGCTAGGAGTTTAATGACTCTATACTTAATACTTTTGACCATATGTGAAGAACCAAGGAACATAATGAAGCTGGTTGGTTGTTCAGTGGACAAAGTGATGAAACAAAATTATGAACTCAGGGATTCTGTCTCCTGGCTTCAGAAGCAGACACTGAGCCTCAAATCTGCTAAGATTGCATTGAGTGAGAGTCTTATCTCCTGTAGAGAAAGAGCTGAAATTGTAAAAAAAACAGACACAAGCTCTTATCATGCAAGTGGCTGAGCTGCAAGGGAAGATGCATGCACAGCCCCACCAGGTGTTTGCTGTTAAAGTGAGGGCATTGATTGGAAAAGAATGGGGCCCTGCAACTTGGAATGGGGACATGTGGGGGGAACCTGATGAAGCTGGGGACACTGAGTTGGTAAACTCTGATGAATATTTTTTTGCCAGAAGGAACAGCTTCACCATTCCCCGTAGTGACAACATACCCTCCCTGACCTATGCTGCCATCAGCCTTTCCACCTTTGTCTGAGGAAATAAACCCTGCACTGCCCGAGGCAACAGTGATGGCCTCCACTGAGGCAGTTGCCAGGCAAGATAATGTTGATTCTCCTCAGAAGCCACCTCCAACACCTCTGTTTGCTTCTAGACCTATAACTAGACTAAAGTCCTGGCAGGCCCCTAGAGGTGAGGTTGACCCATGTGACCGGAGGTGCACTACACTCAAAAAAAACTGTTTGTGTTCTCTAGTTTATATAATCCACAATCTGGAGAACAGGCATGGGAATGGATATTAAGGGTATGGGATAATGGTGGAAGGAACATAGAGTTGGATCAGGCTGAATTTATTGACTTGAGCCCACTAAGTAGGGAACTCTGAATTTAATGTTGCAGCTTGGGAAGCTCAAAAAGGTTCTAATAGTCTATTTTCTTGGTTAGCTGAACTATGGATTAAAAGATGGCCCACTGTGAGTGAGCTGGAAATGCCTATCTCCCTTGGCTTAATGTAGAGGAAGGGATCCAAAGGCTTGGGGAGACGGGGATGGTGGAGTGGTTTAGTCACTTCAGACCTACTCATCCCAGCTGGGAAGGTCTAGAAGATATACCCTTGACCAATGCCTTGTGAAGTAGATTTGTAAGGGCAGCACCTGCATCTCTGGAGAGCCCTGTAATTGCTCTTCTCTGTATTTCAGATCTAATGGTGGGAACTGCAGTCACTCAACTATAAAATTTAAATGCAATGAGAATAAGTGGATCCTGAGGTGGCAGGGGCCAAGTGGCAGCACTCAACTTCCAAAGGCGAGGTGGGCATAGCTACTGTAATGGACAGCAGAGGCAAAGCAGCAATCAGAATAGTCTGACTCTTTTAGAGCTCTGGCATAGGCTAATTAATCATGGTGTTCCTAGAGGTGAAATTGATAGGAAGCCTACTGCATTTCTACTTAAATTATACAAGCAGAAAACTTCTAGGTCAAACGGACAAAAGGCTAATTTGAATTATAAAAACAGAGAATCATGGCCCCTCAATCAATTTCCCAACTTGATTTACAGACCCAGCCAGTTTACAGACCCAGAACCCTTTGAATGAAGGGGAGGCCGGGTCCTCTTGAGGAAGGACCCCACTACATTACCCACAATTTATGCATTGAATCTTTCTCCCATCCTTCCCCAAGGAGACCTCCGGCCTTTTACCAGGGTAACTGTGCACTGGGGAAAGGGAAATGATCAGACATTTTGGGGACTACTGGACACTGGCTCTGAGCTGACATTGATTTGAGGGGACTGAAAACGTCATTATGGTCCTCCAGTTAGAGTAGGGGCTTCTGGAGGTCAGGTAATTCATGGAGTTTTAGCTCACATCTGATTTACAGTGGGTCCAGTGGGTCCCCGGACTCATCCTGTGGTCATTTCCCCAGTGCCAGCATGCATAATTGGCATAGACATACTTAGCAGCTGGCAGTACCCCCACATTGACTCCCTGACTGGTAGGGTAAGGGCTATTATGGTGGTAAAGGCCAAATGGAAGCCCTTAGAGCTGCCTCTACCTAGAAAAATAGTAAATAAAAAACAATATCACATCCCTGGAGGGATTGTGGAGATTAGTGCCACCATCAAGGATCTGAAAGATGCAGGGGTGGTGATTCCCACCACATCCCCATTCAACTCTCCCATTTGGCCTGTGCAGAAGACAGACGGATCTTGGAGAATGACAGTGGGTTATCGTAAACTTAACCAAGTGGTGACTCCAGTTGCAGCTGCTATACCAGATGTGGTTTCATTGCTTGAGCAAATTAACACATCTCCTGGTACCTGGGATGCAGCTACTGACTTGGCAAACCCCTTTTTCTCTATTCCTGTCCATAAGGCCCACCAGAAGCAATTTGCCTTCAACTGGCAAGGCCAGCAATATACCTTCACTGTCCTACCTCAGGGGTATATCAACTCTTTGGCTTTGTGTCATAACCTTATTCGGAGAGACCTCGATCACTTTTTACTTCTGCAAGATATCACACTGGTCCATTACATTAATGACATTATGCTAATTGGGTCCAGTGAGCAAGAGGTAGCAAACACACTGGACTTATTGGTGAGACATTTGCATGCCAGAGGATGGGAAATAAATCCGACTAAAATTCAGGGACTTTCTACCTCAGTAAAATTTCTAGGGTTCCAGTGGAGTAGGGCCTGTTGAGATATTCCTTCTAAGATAAAGGATAAGTTGCTGCATTTGGCCCCTCCTACAACCAAGAAAGAGGCACAATGCCTAGTAGGCTTATTTCGATTTTGGCGGCAACACATTTCTCATTTGGGTGTGTTACTCTGGCCCTTTATCAAATGACCCAAAAGGCTACCAGTTTTGAGTGGAGTCCAGAACAGGAGAAGGCTCTGCAACAGGTCCAGGCTGTGGTGCAAGCTGCTCTGACACTTGGGCCATATGACCCAGCAGATCCAATGGTGCTTGAGGTGTCAGTGGCAGATTGGGGTGTTGTTTGGAGCCTTTGGCAGGCTCACATAGGTGAACCACAGTGGATGCCTCTAGGATTTTAGAGCAAGGCCCTGCCATCTTCTACAGATAACTACTCTCCTTTTGAGAGACAGCTCTTGGCCTGTTACTGGGCTTTGATGGAAACTGAAACTTTGACTATGGGTCATCAAGTCACTATGTGATGTGAACTGCCTATCATGAACTGGGTGCTTTCTGACCCATCTAGCCATAAAGTGGGTCGTGCACAGCAGCATTCCATCATCAAATGGAAGTGGTATATACATAATCTAGCTCAAGCAGGTCCTGAAGACACAAGTAAGTTACATGAGGAAGTTGCTTAAATGCCCATGGTCTCCACTCCTGTCACCCTGCCTTCTCTCCCCAAGCCTGAACTGATGGCCTCATGGGGAGTTCCCTATGGTCAGTTGACAGAGGAAGAAAAGACTAGGGCCTGGCTCACAGATGGTTCTGCGCGATATGCAGGCCCCACCCAAAAGTGGACAGCTGCAACACTGCGGCCCTTTTCTAGGACATCCCTGAAGGACAGCAGTGAAGGGAGACCTTCCCAGTGGGCAGAACTTTGAGCAGCACACCTGGTTCCACACTTTGCATGGAAGGAGAAATAGCCAGATGTGCGATTATATACTGATTCATGGGCTGTAGCCAATGGTTTGGCTGGATTGTCAGGGACTTGGAAGAAGCATGATTGGAAAATTGATGACAAAGAAATTTCAGGAAGAGGTATGCAGATGGACCTCTCTGAGTGGTCAAAAACTGTGAAGATATTTGTATCCCATGTGCATGCTCAGCAACAAGTGACCTCAGTGGAAGAGGATTTTAATAATCAAGTGGATGGGATGACCCATTCTGTGGACACCACTCAGCCTCTTTTCCCAGCCACCCCTGTCATAGCCCAATGGGCCCATGAACAAAGTGGCCATGGTGGCAGGGCTGGAGGTTACGCATGGGCTCAGCAACACGGACTTCCACTCACCAAGGCTGACCTGCCTGGCTATGGCCACTGCTGAGTGTCCAATTTGCCAGCAGCAGAGACCAACACTGAGCCCTCGATATGGCACCATTCCTTGGGGTGATCAGCCAGCTACCTGGTGGCAGGTTTGATTATATTGGACCTCTTCCATCATGGAAAAGGCAGAGGTTTGTCCTCACTGGAATAGACACTTACTCTGGATATGGGTTTGCCTATCCTGAATGCAGTGCTTCTGCCAAGACTACCATCCATGGACTCACGGAATGCCCTATCCACCATCATGGTATTCCACACAGCATTGCCTCTGACCAAGGCACTCACTTTATGACTAAAGAAATACAGCAGTGGGCTCATGCTCATGGAATTCACTGGTTTTACCAGGTTCCCTTTCATCTTGAAGCAGCTGGATTGATGGAATGGTGGAGTGGACTTTTGAAGTCACAATTACAGCACCAACTAGGTGACAGTACTTTGCAGGGCTGGGGCAAAGGTCTCCAGAAGACCATGTATGCTCTGAATCAGCATCCAATATATGGTACTGTTTCTCCTGTAGCCAGGATTCACGGGTCCAGGAATCAAGGGGTGGAAGTGGAAATGGCACCACTTACCATCAGCCCTAGTGATCCCACTAGCAAAATTTTTGCTCCCTGTTCCCATGACATTACGTTCTGCTGGCCTAGAGGTCTTAGTTCCAGAGAGAGGAATGCTGTCACTAGGAGACACAACAATGATTTCATTAAACTGGAAGTTAAGCTTGCCACCTGGACACTTTGGGCTCCTCGTACCTTTAAGTCAACAGGCTAAGAAGGAAGTTAGTGTTGTTGGCTGGGGTGATTGACCCAGATAATCAAGATGAAATCAGTCTACTATTCCACAACGGAGATAAGGAAGAGTATGCATGGCACACAGAAGATCCATTAGGGCCTCTCTTAGTATTACCATGCCCTGTGATTAAGGTCAATGGGAAACTACAACAGCCCAATCCAGACAGGACTACAAATGACCCAGGCCCTTCAGGAATGAAGGTTTGGGTCACTCCACCAGGAAAAAAAAAAACACAACCTGCTGAGGTGCTCGCTGAAGGCAAAGGGAATACAGAATGGGTAGTAGAAGAAGGTAGTCATCAATACCAGTTACGACCACATGACCAGCTGCAGAAACGAGGACTGTAATTGTTATCAGTATTTCCTCCTTCTTTTGTTAAAAACATGTTTGTGCATGTATACACTTGTACTAAGAAAATATCTTCATTTTATTTCCTTTTCCTTCATCATGTGACATAAGATTTATTGACTTAATCATATCAGCATTTAAATATTGTTAACTTATGTAATAGTATTTGGGTTGGGGATTGGCGCGTTTCTGGTTGTATGAAGGATAGCTGTATTATGTCAGGTGTAATTATGACTTCGTTATTGTCTTTATTTGGAGATTATGTATGACCTCAGAAGATGTGTATGCATTCAAGTTGATAAGGGGTGAACTTGTGACGGTTAATACCGAGTGTCAACTTGATTGGATTGAAGGATGTGATATTGATCCTGGGTGTGTCTGTGAGCGTGTTGCCAAAGGAGATTAACATTTGAGTCAGTGAGCTGTTGAAGGCAGACTCACACTTAATCAGATGGGCACCATCTAAGCAGCCTCCATAGAATATAAAGCAGGCAAAAAAACGTGAAGCGATGACACTGGTCTAGTCTCCCAGCCTGCATCTTTCTCCCATGCTGGATGCTTCCTGCCCTTTAACATTGGACTCCAAGTTCTTCAGTTTTGGGACTTGGACTGCCTCTACTTGCTCCTCAGCTTGTAGATGGCCTATTGCATGACCTTGTGATTGGGTAAGTTAATACTTAATAAACTCCCCTTTATATATTATGTATATAATATATTTATATATAATATATTATATTATATATTTATATATAATATATATTATATATTTATATATAATATATATATTATATATTTATATATAATATATATATTATATATTTATATATAATATATATATTATATATTTATATATAATATATATATTATATATTATATAAATATATATAATATATATTATATAAATATATATAATATATATTATATATAACATAAATATATATATTTATAGTATATATAATATATATTATATATATTATATAGGATTGATATATGATATATAATATATAATACATATAATATATAATATATATATAATATATATACACACAATATATAATATATATATAATATATATACACACACACACACCTCTGTCTATATATATACTATTAGTTCTGTCCCTCTAAGAGAAGCCTAACCAATATATAACCTATGCATATTCCCCCATATACTTCAAATAATCTCTAGATTACTTATAATACCTAATACAATGCCTACACAGCACTTCATTCACATGGGTTGAAGGTAGTACTCAGCACTTGGCAAATTCAAGTTTTGCTTTTTGGGACTTTGTGGAATTTTCTTTTTCTTTTTTTGACAGGGTCTCTGTCATCCAGGCTGGAGTTCAATGGCGTGATATTGGCTCACTGCAACCTTCATCTCCCAGGTTCAAGCAATTCTCCCACTTCAGCCTTCCGAGTAGCTGGGACTACAGGCATGTGCCACTATGCCCAGCTAATTTTTGTATTTTTTAGTAGAGACAGGGTTTCACCATGTTTGCCAGGCTGGTCTCAAACTCCTGACCTCAAGTGATCTGCCCACCTTGGCCTCCCAAAGTGCTGGGATTATAGTCATGGGCCACCGTGCCCAGCCAATTTTGTGGAATTTATGTCTCCAAATATTTTTATTGTGTGGTTGGTTGAATCCATGAATGCAGAACCCACAGATATGGATAGAGGGCTGACTGTCAGCAACAATAACAGTAGTAGTAGCAGCAACAGTAATAACAGCAGTGGTGGTGATTAGAACTGTAGCAGGAGCAGCAGCAACAATATTTCTTAGAGGGCATCATTTCCTCTTGGGATTCTGACCTGACAGTCCATGGACTGAGAGTCATTCCATGGGTGGGAATAGTGATGGCAAAGCTACTGTTGTTGGTAATGAAGATGCTGATAATAATTGTGATGACGATGATGAAGATGGCAGTGATGATGTCGATGATGTCATTCATGATGACTTTGGTTAATGCAGTGATGATGGGGATGATGATGATGATGGTGATGATGACAAACACAATAGAGATGGTCTTGGTGATTGTGAAGGTGGTGATAGTGGATTGTAATGGTAGTGGTGAGAATGATGATGGTGTTGGTGGTGACGCTGATGACATTGATGGTGACATTGATGATGGTGACAATGGTGGTGGTGGTGGTGATAGTGATGATGCTGCCAAAGTTAACTTCTGTCTTATGTTAATATTTAGTTTGGTGGGCCCAGCTGAGAATGCAGTTGAAATCCTGTCTCCTGTCTTTGTTGCTCGTTCTCCTCAATATTTGGCTGCTACCTTGAGGTCTAATATGGCTGCTTCAACTCTAACCATCACATCTCCATTCTAGCCAGTGGGAATTCAGAGAAGACAGGGAGGGGGGGAGCAAAAGGCAGCCTCTTGTTCTTTTTTTTTTTTTTTCATTCTAGCTATATTTTCATGGGTTTTGTGTGTGTTTTTTTTAAATTTTTTATTTCCATAGGTTTGGGGGGAACAAGTGGTATTTGTAACTTACATGAGTAAGTTATTTAGTGATGACTTGTGAGAGTTTGATGAACCCATCACCTGAACCTCTTGTCCTTTTAAGGGCATAACCTGGAAATTATTGAAATAGAGCTCAGATAAAACTTTCTTTTAAATACTGCAGTCATGGATAAAGTTTATCATATGGCCCAGTGACCTGATACCTAAGGACCCCAGCAAGCAAATTCCTCTTAGACCCAGGATAAAGGTGAGCTCTCCTGGTGAACTAGAACGTTTTCTTTTTTCTAGCTCTTTCTTCATTTCTTCTTCCTTCACTGCCAGCAAAGTGCTTGGGCTCCAGAAACAGCCTGCAGGCTTCCTGACTGGGCTGGTGATAAAAGGGCCACACTGGGATCTGGGACTGGCACCATAGACTTGGGGCCCTAATAAGGGATAGGAAAGCCTTCTAGCAGAATGGAAGGGAGAGATCTTGGCAGATAGCAAATGTTGGGTCTGCTTCTTAAAACACATTCCTAGTGGGCCAATATTAACATGTGATGTCACTGTTTGAAATACTAGTGCTATGGTTTGGACGTGCATCCCCTGTAAGATTCATGTTGAAACTTAATCCCCACTGTGGTGGTAGTAAGAGGTAGTAATCACTTCTTTTTGAAAAGTGACTAAATCATGAGGGCTCCATCCTCATGCATGGATTAGTACCTTATAAAAGGACTGGAGGGAACCAGCTTAGCCCTTCTTGCACTTCCATCCCTTCTGCCATGTGAGGGCACCTAAATGGCACCATCTATGAGGAGCAGGTCTTTGCCAGACACTGAATCCACCAGGGCTTGGTTTTGGACTTCCCAGCCTCTAGAACCATGAGAAATCTATTTATATTATTTAGAAATTATGCAGTCCCAGGTATTTTGCTATAGCAGTACAAGTGGACTAAGTCACCTCGTTAAGACAATGGAACAAGGAATCACAAAGACATTTTCTAACTTTGGCTCTAGCACAAACTGTTTTACAGCCTTAGGTAATCCTCTGATTCTGACTTTTCTCTTTTTTCCTCACATGGTGGAGAGAGAGGAAGAGCTCCAGTGTCTTTTCTTATGAACACACGAATCCTATCAGATCAGGTCCCCATCTTTACCACCTCACTTAACATTAGTTCCTTCCTTAGAGGCCCCATCTCCAAAAACAGCCACACTAAAGGTTAGAGTTTTAATATGTGAATATTAGAGGGGACATAAGCATTTAGGACATAATACTAACCTATCCAAACATCCCAATCGATTTATCCAATATCATACAAACATACACAGTATTACAATCCACTGAGGACTTCTGCATAATAGAGAGCATCTGAAACACCAATCGCCTAATTACCCAACCCTCAATGGAGTCATTAGTGGGTTTGTGTGTCTGCCGGCTTAGGAACTCTTTGGTGGATGATGGTTTTTTGTCTACCACTTAATCTGTTTCTCTAGGTTTTTAGAAAACACCTGTTGTGCTCAGGAAATGTGGTGGTGTATTCCAGAACCAACAACACTTTTATAACCATTCTTTACTTTCTTATTCATGAAAAAAATATGCACAGTATGCAGAGTCACACAAGGGCCAAATGGAGGCTCACGAGTGCATTTCTTTCATTGCTGAATATTTCTATGAGTGCTTAAATTTCCCAGGTCTCCTGGCTCATCTGCTTCCTCCACAGGCTCTTCCTCTTTCTTAGGCAACAGTTACACCTAATAATGAGAATGAGCCTATGGTAGGCCAGGCACAGTGGCTCACGCCTGTAACCCCAGCATTTTGGAAGGCCGAGGCAGGCGGATCACTTGAGGTCAGGAGTTTGAGACCAGCCTGGCCAACATGGTGAAACCCCGTCTCTACTAAAAATACAAAAATTAGCCGGGTGTGGTGATGGGTACCTGTAATCCCAGCTACTCAGGAGGCTGAGGCAGG
Organism: Homo sapiens; assembly: GCF_000001405.40. Classification (NCBI taxonomy): domain Eukaryota; kingdom Metazoa; phylum Chordata; class Mammalia; order Primates; family Hominidae; genus Homo; species Homo sapiens. The sequence goes on from NC_000011.10 coordinate 44,554,358, forward strand.
AGAATAGCTTGAACCCCAGAGGTGGAGGTTGCAGTGAGTCAAGATTGTGTCATTGCACTCTAGCCTGGGCAACAGAGTGAGACTGTCTCAAAAAAAAAAAAAAAAAAGAGAAAAGAGAATGAGCCTATAGTGGTGGTTACACACTACACCGTGAACATTGGATGCAGACCTCCCGGAAGAACTACTGAGATACAACTTAGAGTCACGTGTCTTCTTGCAGTATCCACCCACAGCCCAAATGGTCTAGCCTCCATTTTTGTGTGAAATCATTAGAGCAGGCTTTCTGTTCATGAGTCAGTGCTATGGTCTGAATGTTTGTGTCCCCTGAAATTCATATGTTGAAACCTACTCCCCAATGCAATGGTATTAAGAGATAGGGCTTTTGGGAGATAATTTGGTCATGAAGGTTTCACCTCTGTGCATGGGAGCAGCACCCTTTTAAAAGAGGCCCAAGGAGCTTGTTAGCCCTTTCAGTCATGTGAGGATGTAGCTAGAAGGTGCCATCTTGGAAGCAAAGAGTGGGCCCTCACCAGATGCCAATCTGCTGGTACCTCAGTCTTGGACTTCCCACACTCCAGAACCATGAGAAATAAATTTCTACTGTTAATAAATTGCCCAGTCTAAAGTATTTTGTTACAGCTACTTGAACACACTAAAAGTAAATTTTGGGTAAATATTTTTTCAAATCATGATGGCAAATATGTACATATTTTTATTTACATATAAGTTATATATAATATGTTATAAATATTATATATAATAGGTATCCAAATATATATTCAAGAGGGCAAAGGCATTGACTGCTATATCCTCAGTGCTAGAATATCATCCAGGACACAGGAGGCACTCAATAAATAATTTGTGAAATGCAGAAGTGAAATACAGTTGAATGAGAGCTACTATGAAGCATGATTTGTGGCATTCAGTGTCTTTGTAACTGATGTACCTGGTAGCTCTGCTCCCCAGAATCCAGCTATCAGTGCTAGAGGAACTGGTATGGGTTTTCCTTTTCTCCAATGAGTCCCTTCCCATCCCTGTAAGATTAGACAGCCCCGCCCATTGTCATGTGACTGGCAACAACTCCCTCTGGGAGGACACTTCTCTGCCCATGATATGGAGCTCAGCTTCATAACTTGCCTTAACAAATGGCATGTAGGCAGAATGACAGATACCACATCTAAGCAGGAGCTTTGAGAGCCACCAAGCGGCTTGACCACTGCTTCTTCTTTTCTGTCCCATGAGAAGACCCTAAATAGGGACGGATTTTCCATCTTGGATCTGGGAATAACAAAGACACATGAAGCAGAGTCTCACGTGACCCACAGCAATCTTTAGCGGCCATGTAACATAAGTGGGGAATAGGGCCTTTGTTGATATAAATCAATGAGATTTGGGGAGTTCTTTGTTACTGCAGTATAACCTCACAGAAGCTGTGACTCTCCAGCCAACCCCAGCCCCATGCTCAACAATTCAGGGGACTTTGCAAGAGCCATTAAATAAAATTTTTCTGCAAAAACAACTAGATTTCACTTGCCATGCTTATAACTAATACCTACTGTGTTTAATGTTATTTCATCATGATTATTAAATGCGGTGACTTTAGGCCAGCTGTCTCATTGGCTTGTAAATCCCACGCCTCAAAAGTGTCCTTATCTGAGCTGGGTGGGTGTCTGCAGTTGAAACTTGGCGTAGAGACCTAATTCCATGTCTGCCCTCACCTGGCCCTGCAGCCAGGGGGATTAAACTGAGACCATGAGGAATGGGGCAGCCCCTATTCCCCTGCCTCCAAGTCTTTCATCTCCAAGCCCCCAACTTTTTTTTTTTTTTTTTTTCTGAGACAGAGTCTCACTCTGTCACCCAGGCTGGAGTGCAGTGGTATGATCTCGGCTCACTGAAACCTCTGTCTGCAAGATTCAAGCGATTCTCCTGCCTCAGCCTCCCAAGTAGCTGAGATTACAGGCACCTATGACCACGCCAAGCTAATTTTTGTATTTTCACTAAGGACGGCGTTTCACCATGTTGGCCAGGCTGGTCTTGAACTCCTGACTTCAGGTGATCTGCCCTCCTCAGCCTCCCGAAGTGCTGGGATTGTGATTATGGGCGTGAGGCACCGTGCCAGCTGATTTTTTTTTTTTTTTTTTTTTGAGACGGAGTTTTGCTCTGTCTCTTGGGCTGGAGCGCAGTGGGGTGATCTCGGCTCACTGCAACCTCCACCTCCTGGGTTCAAGCAATTCTCCTGCCTCAGCCTCCCGAGTAGCTGGGATTACAGGCTCATGCCACCACACCCGGCTAATTTTTGTATTTTTAGTACAGACAGGGTTTCACCATGTTGCCCAGGCTGGTCTTGAACTCCTGACCTCAGGTGATCTGCCCGCCTCAACCTCGCAAAATGCTGGGGTTACAGGCATGAGCCATTGCGCCCGGCCTTCAAGCCGCTCTTAATTGGCTGCACTGAGCGCTGTGGTGGACACCAGAGGGCGATAAATGCTCATTTTGGAGAAAAGAGTGATGAGGTTTTTGGTTTTATTTATTTTTTTCTCCTCTTTCTCTTCATTTCTGTTGGTAAAAGGAATGACTTGGACACAACTAACTAGTGCATCTCATAGCCCTAAAGTAGCAAATATTGTATGTGCATTGCCTGCAGCGTAAGCAGTGAGGAAACAAACCCAGAGAGGTGAAGGTCACATGTGCCCAAAGTCACATGTTGGAAAGTTACCAGAGCAAGGACTTGAGCTAAACCATGTCTCACAGAGGAGGGCAGTGCAAACATGGCAGTTTTCACAGGGATCATCCTGGAAAGTGGTGTCCCTGTCTTCCCGCTAAGGTCTGTGTGGCCCTGCCAGCTACTCAGAATGCTCTCAATATGAACATGAATTCAGCCAGTATTGCTCCCCGGATTGCAAACTCAGTTCCCCATGGGAACCAGGCAGGTCACAAAAATGAGGGAAGCAGGCTAGATGAGCCATAGGCACAGTGGGGACTGTAGCCAGCTGGAGGTCATATGTCGCAAATAAAGAGGTCAGCCACAACTCAGGTCCATCCGCTGTGGCCCCGTTGGAAGGCACAGCAGGAGGCTCAGATGTCCCTATCCCTATACATCTAAAAATCAACATAAAATTCCCCAATTTTTAAATGCTGGCCACAAATTCAAAACTTTTTCAACTCAACTAAGCCTTGGCCTTCTCAACTGTATAAGGGAGAGAACGTCTACACCATCAGCTTCTTGGGCCACAGGTGTGTTCTTTTAGATCTCAGGCCTGATTCAGGGAAAGATCTCCCCACTGATATAGTGCAGCTCCACCGAAGAACAGCTGTGAGAGTTCCCCTTTCTGCAGCACCTCCTCATCCATCTCAGGGGCTTATGAGTGCAGGCATACATTGCTTTTTATTACGCTTTACAGATAACGTGTTTTTTACAAATTGAAGGTTTGTGGCAACTGAACTGAGCAAATTTGTCCGTGCCATTTTTCCAACAGTATGCACTCACTTTTTGTCAGAATTTTGGATCAATTTTTTTTTTTTTTGAGACTGAATCTCTCGCCCTGTTTCCCAGAGTGCAGTGGTGTGATCTCGGTTCACTGCAACCTCTATCTCCTGGGTTCAACCAATTCTCGTGCCTCAGCCTCCTGAGTAGTTGGGATTACAGGCGCCCGCCACCATACCCAGCTAATTTTTGTATTTTTAGTAGAGACAGAGTTTCATCATGTTGGCCAGGCTAGTCTCATACTCCACACCTCAGGTAATCCATCCACCTCGGCCTCCCAAAGTGCTGGGATTACAGGCATGAGCCTCCACACCTGGCCAGGATCAACAGTTTTTAAGTAAGGTATGCACATTTTTTAGACATGCTATTGCATACTTAATAGACTATGGTGGAGGGTAAACATAACTTTTACATGCATTAGGAAACCAAAAAAATTTGTGTGTCTCACTTTATTGCAATATTCGCTTCAGTGTGGTGGTTGGGAAAGGAACCTGCAACAGCTCCAAGGTGTGCTTCTATCTGGAGACTGAAAAAGCGCTGCCCAGAGTAGTCCCCTTTCTTCTGCTTTGCTCTTCCAAAAATCCCTCCCTAAAGGCGTGGCCGATGGTCTCCAATGTGATCCGCTGGGGTTCAAGGAGAAAATAATAGGACTGCTTTCTGTTTATTTTATAGATATATATATACAATATTTTAAATAATTATCATTTAAAATTTTTGTTTTTTGGCCAGGCGCAGTGACTCACACCTGTGATCCCAGCATTATGGGAGGCCGAGGTGGGTGGATTGCCTGAGGTCAGGAATTCAAGACCAGCCTGGCCAGCATGGTGAAACCCCGTCTCTACTAAAAATACAAAAAAATTAGCTGGGCGTGAGTGAAACACACCTGTAATCCCAGTTACTTGGGAGGCTGAGGCAGGAGAATTGCTCCAACCCAGGAGGCAGAGGTTGCAATGAGCCAAGATTGTACCACTGCACTCCAGCCTGGGCGACAGAGTGAGAATCTGTCTCAAAAATAATAATAATAATAATAATAATAAATAAAATAAAATATTTGTCTTTGTGCATAGTTCATATTATGCAAAATGGCTAATAAAATAGTACATACATATCTATTATAAACAAATGACATATATTGGGATGTATATAACCCTACCATGGGTTTAAGCTGATGCCTAAAAAGAAAAATAAACGGGTAGAACAGGGAATTTGGGGAGGGGGGGACATGATTTAATAGTTTCAAAGACTTACCCAAGTGCCACAGTTGTAAGATAAATATAAATAAGCTTTAGAATATGTAAAGTGCTACGCAAATGCTAGTTATCAAATTAGTTAAATATATTTAAATTAGTTATTTTACAGCTTACTTTTAAAACGGTGGCTGCCATTATTAGTGTCGTAGTTGCTATGGCAACATGGCAATGTACAGGGGCTAAAAGCCCCCTGAAGAGTAACCCCTGGACCTTCAGATGTAGTAGGCGGCAGGGCAGGATTTGAGCAGGGGCCTCACTGATCTTTCTGAAATGACTGAGACAGGAACAAATCAATGGCTCAGTGTCTTCTGTGGGAACTCAGCCCCTGTCCTCAGCTACAACCCAGCTATAATGGGCTTAGAGTTCCAATCCCCTTTAAGTGCTTTGGAGAAAAAAATAAAGGTCGGTGGTCCTGCTGAGCCCATTCAAATGCAGGAATGACTGTGTTCAGGAATAGAGAAATGGAAACAGAAAGTGTGGGAAAGTGCTATTAACCACTTCCTGGCCTGAGACTCGGCAAGAGGACAGAGGATAGGGCGGGGTTATGCCAAGCAAGTGCTGGAGCCCAGCTTTCTGGGGCCAGCCTTCTTTCTGTAAGCAGGAAGCAGGGTCCCTTCAAGGCCCTGGGGAACCTCCTTGATCCAGTGCGAGCTTTTGCGATTCAGTGTTGGGCGCTCACTGGGTCCCAACTTGGGCCTTTCCCCTAGGGCTCAATTTCAGGAACTGAAAATTGGGTTAGCTATATATAAGCTGCAACTTCACTTTCCTCCATCACTTGTTAGTTGTATGACTTTAGCATCTGAGTGCTCCATTTCCACATCTTGGGAATGGGCCTCATAATAGTATGTGCCTCACTGGGTTGTTGCTATCAGGATTAAATGAGTGCAATTTTTAAGTTTGTAACTTTAAGGAAACAGTGCAGGTTTAGGGAGGGAAGTGCTAACTCTATTCTGAGGACTCTTGAAGAAAGATCTTAAGACATCCACTTACTAGGCCAGGCGCGGTGGCTCACGCCTGTAATCCCAGGATTATGGGAGGCCGAGGTGGGTGGATCACGAGGTCAGGAGATCGAGGTCATCCTGGCTAACATGGTGAAACCCAGTCTTTACTAAAAACACAAAAAAATTAGCTGGGCGTGGTGGCACACACCTGTAGTTCCAGCTACTCACAAGGCTGAGGCAGGAGAATCACTTGAACCTGGGAGGCAGAGGTTGCAGTGAGCCGAGGTCGCACGACCACACTCCAGCCTGAGCAACAGAGTGAGACTCCATCTAAAAAAAAAACAAAAAAAAGACATCCAGCTACTCAAGACCAGTTGTCCACTGCTGAACTTCTTATTCATTTGTGCACAAATGCTTGTGTGATACATACTGTATACCATTTTTTAAAACAATCAATTGAGTTTGAACTCTCAGCTCCCATCAGAGAAACCCTCCTCCAGTCATTCTGAGGACTCGCTTGGGGCAGATTGTATTTTTCACAGATGGCTGCAACAATATCTCCTTTCTTGAAAACTCTTCTAGAATTTTGTTACCCCCTGGTTAAGAAAGAGACTATGTACCCTGCTCTTGAACCAGGGCCTTGGTGACTGCTTCTACTAATAGGATGCAAAGGAAGTGATCCTATATGACTTCTAAGGCTAGGTCACAAAATGCCATGCACTTCTAAGTGAGTCTTTGTTCTTCAAAACCGGCAGCCAAATTATGAAGAAGCTCAAGCAACCTGTGGAGCAGCCTCATGGAGAGGACCAAAGGCCTCCACAGCTCTGGCTGACCTCCCAGCTGGCAGCAAGTGCCAACTTGCTAGGTGTGTGAGTACACCATCTTGAAAATGGATCCCCAACCTCCAATTGAACCACCTGACATTGCGTAGAGCAGAGATAAGCCGTTGCTGCTGAGCCCACCCCAAACTGCAGATTTATGGGCAAAATAAATGAGTGGGATGGTTTGTTACATAACAGTAGGAAACAGATACCCGCACTCATTCTCTTTACCTTCCTCCACCAGAGATGTGCAAAAGTCTTGGGGCCTTAACCTAGGCCCAGACACTAACAGGGAACTGGCCCCCATGTTCTTGCCTACAAGTTCTTTGAAGTCTCCTGCTCAGCTGTTCATCTTCCACCTTTGGGGTGGGGGAATCTTCTGAGAGCCTGGCAATCCTATAGCCATACCTCTCTGAGGTCTTGCCACACCACCGTCTTCCCCATCTCCAAGTTGGCCATGGATATCTTCTCTCAAGGCTTTCTAGGGTGGTTCTTCTCACCCCTTTTCCCACCTCCAGAACTCCTGGCTCCACCTCTAGAATGGACTAGAGGTAGAGTCTCACTAGAAGTGTCTGCGCTTTCTGCCTGGCAAAATGCCCAAGGTGAGTCATGACAAAGCTTGCCTTCTGCTGGAAGAGAGGGGATAGGGACAATGCTGAGGGAGCCAACCCAATGTGATATTTCAGTGAATGACTCTGCTATGGTTTGAATGTATTGGAAACTGAATCCCCAAATTCATATGTTGATGGTATTTGGGGGTAGGGCCTTTGGGAGGATTAGATAAGGTCATCAGGATGGGGCCCTCATGATGAGGACTGGTAGCTTTATAATAGGATGAAGAGAGACCTGCGGTGGCATGCCCTTGCCCTCTCACCATGTGATGAGTCAGTAAGAAGGCTTTCACCAGATGTAGCCTCTCAACCTTGGAATTCCCAGGCTGCAGAACTATACAAAATAAAATTCTTTTATCGATTACCCAGCCTATGGTATTGTGTTATAGCAACAGAAAATGGACTAAGTTAGACTCAGATGCACATCTACTCAACAACTGTCCCTTAAGCTTCCAGGCATGTGCTAGAAGCTGGGGAGACAAGGCCAAATGGCAATGTCACCATAGACCTGGACAAGAGGGCACCTGTGGCCACCCAGAGCCCACACCTGACCTTGATCATGCTTTGGGTGTTTAAAAACCTAGACTGCCTATCCAGCCCAAGCCAGTTTTTTTGTTTTGTTTTGTTTTGTTTTGTTTTGTTTTGTTTTGTTTTTTGAGACAGGGTCTTGCTCTGTTGCCCAGCTGGAGTGCAGTGGTGCAATCTCAGCTTACCGCAACCTCCGCCTCCCTGGCTCAAGCGATCCTCCCACCTCAGCCTCCCGAGTAGCTGGGACCACAGGCACACGCCACCACACCCAGCTAATTTTTGTAGTTTTTGTAGAGACAGGGTTTCATCCTGTTGCCCAGGCTGGTCTTGAGCCCCTGAGCTCTTTAATCCTCCTGCCTCAGCCTCCCAAAGGGCTGGGATTTCAGGTGTGAGCCACTGTGCTCAGCCCCCCAGCCAGTTTTAAGGTTTACAAAGCTGCCTGCCCAGGTCCATCCTCCTGAGGGTACATCCTGTCCCTGGAATGTGCATTCATAGAGAGGTGACGAAGAGGTGGCTGTAGGCAAGGCGTGTGGGCAAAGTTTGGGTGTGTGGGCTGGAGTATCCACATGCCTGAGTCCTAGGCCACTTGTGACACAAGACAGAGATGGAGTGTGAAGAGAAGTGGAGTGGGTGGGCTGAGGGCTAGGGCCAGGCTATCCTCCCGCACTGCCATGTTCTTGCATAAAATTCTAAAGAGTCCAAGAATGCTAAATTTGAACATGGTCTTCCTGGTCATTAGAAAGAACATTTGTCAAGGCAGGAGAATACACATTTTATTTCACAGTCAGTTAAATGTTTAGATACAAGGTATCTGGTCCTTGATTTGCACTCTTAACTTGGGCTCTCCATGTTCGGGCAGGTCAGCATAACAGGACCAGTGCCCAGGCCCTGCACTCCTACAGGGAGACACTCTTCTGTGGGACTCAGACAATGACAGGGAGTATGGCAGAGATTCTAGAAGCTGCCTGAAGACTGCTCTCAATGTCACCACAGCTGCCTCTATCTCTAATCAGGAGTGGCAGGGCAGCAAGGGATAGCAGATGGGACTAATATGAGAGAATGTCTTCATGGGGGGAGGGGACAGTGAGGGGATCCAGCTGTTTTGCCAATGGCCAGTTCCCATCTGTCTGCTGGAGCCCTATTAACTTCAGTAGGGATGGTACTAGGTTCAAGAGGCTGAAGGAGAGACCAGAGCCAGCAACTGGGACATGGGGTTTTATTGGGAAACTTACACACAGGGACGGCCGGTGGCAGTGGGCTGGACAGGAGAACTGTACAGTCCCATGGCAGGCTGGGCAGGAGAGCCACAACCGCTTACAAAAAGCATGCAGTTTATACATCACTCTCACTTAGCACCCTCCCCCTAACAACCCCCACCTGATAACCTTCATTTGGCCCCAAACAAAGAGCTTTGAACCCCTGTACACCCTGCATTCCACAGGATGGGCCGGGGTTCAAATGTTCCTCACAGATAAGGAATGAATCTCCAGGTTGGTCATTCCCGGATTCCTTAGCTCAAAACTCCAAACACACATTGGGGTGCATCTGCCATACAGGACCATTCTCAGGGTATGCTTAAGTCAAGTTATTGCTGTCAGGAGCATCTGCCATACACCATCACAAACACCCCCAGCTCGGAGGGAGCGGGGTGTGGAGTAGGGTGGAATAGGAGGAATTTTATGCCCATTTTGCATGGGCTGGGTAGGGTAGGGATCTGAAACCCAGCCCAAGACAGAATGGCACAGTGGTTCTCAAAGTGTGGTCCCCGGACCAGCATCCACATCATCTAGGAGCTTGTTAGGATCTTAACCACTTGCAGGATAGAGGGTGTCTCTCTGCGGGTATGACACACTGCTGGGTTTAAAGGATTCTCCAGCCTCACTTTTCTGACTTGGTGTGGGAATGCTATGAAGGAGACTTTTTGCTGAAAAGAGAACATTTTCTGAGCATGTACGGCATTCAAGCGGTGGGCCAAATACTTTATGAATGCTGTCACATGTAATCTTCAACAGCTACCATCAAGATCGGTATGATTGTTATGGCTCATTTTATTATTATTCCCTGTTTAAGGGCTCATCCCAGAGGTTAAGTATCTTGCCTTGTCCTGGGTTTAAAACGCAACCAGGAAGCTACCTAGGTCTGTGTGATTCTCAGACCACCCTGACTTCTTTACAGTTTGCTCAACAGTGGTTCATGCTTGAATGTGATTCAGAATCACCTGGAGGCCTTATTAAAACCAATTGTCCCACAGTTTTCCATTCAGTAAGTTGGGATGGGGCTTCAAAATACGCACTCCTAACAAGTTCCCAGATGATGTTGCTCCTGGTTCAAGGACCACGCTGTGAGAACTACAGTGCTGGGCTGGGATCCAGCTCCCGCCCTTACTCCACTCGTACAAAGCGCTCATAATCATACCCTCCCACAACGGTGTGTTGTGAGAGGACATTGTGATAATGGAAGTGAAAGAGCTTTGTCAGCTGCACAGGTGAATGCCCCTGGTCATTAACCAGGTAATCTGCCTGAGGCTAGTCCTCTGGAGCCTGGGAGGGCAGAGGGCTGGGACGCAGGGTGGGCACCGCAGCCACCTAGAGAGCTCTTGCAGCCCACCTCAATTTTGGGCCACTTTTTCTTCAGGGAGAAAGCCAGCTTTGAGGGCTTAGGCCCACAGCCCCTCCTGCCACTATTCTCATCAACCCACACCTCCTCCCTCACCTCAGGCAGCTGCTGGGCACTGCCCCAGCACTGGTTGTTCTGGGCTACTTCCCCAGGGGCCAGTCCAGGCAAGCTGGGGCAGCTCAAGCCTGTGACTCAGGACCTGAGGCTGGATCCCGCTCACGCCCGCCTCCATGAGATTCAGAGCCCTCGACTTCCCTTCTCTGAGCCTTAAACTGCGCATTAGTAAAATAGGCGCAACGAGAGTACCCATGAGTTGTGGGAATTCAAGGGCTAGAACTGTATTCAGCGCTTGGCATAGAGCCTGGCCCCTGGCAAGGATTCAATCAATGGTAGTCAGTATTTTCAAAAAGTTCCTGGGCCCAGGCCGCCTCCTGATAGAGGCCCCGACTTAGGACACAAACCGCTCCCACGCCGTTCCCCGGCGGCACCCGGATACACCCGCCCTGGAATGCCAGCGTGGGGGCCCCAGGGCTACCCGCCCGAGATGAGAGGGGCAGGGCAGGGCAGGATTAGGAAGGCGCTGAGCCCAGGCTGGTGCGGGGAGGGGCGTGGCCTCACCCTACTAGGGCCGGGGGATGGGGTGGGCTCGAAGGAGAAAGTGAAGGAGGCGGGGGCGCTGGGAGGGCCCGGGAGGAGACCGGGAGGACGAGGTAGGCGGGAGCTGGGCGGGACCGTTAGGCAGCGCCGTGAGTGGACAGGGCTGGAGCGGGGCGGGCTTAATCCCCAGTGTAACCTGGGGGCGGGGCTGCCGGGATAGAGGAGAGACTCCGTAGCGGGGCGGGGCCTCAGCTCCAGCTGGGCCCGGGGGCGAGGCTGGTTGGGGTACGGCCATAGTGGGCGGGGCCTGGCCGGCGGGAGCGCACCGCCTTCCCAAAGGGCTCGGGGGCGGGGCCGGCGGAGGGGGCGTGTCTTCTGGGGGCGGGGCCTGCCGAGTCCGCGGCGTTCCCCGGCTGCAGCCGGGAGGGGGCCGAGGAGTGACTGAGCCCCGGGCTGTGCAGTCCGACGCCGACTGAGGCACGAGCGGGTGACGCTGGGCCTGCAGCGCGGAGCAGAAAGCAGAACCCGCAGGTGAGCAAGGGGGCAGCGGGCCGGGGTAGCCTGCCGGACAACCATAGGCAAAGTTAGTTTTAGCCCCCGCTTCTGCGGTCCGGCTCGGACAACTTTCCTCGGAACTAGTGACAGGTCGGGGCAGCTGGTGGGTGAAAAGGAGCTTTAGCCACCAGTCCTGAACCCCCAGTTCTCACACTCGGCCGTGCACAGCTGCGTGATCCTGGGTCCGTCCCTCTACCTGGCTCTGGACCTCCCGGGTTCCAGCAGGAGGAAGTGAACCAGGTGAATTCCACGCTCCCGTTGCCCTTTCTCACTTAAAACGCCGGAAGGTGAGAGCTGGCAGGTGAGAGCAGGCTGCAGGTCGCCACAGGTGTTCCCATCGCGTTGCCCTCTGCAGTTTCTCTCCCTGCAAAATGGGACTGAGAGAAGCGAATTGCTTTAAAGAGTGCACTGTTTCCTCGGTTGGGGCTCGAACCCACCAACCCTGGGGAAGAGGAGGCCAAAGCAGGGAGGTTCCATTTCCCGCCTCACCTGCTTCCCACCAATTCTAACAGTTCAACTGAGCCGGACCCCCTAAGACTTCAAGTTGGAAACTCAGTGGGGCTTTTCCAGGTGAGCTGGCCTGAGCAGGAGGTTGGAAACTGGGGAACAGTTCTTACACTGGTGAGTGGGGAAGAGAAGGGAAAACCCCACCAATCCTTGGGCCCAGGGTCAAGCCCAGGGCCCCAGGGGCCCTTGAAGCATACCCGGGGTTAATTTCTTGGCTGACGGGTTCTGTTCCTGGAGGTGGTGGGTGCTCTGTGCTGGGCCCCAGTAGCGGGGCAGCATAGTTCTGTGGTCAAGGCTTGGGCTTTGGGATCAAACTGATTTGGATTCCATTCCCCCTCCAAACTTCAGTTTCCTCACCTGTAAAATGGGGATAATGACAATATCCAATAGCAGGAGCAAGCACTAAATAGAATAATGTGTATACACTACTTAGCAAGGTGCCAGGAAACCAGTGAGACCTCCCTCTGTGACAGCTGCTTTGATGCGGGTGGGCAGGTGATGGGCTTGCTTCCTATGGGGAATGAGCCTTTTTTTTTTCTTGGAGAGATGGGGTTGGCTACAGCCCCTCCTGACCTTGTGAAAGCCAGAAATTGCCACCTGCCACCAACATCACTCTATTTGAGGGATGAGGACTGTGTCATCTGGAACAAAGAGTGGCTGAGTTTTCTGTAATGTTGCTTGAGGTTGGTAAGTGTTGAGTTAAATAAGTCTAAAAATGTTTACTGAGCACCTACTATATGCTAGAGAGAGCTAGAGGATACAGAGGTGAACTAGCCAGGCCTGAGTTGCTGACAATGAGGGCTCCCCCATCCCTACCATGTCCCTGTAGAGAGGATCAGTCACACCCAGGGCTTATAACCAGATGAGATTTCATGGGTCTGTTCTGCCCTGGTGGCTGGAATCCAGCTATACCATTGCACACTTGGCTTGGGATGGGGGCGAGGGGCAATGTGGGCACCCGATATCTAAGCAGGGTTGGACACTGAAGGACGCTGAAGGTGCTGCATTATATTGGCTCCCTGCATCTTCTGGGAGATAAGCTGTACAGTATGGAACAAACTGGAAAGTGCTGTGGGACAGAGACGGACTGGCGGCTGCGCTGTGTGCAGGAGACTGTGTGTGTATGTAGGGCAGGGGGAGGTGTTCAGAAGAGTGAGACACTTGAGAAGCCAGGGCAGGGGGTGGGGGTAAGGAGGCTTCCTGGAGGGGGTGAGACTTGAATAGGACTTTCTCTCTGGGCTCCTGGTCCTGGTTTGGCTTGGATCAACATGGGACCACAGTCTCTTCAAGCACTGAAGTGGCATAAATTGGAGTTTGGTATGGTGGGGAGGGAGAGGGTCTGGTAGGTGGTGCCTGAGGTGGGGAGGAGGAGACGTTCATTTCAACAGAGCCTACCTAGTGAGCCTTAATGGAAAGCCCTCCCCACCACCACCCCCACTTCCTGCTCGATGAATGACAAGCGACCACATAAGGCCTGCACCCTCAGGTTGCTTACCATCCGGGAAGGGGCTTACACAAGAATACCAGGGACTCTGATGGAAGATAAATGAAAAAAGGATTAGAGGGATCTTCAGGGCCTTACAGACTGGGAAGATTTCGGCAGCCAGAATGAAGATAGTGTCTTGAGGAGAGGAAAATGCCTAGGCAGAGGCAGGGAGGTCAACCTGTCCTGAGAATTCTCGAGAAACCTCTAGGTTGCTCATTCTGGCTGAAGTTTGGGAACGTGTGGGGATATGCAGTGGGAATAGTAGGTGGGATCAGCTTACGGAGGGCCTTGAATGACAGGATAAGAACTTTGGATCTGATTTGCAGAAAGTGGGAGCCACTGAAGGTTTCTGAGGAGAGGAGTGACACAACAGAGCAGCACTTTAGGAAAGTCAGTCTGTACCAGATGTGCTGGGGTGGAGGATCCAGCGGTCAAGGGATAATGAACCAATGGCTGCAGTGACTGGGAAGAAGGGGTCTGGGTGGCTTTGGGGATGTCTGCAACTGGGAGTGAAGGAAGAGACACCAGCCACAGGGAGAGCAAAGGCACCATTGGAGGGGTGGGAGGGGACTGTTCCAGCACATTTGCACTTCTTTCTCCTCCCTATCCTGTCTGGTACATAGCAGGGTCTCAGGAAGGTGGCTGGATTGGGTGAGTGGCGGGGTTGCTGGGAGGGTGATGAATGCTACAGAGGGGTTTGCCCATGAAGGGGAGGCATCTGGGCCGAAAGGTGGGAGCCTGTGCCAGCCAGCAGTAAGTTTGGGGGTCGGGGGCGGGATGGTTAGAAGAAGTGCCTGCTGATCCCTCCCTCCCATCCCAGCCCAGGGAGGATAGGGGTGAGAGGTCAGCCATGTGCTATCTCTGGCAGTGGGTGAGCAGTCAGGGCACAAGTTTCCCACAGTAGGGGGACTGGGGCAGGATTTTGGCTTCCCTGGGCTCCTCTGAAGTTTCCGCTATGTGGGGGCGGCCCCCTCTGTCTTGAGGCCTCACGCTTTAGAGCCACAGCCTGGAAGCTCCCACCGGCCATCCCCTTCCACCCTGGGGACCCAAACCTGTTCCCCTAAGGACCAGACAGTCCTCCCTCAACCCATGGCTGAGCAGCCCCAAGTTCTGAGTGTTGTTTCAGATTCGGAGCATCTGGGGCCAGCTGGCACCCCTGATTCTGGCTTGACCTTGGCCTTGGCCTTCTGCTCCAAACCGTTATACCCACTTCCTCTGCCCCATGGGAAGCTCACAGGGGGCGGTTATGACTTAATCAAGAACATCAAACGGCCAGGAGCTGGCTCTGTGAGAGGTGGGAAGGGAGGGAAGAGCCTGGACTGTTTGGCCTGGGCCCCTCTGTGGGACAGGACCCGTTTAATCTCAGCAGGAACTGCCCTACCCACCCGCTTCCCCTCCACTAAGCCGGGGTCTGAGGAGCTGGGAGGGGAAGCCCAGAGGTAAACATGGAGTGAGTGGTGTGGGATGTGTTGCTCCCCTCGCCCCTGATGCTGCCCTAAGAAGAGGCAGACAACCACAGACCCGGGGCCTCTGCAACAGGCCCAGCTGGTGTCTCTCGGAGGCTGGCTGGTTCCTGACTCACCCCCGGGCTTCCCCTTCCACTGTGGTTTTCCTGTCAGCAGCTGATTCACTGTGCTGACATGGACAGGCAGCTGATGGAGGAAAGAGACCTGTGTTCTGGTCCTTGGAGTTGGCTGCTGCTCTGCTGTGTGTATGTTGTGTGACCTTAGATAAGTTCCTTCTCTCTGGGATTCCTTCCCTGACTTGCTGATGCCCCATTCTTTCCTTGGCTCTCGGGGAGTTCTGGGACCTGGGATCTATCCTTTGCAAAGTAGGGCATGTCTGTGAACACCCACCCATACTCAGGCATGCGCACACACACAAATACAACCCCAACACAGAGGAGCTGGGCAGCTCCCCTCAAAGAGCACTTGATCCTACCTCCCTATTTTTACCTTGTTTCCCCCACCTGAAGCACCTTTATCTTCTTTCTGCCTGTTAACAGATTAGGGAGATGATGGTACAGCATGGCGGTAAAGCACTGGACTTTAGAGTTGAGATCTCGGCCCTGCCAATTTCTGGCTACGTGACTCTTTCTGAGCCTCAGTTTTTGAACCTGCAAATGGGGATAATAATGGTCATGACTTCATAGGTCATGAGGAGAAGACAAAAAAGTGCACATGAAATGCTTAGTATTGTTATACCTAGCACATAGTAAATGCTCAATAAAGGAGAGCCATTGTTGTTTGCTGTATCTGGTTGGTCTTTCAAGGCTGGTGCCAGGCTCCTTCTCAGGCCCCCAGGGACACTCCCAGAACACCTTCCTTCTGCACAGGGCCTCTGTGCCTCTCCAATATGTGTGTGCCCCAAGACGCCAGTCATGTCTGGCTATGTGGGGCTCTCTGGCTCTTCCTGGGGGTGGCTGGGTCTCCTCACTGTGACGCTCAGCTTCCTGAGGGGCAGTAGGTCTGAACATCTCTGGCTGCCTTTCCCAAGCCCCTCATTGCCCTTCACCTTCTCCTCTGTGCTTGGCTGCCTTTCCCAAGCCCCTCATTGCCCTTCACCTTCTCCTCTGTGCTTGTCTACACTGTGTACCCTCCTCTTTGATCCTGCCACTTTGTGGTGTATGATGTGTTTCCATGAGCTCTCCTGGGCAGGCACTGCCCTGTCCTGTCTGTATCTCTGATTCCTGGCATACAGCAGGCACTTGGGGATCGATGACTGAATGAATAGGTTAGTGGTTCTCTTGGGTGAGGCCGGGGGTATCAGCAGTACCTAGCTTGGTACCACATACCAGGTGACTCCTTGGCAAAGTGGAGCCGGGAAGCAGGACCTGGATGCCACTGCCTGGTGCTTCAGGCCTGTGGGCCGCACTTCTGCAACCTGGATCCAGGGAGATGGGAATGCACCGTCTGTCCTGGAATTGCTTTCAGCAGAGCTTCTGCTTCTCTTCCGATGCCTGGCCTTTATTACCCTCCTGAGAGGGGAACAGCATGACTTCCTTCAGTCCTAACCCAGGAAGGGGCCACTCTGGCCTTTAGTGAACTCTGACTCAGCCAGAAAGAGCATCTTGGAGTCAACAATTGTTTGTGGAAGGTGCTGCTATCCTGTGGGGACTCAAGCTGGGGCCTGGAGAAATGGGACGGTGGCCTCCAGGAAGCCCATCCTGGACATCATCCATGCAGACCCCCAGGTGGGCAGCTCTGGGAAGCCCCACTCTCCCCTCTGACCTCCTACCCTGCAGCAGAAGCTTTTGCCTCTTCTCCGCCGCCCCACCCCGCAACTTGACTTTCCCTGCTGTGTGGAAGGGTGATCTGGTGTGGGAGTTGTTCAGAGTTCTGGGCCTTGGCTCTCAGTGTCAATGTGGAGAAGTGAACAATGCCCTGGTAGTTGGGCATTAGGAAGCCCGGGTTCAAATCCTGGCTCTGCCATGGAGCTACAGCATGACCTTGGCCAGAGAGGTGACTTCTAGGCAGGTTTTCTTCCTTTTAGGCAGCAAGTGTTCCAGAAGCCTTCCTGAGTCCCAGCTGGGCTTGGGCCTGGGGGAGTGGGGAAGAAAGCCTGGGCAAGATCACAGACTCTGGAATCAAATTGCCTAAGGATGATTCCCGCCTCTGCTACTTACCAGCTAGGCGTGACTTTGTGTCTTACCGCTCTGTGCATCAGTTTCAGCATCTATAAAATGGAGACAATAATAGTACTCATCTCATAGGGTTGTTTGAGAATGATATATGAGCTAATGCATATGAAGCATTTAAGACAGCGCCTGGCACATAGTTAGTGCTATATATGTTCCTGCTGCTTTTGGTAGTGTTTTATTTTTATTTTTATTTTTTTTTGAGACAGAGTCTCACTGTATTGCTGAGGCTGGAGTGCAGTGGTGCAATCTTGGCTCACTGCAACCTCCACCTCCCGGGTTCAAGTGATTCTCGTGTCTCAGCCTCCTGAGTAGCTGGAATTTCAGGCATGCACCACCACACCAGGCTAATTTTTGTATTTTTAGTAGAGATAGGATTTCACCATATTGATCAGGCTGCTCTCAAACTCCTGGCCTCAAGTGATCCTCCAGCCTTGGCCTCCCAAAGGGATTACAGGCATGATCTACTGTGCTCGGTGTTTTTGGTAGTGCTGTTAATAGGAAGCAGGATGTAAGTCTTTGAAGAGCTTGAGTCTGGAGATCAGGGGACCTGGGCTCCGTTCCCAGCTCATCTTTTACTTGCTGTGTTATCTTGGGTAAGTTATAGCCCTTCTTGGGCTACAAAACTATATTATCTTGCATTTGCTGCACTTGGCTTTTGTAAGTGAGGCACATGTGATGCCACAGTGGACGGCTGCAGGGTTTTATTCAGGGGAAGGACTCCTGGGGGCCTGGCTTATTCTCCTGCAGCCTAGGAAGGAAGGAAGGCTGTAGTGTGGGCAGGTCCCAGCTGCTGCCCTAAAGCATTGCAGAGACTGAATGGCAGAGCTGCTCCCCTACAACTCTACTCTATCAGGCCAAAATACAGGCAACTACATGTAACGTACCCGTTACGAAATACAATTATATAGATTAGATTACAGACCTTTATTATCTTTTTACTTTCCCCTATTTTCCAAATCTACAGTGAGCCCATATTTTTTTATGCTCAAGAAAAAACCCATTCATACAATGAAGCTATAAAAAACATACCACACATATTTGAACAAAAATGTATTATATGAACTTGGGATCATATTGAAGTTCTTTTTGTGAATAAATCATATTTTTTTCGAAGGAGGGATGGGATGTTGGTTTGAAGTGAATATCAATTTGACAAGCCTCAGAAGACTTGGAGGGAGTGCCTATGGTAGGAGCGTCCATTGTCCGCAGCCGCCCAGGCTGGGAGACAAGAGTTAGATATGAATAGGAGTGTAATCCGCCTTCCCATGCGGTGGGCACACCCTGAGCGTTGGGTGGTGTGTAGAAAGCTTTTGAACAGTAGTTGAGATCAAGTTCCTTAATGACCATTCTGAGCCTCAGTTTCCTCATCTGTGAAATAGGGATGGGCTGCTGTGAGGGTTAAATGAGCTAAACACATATTGAATATGGAGCTCTAAATGGAAGCCGGTGGAAGAAGGTGGCTTTACATCTGGGGTCCAGAGGGCTTGCTGACTGGCCTGTCCTGGACCTGGCAGAGTTACCCGTCCCGCCACAGGACGTGCTGGACAGGAGGCAGCCTCCTGCAGGACCAGGTAGCAGGAGCAGAGAACAGCCCAGACAGAACTCTCCCTGCGGGCAATTTGGCTCTGCGAGGGGCGGGGCCCCACTGAGTCTGCCCTATGTGTCTCTAAGACGAACCAATCATAAGCCTCCCAGGGCGTGGCGTGAAGCGGGGATTTGGTAGGGGAGCGCAGAGCGAGGCCTGAGGTGTTTCCCTGGCAGAGGTCCCTCCACTGGGAAACAAACGGAGAGGGGAGTATGTGTTCCCACGTGTACACATAAACCGTTTTGAATGATACCTGGTATGACGTAAGCACTCAATAAATGTTTGTTGTTGCTGATAATAACAATTGGTAAATTATACTAGTACAGTTGGAAAACCACCTCCCACTCACTGTCTTAAAAGGTGGAATATAAGAATGCTTTTGCAGTGGGACCTATGAGACATCATCGTATATAGAGGAAATAGAAACTTGGCAGGGGAGGTTTGATTTATCTGAGGTCATGGAGCAAGTGGGTGTCTAGGCCTTGAGTCACCTTTGGACATGTAGATAGCCCACCTCCCTGACCCCTGGCCTTTCTGAACACACAGCAGTGGAGTAACTGAGGCAGGGAGGATGTGTCCTCTACTCTGAACTAGTCACTTATTTTCCATCCGAAAGCCCCTCTTATCTGCTTTCTCTGCCCCACACCCTCTCCTGGCATGGTTGAGCAAGTCTCCTTGTTTGCCAGGAGACGGTATGGCATGGCACTGTGGTTCTCAAAATGTGTGCCTATCAGGAATCCCTAACCATCCCTGCAAGTTGCAGTCAGGGAAACACTGGGGCTGTGCCTACAGCTTGGGGTTCTAGCTTCTCAGGCATTGATGTCAGCCAGGCCTAGCTATGGGCACAGTGTCTGTTCACCTCTGGGCAAGTTTCTTGGCCTCTCAGAGTCTTGGTTTTTATGAGGATTAAATGAGATAATGCTGGTAAAATGCTTCGTGGCAGGCCCAGGGAAGAGTGCACCCTCAATGAAGCCAGAGGTTAAGGGTGGTGATGATGAGCAAAGGCTGCTCCTGTCATTACTTCTGGGGAAATGATAGGGAGTCTTCCTGTCCGAAGGCTGAGGTCCCTGATCTGGAGTGAGGGAGCTTTCCGGGGTTGCTTGAAGCTCTGCTGGGGGGTCAGCAGAAGACTTAGATTCTCTGTAGTCTTGGTCCCCAGACTATCTGAACCCAGCCTTGAGCTGGGTGCTCTTGGCATAGAGTTGAGGGCAAAGTTGAGGGCTTACGTCTAGAGTCACAGGATCTTGGTGTTGTGAGAAGCTCTGTGGTCCATCCAGTCAACCTACCTGCCCAGTCTGATCCCATGGACCACATCCAGCCTTTGCTCGCACACCTCAAGGCTTGGAAAGCTCATGATTTTTTATTTCTGGAAAGAACTGACTCTTAGAAAATAGGGGATAGAATCTGAGCAAACCCACCCACCCTTGGCTTCCCCATTTTGATCCTGATCTTGCTTGTTGGAATTACACACAATGTGGAAACACCCTGGTGGGACCAAATCTTGTAGCAGAAGACCCCAGGCCAGCGATTCTGACATAGGAAGGAGATTTTTCTTTTAAAAACTTTATCTAAACCAAATGGCTACCCCAAAAAACCCCCCAAACTTTCTGATTATTGAAGAAAGAGGGTTTTTTTTGTGTGTGTGGAAAAATTCAGGCGGTAAAGAACAGACCTGCAGGAGGAAATAACTGCTCAGAGATAACTGCCGTGAGCAGTTTGGTGTTTTGGCCTTAAAGACACACACATACAAGATTGGGATTGTACCACACAAACCACTTCCTGCACTGCCACTTTTGACTGAGTGCTGTATAGGGAGGGTTTTCCCATGTGATTGAGCATTCTTCTCCAGCAAGTTTCCCAGCTCTGTAGTATTGCACCATAGGAATCTTCTGTGACCTGGTTAAGCATTCCCCAGCCATTGCACATTTAGGCCCTTTGAATTTTTCATTAGTATCCACATTGCTATAATGATCGCCTTGTCCCTATGTATATTTTGTACTCAACTCTAATGAGCTCCATGGAATGAATTTCTAGAAGTGGCTTTCCAGCTCAGATGGTTTTTAAACTCAAGGTCAGAGGACCAGAATCTCCCACCATAACCAGTCTCCCAGTTTCGCTTCAGCCCTACTGGTGGGGGAGCGTTCTGTCTGTCCCTGGTGCTAGTTGGCCTACCCACAGGAGGAGGAGGAGCAGGCTTTTAGGGTATGTGTATCTGTGAAAGAGAAGGAGATGGAGAAAGGCAGATAGATATAGGGGAGTGTTTTCTCTTCAATTACAGTCTGATTTTGACCCTCTCCTCTCTGGGAGCCTGTGGTGTCATTAACTAATCATGGGCTCTCTTTACTATTTAATGACCTCTCCCCACAGTGACTCCTTCCTCCCCAACAGTCTCCTGGAAAGGAGGAGGTGGGAAGATGAGTCAGTGGGGGAAAGTTTCTCCAGAGTAGGTGGTGGGTGTTGCAGTGGTTCTCAAACTCTGACATGCATCAGTCCCTTGGATGGCTTATGAAAGCACAGATTGCTTGGCCCCACCCCCAGGTTTCTGATTCTGTGGGTCTGGGGTACTGCCTGAGAATGTGCATTGCTAACACGTTCCCAGGGGACGCTGCATCTGCTGGCCCTGGACCACACTTTGGGTACCAGTAAAGTAGTGGGATGGGGCAGGGTGGGGTTCTGTGGTGAGTTTCAGCTCCTGGTGTTGCTGACAGTAGGAACCTTGTCCTGTTTAATAAAGGCTCATCTTGTGAGGCCTGAACTCACCTTCCCCTCCTACCCCCACCTCACCACCCCTTCTCCCATGTGTCCTTTGTATATATTGGGAACTTTCTGTGCAGGAGGACAAGAGGATTATCAGCATCCCCGTTTTACGGAAAAGAAAATTGAGTCTCTGACAAGTGACATGCTGTGTCTAAGGATGTTGAAAGTAGGAGGGCTAGTACTGGAACCCTGGCGCTGTCACGTTCCCCACCTTGACTTCTCCAGTGCAGGTCTGGTGCGGAAGCAGAGATGCCTTCCCTGAACACTGCACCGGCCCCAAGTGAGAGGCCTGGGGAGGCAGATTCCTCCACACCATCTCTGCGCTAGGATCTTGCTCCACTTCTTATCCCCTGACTGACACTTCAGTAACGTGATCTTCTTCCAAGGTCTAGTGTTCTCCAGCAGTTTATGTTCCCAGTTATTGTTCTGGGCAGGTTTTCTAGGAAGCCAGGAACTTTCTCCTGTCAAGCCTGGGCTTCGTCTGGCAGGCACAACAGAGGGAAAAGAGAAAAGCCTCAGTTGTTGAGCATCTAATGTGTACCAGGCCCTGTCCTGGACACTTTGCAGCCATAATGTCAGGTCAGCCACCCCAGGTAGGGGTTAACATCAGGTCCCATTGTACAGATGAGGAAACTGAGGGTCCAGGAGGTAAAACAACTTACCCAAGTTCACAGAACTGAAAGGGGCAGAGCTGGGCTTTTGATTTCAAACTCAAGGCTGGGGTCTGGTCTGGGATGGCAGCAGGTCCTGTTCTGGAGGGAGCCGGGATGTGGAGTAAGCAGCCTCTGCCCCACCCGCCATCCACGCAGAGACGGTCAGCCCAAGGGTCAAAGCTCTCTTGGGATTCAGGGTCTTGCAGTGGGAGGGCACTGGCTGGTCACCGGGAGACCCCTTTCAAATCCTGCTCTGCTGCTGCCTGGCTGTGTGGCCTGGGGGCAAGTCACTGCCCAGTTTGGGACATCTGAGTCCTCCTTTCTCATAATGATCCCTTATGCTTTACAGCTCTTGGCAGTGGACATTTTCTCATGTACTTATTCTCCGTCCCTCAAGCCTTCCAGCACCCTGTGAAATAGGGCGGGCATTATTACTAAGCCCATTTTCACAGAGGATGAGGATGACAGGGCAGGGAGTTGCCCAGGATCCCGTGGGCAGTTGAGGGATGGTACAAGAGCTAAGACTGGAACCTGGGTTGTCTTTGCTGCCCATCTTGAGCCCAGCCCCTAAGACGGGAGAACTCTTTCTCTCTATTCTCAGCCTTAGGATGAAGGATCCCAGAGCTCTTAGCTGGGCTGGTGGGTCCTGGGTACAAGGGGCCCAGGATCCCAGGAAGGGCTGGCCTGGGATCTTCGCTGTTGGCCAAGAACCCATGGGGAGGCAAGATAGGGTAGTCCAGGCTGTCTCTGTTTCTGACTCCTGCCCAGGCCTTGCACGTGAGGTCCTTGGTGCTGTGGGGAAGGAGGGGTTCAGCCCAGGTTTTCCTCCCAGCTCGGCTGCTTGCTTCTCCTGGGAACTGTGCTTGTCCTCTAAAATGTATCATGCAGAATTTTCCAGACTCTCACACATGGGTGCCTGGGCCCTGCAGTTTCACCTGAATGCCATCACTTCCTCCTGTCTTCCTCATTCTTCTACACCTGGCTCCAGCCACCTTCTTCCCTCAGGGAAGACTTGCTCCTCTGGCCAAGCCGACTCAACTCTCTCGGGTTCTGTGCAGTGGGTGAACTGGCTGACCGGGTTGGTTAACTCCCCAGTGAGGCATGAGAGCAGGGCCTGTGGCTGGTGTGGGTCCAAGCCCCTGCAGGGTCTGGCAGGGCATGCAGCTGAGTCTATGCATGCTAGGGAAAGGTTAGCCTCAGACCTGTAACTCTCAGGCTTGTGACTTTCAGCAAGTCACTTATCTTCTCTGAACCCTGGTTTCCTTCGTCGAAAAGTAAGGAAGCTACTTTCCTCGTTGATAGCTTCTGATACTTTTAGGAGATAAAGTGCAAAACATCTAGCACTGGTGCCTGGGGGTTCATGGTACTCAGGAAATGCCAGTCCCTCATCTTCCCTGCAGTGGGCTCAGGCTATGTTCTGCCTCCACCTACCCCAACCCGCTTGAGTAGGGCGCCGGGTTGGGCCTTGGCCTAAGGCCTGAACTATAGGTAGCTCTAGGTAGGGGGTGTCCTCGGCGGATAATGGGCCAAGGACTGGGCACAGGGACAGAATCAGCTGATTTAATCAGACTCTGCCAGTTCCAACTTGTGACCCTCCCTGGGCACGTTACTAACCCCCCTGAGCCTCAATTTCCAGATCTGTAGAAAGAGATACTCTGTCT
Organism: Homo sapiens; assembly: GCF_000001405.40. Classification (NCBI taxonomy): domain Eukaryota; kingdom Metazoa; phylum Chordata; class Mammalia; order Primates; family Hominidae; genus Homo; species Homo sapiens. Next base: position 44,578,050 of record NC_000011.10, read on the forward strand.
CCTGTGTTCTCAGGATCACACATGATCGGCAAACAGGAGACCAGGGGATGGGGCCCAGGCGACCTGAGGGCGGCCTCCCAGGAGGCTTGGGTCAGGCCAGTGGCTGCTTATTTACATATCAATTTTCCTACTGGGGAACAAATAGTCCCCTTTTCCTCTGGACACCCAGAGGCTCTCCAGGCCCATATCTCTTAGTGCAGTGCCTGGTTTGCTGGGTCGCCCAGGGAAGGAGGCAGCCTCTCTCTGAGCTCCTATATTCCTGTGGGAAGAGAGCCAGGGAGCCAGCCCAGGTGTGAGGCCCTGCCTGGTTCTGTCTGAGACCACGATGGTGTTGCCACATGTCCCATGCCTGGCCCCTGGGGACAGACCCCTTCCTATAGCGCCTAGCACCTTTCCTTCTCACCTCTGTCTGTACATCTATACACCCCCCTTCCAGCTCCATGTGGCCCAGGGCCTTCTCACGGCAATAATGATCACCACACTTCCCTTTATTGTGTGTTTTGCTACTCAAACCACACACCTCCCTCTAGGACAGGAATGAACCGTTACTACTCAGAGAGGGGAACTCGCCCAAGGCCCACAGCTGGACTCACTATCCTCTCTGCCTGCCCCAGCTCTCAGTGGATGTCAAATTCTTGGCTAAATCCATCAGCAATGGAAAGTTGGTTGGCCCTGGGAAGAGGAGAGGCCGGCGGATGGCTAGGTCCAGGACTGGACCAGGGGGGATGGGGTCCCAGATTTCCACCCTGCATTAGGAGCTGGCATAGGGACTGTCCCCACTGCACAGATAGGTAAGCTGAGGTTTGGGAAAGGGGAGTGATTGATCACAGCCTAGAGCTGGCTGGGCTCATTCCCCTTCTCTCTTCCTCCCCATGGCCCTGAGTTGCTCTAGTGGAGGGGATTGGATGGGGCTGTTTGGGACCCAGATGTTCATTTTGTCTTAGCCGCTGCCAGCTGAGGTCAGGTCCCTTCTGTCTGCCTCAGCTTCCTTAGGGGGCTCAGAATGGCTGGACCAGAGCACTGCAGTGCCCTTTCTCATCATAAAGACCTGGCCAGCAGCCTGCTCAGGAATCACATTTGGTGGGGTAACAGGCTTTTTCCCAGGGCACAGTGCCGCCACTCCTAGAATATGGGGGAGGCCAAGGCTGAGAAAAATGTGCTGGGGAAGGGTCATTGTTAATGGGAGGTAGAGAGGGGGCAGGGTGGGTGAGGCTAGAGGGTGGGCCCATTCCTTCGGAGGTCACAGGGGAGGCAGGACATGCAGGGCAACCTCTGGGGTGGCCCCAGAGCAGGAGCTGGGAAGCTGGCCTGGCTCCAGGGGTGGGTGTGGGATCCTCCTGGGTCAGCAGGGCCTGCACTTCCAGGCCGGCCTCACCGCAGGCTCCCCTAGACTTCCTGGTGAGACCTGACAGGGCCTCAGGGTCTGCAGGTTGGTGCTCCAGGGGACCAGAGGCTCCCTTCACCCTTGAGTCTATCTGTGTCTTAGTCTCTCTGTCCCGGCCTCTCTCACTCCCCGCTCTGTACCTTGCTCTGCCCAAGCCCCTCAGCAATCTCAGAGGAGAGGCCCAGGGAGCCCTGGGGAGGGAGCCCTGACAGGCCCGGTTTCCTTTTGTTACCAGTGTTCCTGCCAGAGCTGCCAAGTGTCTGGGCTGGTTAAATGGCCGCTTCCCTGCCTGGGAACCAGGGGCCCTCTGTGGGAAGCACAGCCCCTTTATTCCCAGCTTGGCAGGCCCAGATCTCCGCAGTAGACCATGGAAGTGGGTCTCTCAGGGCCACCCCTTGCAGGAGCTGGGCTCCCGTCATGGAGAGGGCTCAGTACGCTGGAGACTGGGGCCTGTGGGCTGGGTGAGGTTGCCTCAGACACTCTGGGTATTCCAAGGCTCTCAGGATGTTAAAGGGAGAGACTTGGATGATCACAGAAACAGGGAGTGACAAGGAAGAGGGGATGGCTCCAGGGAGCCACAGACAGAGATAGGGACCCTCACAGAAGGGAAGAGACAGGTGAGGGAGAAGAACTTCAGAGAGGGCTGAGGCCCCACAGAGCCCTGCCCTGCCCTCTCCTTCTCACCTGGGCTGAGCTGCCTTCAGCTAGCTCTCAGCCAAGAAGACTCCCCACCCCCAAGTTCTTGTAGTTAGAGACCTGCTTCTACCCTCCACACCGGCCCATCTCTCTGTGTTTTCACCCAAGGATCTATGGAGACAGAGTCCCTGTACCTATGTGCATCACTTTGCCTTCACTCTGTCTCACTTACTCCTCTCTCTGCCCATCAAATACTCCTAAAGGCCTGCAGAGTACTGAGAACTATAGCCTTGGGAGGCAGGAAGGATTAGCCCATTGGACAGATGAAGGAACTGAGGCTCGGAAAAGTTAAATGACAGTTAGGAAAGGGTAGACAGGCCAGGCGCGGTGGCTCACGCCGTAATCCCAGCACTTTGGGAGGCTGAGATGGGTGGATCACTTGAGATCAGGCTGGTCTATGTAGTGAAACCCCGTCTCTATTAAAAATACAAAAATTAGCCAGACGTGGTGGTGTGTGCCTGTAATCCTGGCTACATGGGAGGCTGAGGCAGGAGAGTCTCTTGAACCCCGGAGGCAGAGGTTGCAGTGAGCCAAGATCATGCCACTGCACTCCAGCCTGGGTGACAGAGTGAGACTCTGTCTCAATAAAAAGAAAAGAAACAGTAAACAGAACCAGGGTTTGAATCTATGTCTGTCTGATTGTCTATCCTAAATTCTCGTGATGAGATAATTAGGGCTGCCATATGGTGTTGCCTGAAAGTCTGTGCTGGAGAATGTTTTGGAAAGGCTGCCTCGAGGATGTGGCATTTCAGCAGCCCTGTGTCTACCTTCCTGAGCTCAGTGCCTGGGGAGGGGAAGGCATGATGTGACAAAAGGTTTGCCTGTTGCCATGTGGGGTCCCTGATTAGAGTCCCCCTCCCTCTCTCTAATCACCCTACTCAGGGCCCACACCCTTTTGTTAGCCACCTACTCCAGCTGGCTAGGCTCTGGGATCAGTGTGCAAGCTGGTCACTGGTGCCTAATGTCACCCCAGAGTGTCTTCAGTTGGTTGGGTTTGGAAGCTGGGCCCTAAAACCCAATTAATCTAGGCTGGGCCTTGGTGGGGTAATTTTCATTACCTGTCATTTACAACTTTGTTTCTGCAGGCAGCATGGTGTGACAGTAAAGCTCAGGGGCTCTGGGAGGGTCAGATGTTGGGGTTCAACTCTCTGCCCAACCAGCAAGGTGACCTTGGGCAAGGCCCTTGACCACCCTGAGTCTCAGTTTCTGCAGTTGTACAATGGGGTGATGAGCAGTGGCTTATCTCATAGGATCATTGCAGGGATAAACTGAGCCACGTGAAGGACTTGGCACAATGTCTAGCTAGTAATCATGCAAACATGTTTGCGTTTGTCATTGTTAAACACTTGAGTCTGTGTTCTAGAGAGCCCCTTTTGTCCTTCAGAGGGAGATGCAGTCAGCAGGCTGCTTTGTATAATTGCTCATGTTCATGTCTGAGCCTCTCCAGACTGGGTGCTCCCTGAGGGCAGGGATGGGTTGGAGTCATCTGTTTCCTGTTTCACTCCAGCTCCGGGCCAACCTGGAGTGGGGATTCGGTGAACTGCAGTGGATGGTGGCTCAGGACAGAAACTGAGCGCAGAAGGGCCACTTGGGAGGCCCCTGGGAGGGCAGCCCCTCAGGCCCTCTGGATCATGAGCTGTGTATTCTAAGAGGAGAGGGTGCGGTTCCCTATGAGGTCCCCTCTGAGGGCTAGACCTGGTTCCATGTGCTGCTGTTCCATCTCGGCCCTCTGTGTCCACCTTCTTCATGGCTGGCTGGTGGAGGGAGAGAATTCTGAAATGCTGTGTGTTTGCTAAACCTGCAGGTGCCTGGCCCCACCCCCGGATGCTCTGATTTCACAGTCCTGGGACCAAGGCTTTGCCCCTTTAACACCTGGCTGCAGTGACCACCCTCTCTGCCTTGAGATTGCCTTGGTGGTGGGAAGTAATGGCACAAAGTCAGTAGGATATTGAACTCCAAAGTCAGAGAGTCTTGAGGGCAGAGCTCAGCTGCACCACTGTCCCCCCTGTGTGACCAGGGCCAGTGCCGCCACCCTCCTGAATCCCAGTGATCCTTCCTGGGGTTTGGGGCTGAATGAGATAAGATCAGTGAAGCAACACTCCCATTGTGGATGCTCTCATGAATGTTCCTTTTGCTCCTAGGTCTTTCCTCTGCCCAACCTCATTTCAAGTTCTTGGGTGGTGGTGACCTCCCTGGGGCAGTCTGCAGGAACCCTGTGTCCATCCCATGCCTCAAGGGACAATCTTTCTGCAACTTCCTTGCTCTGGGACCTAACAGGACCTATTCCCAGAATCCTCTGCCTCTGTCATGCTTACAGCCTTGGGTTTGGCACGCTGATTCTGGTTTCCTCTTGGAGGGTCCTAGATAGTCTGTTTTACAGATGAGAACACTGAGGCTCAATGCAGGTAGGCAGCTTGCCAGAGGTCATGTGGATACTGAGAAATGAGATTTGGAATTTAGATCTCTCTCAGGGCCCGTACTATCATCTGCTTCATTATTCTATCTCCAGTTGTGGCACTGGGAGAGGGCCTCAAAAGGTGGCTGACCCCTGAGACCCCACCTGGGAATCCTGTTTTCAGGGCCTCTGGAATCTGGGGCTTCTTGCAACCTCTCTTTAGCTCCTAAATATCCCTCTAGGTTAGAGCTTTCCGATCAATGAGCTGTTGAGATGGTTATCTCTGGAGCCCTTGAGAACAGAGCCCTAGGCTAGTAACCTCAAGCCAGATGTAGTTCTATCTGTCCATCCCAGTGTGCTGAACAAATAGGTATACTTCTCAACGTGTATCATGATGCCAAACAGGCTGGGAAACACTGACTGCCCTACCCAATCCCCTCCCTATCCCCCAACATACACAATGAACTTGTGCATTCCCCAGAAGGGGTGGGGGTAGGGGTTCATTTTCTTCTCTGGGCATCAGTCTTCATCTGAGAAGTGTGGGCTGAGCTAGTGATGTCAAAGGCCATTCCGGCACTGTGAATCTGAGTGTGAGTCTTGGCACCTAGCATTGGGAGGGAGTGGGGGCTGTCTGGGGCCCAAGCAGCTGGCTAAGAAGCCAAAAACAGTCAAGCAAGGGAGCTGTGGAAAGCAAGAGGTCAGAGGCTATGGCTCAGCCTCAGCTTGATTCTTTGGCTGCATGGGGTCCAGGCAGGAATGCTGGAGGGCTCCAGGTATCTGCTGGTTCCCACTCTGCACCCTCCTGTCAGAGAAGCCCCTTTCTTTATCTAAAGGCCCTCCAGTCTCATTGCTAGGGTTTCAAAGCAAAACCTCCTGAGAAGGGCCACATCTGTCAGTCTCATCAGCCAAACTGAAGGAATGTCCCAGTCAGGATTAGGTGGAGCTGCTCTTTTCCTTCCTGAAAGGAAGCTGAGAGTCAGGCCTCAGGGATCTGGGGTAGGGTCAGGGGATCAGGCAGCAGGCGGCAGAGGTGTGGAAGGGTGGGACGGTGGGCTGCAGCATTTACCTTGTTCATTTGGGCAGCAGGTGAAGATGAAAGAGCTTTCAGCTCTCTAAAATCAGATCTGAATTTTAATCATAGCTTAGCCACTTGTGTGGCCTTAGGCAAGTCACTGAACCTCTGAGTCTCAGTCCCTCTATCTGTTAAATGGGGATAATAATCTCTCAATAATCTCTCGTTTAATAATAATCCAGGGTGTTATGGAGATTGCATGGGATACAGTGGGTAATGGCATAATATTCAGGGATGGCTGCTGGCCTGTGTTGCTCTTGGACCCCTGGCCTCCTTTCCCCAAGTGTCAGCTGTCAATCCCAGCTCTCTCAGGAGAGAGGGAGCCTGTCTCACTGGTTCATGGGATCCTGTGACAGGGGACTCTTCCTTAATCTCTAAGACAAACAGGGAGGCACTTTGGGCTCTGAAATCCTGTGATTCCTGGGAAGGTCTGATTTGGATGTGTTTCTTCCCACCTTGGTGGTGGTGGTAGTGGCGGGATCTCCTCACTTTGTGGTGAGGAGCTGACAGTGACCCCAAAGCTCCTTCCATGTCATTTTCTGCTCCTCCAACAATCCCATGAGATGGGGATCCCACCAGCATCTTGCTGTTAGAGGTGGGAATGTTGGGGCTCAGAGGGGTTTAGTTACTCACTTGCTCAAGCTCACACAGCTAGGAGGAAGCAGAGCTGGGACTGAAGCCTAGGATTCTGTTTTTGTTTTTGTTTTGAGACAGAGTTTTGTTCTTGTTGCCTAGGCTGGAGTGCAGTGGCAGGATCTCAGCTCACTGCAACCTCTGCTTCCCGGGTTCAAGCAGTTCTCCTGCCTTAGCCTCCTGGGTAGCTGAGATTACAGGCACCCGCCACCATGCCCAGCTAATTTTTTGCATTTTTAGCAGAGATGGAGTTTCACCATATTGGCCAGGCTGGTCTCTAACTCCTGACCTCAGGTGATCTGCCCGCCTCGGCCTCCCAAAGTGCTGGGATTACAGGTGTGAGCCACTGTGCCTGGGCCAAACCCTAGGTCTTAAAGGAAACCTGAGGCCCTCGTCCTGCTTATGCTCACTCTTCTCCTGTCACCCAGAGTAGCAGCTATTTTTTTTTTTCTGGTGGGTGGGGGTTAATATCAACAATAAGAGTAAGACCAGAGATTGAAAAATAAGATAGTGAGAGGTCAAAAAGCCAGGCCCTGGTCCTGGTGTCAGCAGGGATTTCAGGAAACACATCACCTGTCAAACATGAAAACAAACACAGCCGTCTGTGCCCAGCCTCTTCCCGTGGGTGATCAGGACAAAGTCCAGAGGACCAGAGAGCTGGTGGCCAAGAACCAGCTTGCAGGTGGAGTGCCTGCAGATGGGCTGGCATCCAGGGCACAATAGCCCGGCCAGGCTTTCTCACTCCACTTTCTGCCCGACTGGGCAGACCGAGCTCCCACGGGATCGGATGCCCAACTCACCAAACTGGCTGGACCTCTGAGTCTCAAGCAGTTCCCAGTGGCACAGCCTGGAGGCTAGAGGCAGAGGCTCCTCCTTCCTTAGGCAGCCCAGCCTGGTCCTACTTCTCCCCCAGCCCCTTACCCAGGAGCAGCAGTGGTCATCTTCTGGCACGGAGCCTCTCCAGGATGGGCACATGGCTAGAGACTGGATCAGGCCTCAGAGGGCTTCAGACTGTTGGTCAGGAAAGCAACAACTTTTCCAGATCATCATCATCATCATCATAGTTGGTAACATTTATCTGACATTTACTGGGTGCCAGGAACTTTATAGATACAAACTCTTTAAGCCTGACCACAACCCATTATTAAGTTCATTTTACAGGTGGGAAAGCTGAGGCACAGTGGTAAGGTGATCACCCAAGGCTACACTGCTGGCAAGGTGTGGCAGATGTGGCATCTTTATGCAGGAAGAGTGGGAGGAGAGGGCCAGGCACCAGCATAGATTGTGCCCTACTATGCACTAGCCTGATGGCGATTCATCTTCATGCCTGCGGTAGGTGGGCGGGGTTGGCATCCCCATCTGTGGATAAGGGAGCAGCTCTGCAGTGTTTCCCAAGGTCATGTGGCAGATACCCGGCAGAGCCAGGGGTGGGAGCCAAGGGCCGGCTCTGTGATTCTGAGTCCAGTACTTCTTATCCCTCCCATGTGGGAGCCCCAGTGTGCAGGGACAGGGCCACAGGTAGAGAAAGGAGCTCCAGACTGGGAATCTTAAGTTCTCCACTTCATGCTTAGCCCAAGCTGCCTGTGCCACCTGCCATCTCTTGCTCTCTCTGCCTCCTCTGAAAAACGCAGTGATCTCAAAGTTCTTCTCATGCACAGTGATATTGCTCTGGGGTAACAGACTGGAGTAGAGGGAGCCTTGAGGCAGTCCAGGTTGAAAGATGGTGCAGGGAGCTTCATGTGACACTTTTTCGGATGCCAGAGTGCCAGGCAGATTCTCCCTGGCCAGGCGCTGCTGTACCAGAAACCCCAGGCCTGCCTGCACCCCACTGAGGAGCAGAGGGGCTGGCCTGTGTGAGGGATGGAGCCATGGCAGTGGGTCTCAATACACTGGAACCCCCTGGAGAACTGAAGAAACCCTGATGCCCAGGCTGCACCCCAGAACAACTCATCAGGGTCTCTGGCAGTGGGGGCCGGGCATCAACAACTTTCAGAACTCCTAGGGTAATTCCTGTGTGCAGCCAAGGCTGGGGACCACCACTCTAGGGCATTTAGGAGATGGCAGAAAAAACCTTGGCCCTCAGGTAGGCTTTCCAGGGCCTGTGACCTCCTGAAACTGGAAGGAAGTATGTGCCTGCCCGTCTGTGTGCATCTTTCTAGGGAGAGTTCACAGCTTCTGTCAGCTTTTCTGACCCAAAGGAGATTAAAATCCTTACTTGAACCCAGGCATTTGAGACAAGTCTGGGCAATAAAGTGAGACCCCATTTCTACAAAATAATCAGCCAGGCATCGTGGCGTGTACCTGTGGTCCCAACTCTATGGGAGGCTGAGGCAGGAGGATCACTTAAGCCCAGGAGGTTGAGGCTGCAGTGAGCTGTGTTTACACCATTGCACTCCAGCCTTGGTGACAGAGCAGAGTGAGGTCCTGTCTCAACAAATATATACATTTTAAAAAATCCTGTCTTAGGAGGAAGCAACCCATCTCTACCCCAATCCAGCGATATCATTCTAAGGATCAGAAACCTCCAGCTGCAGGATCAATTCTGGTCTAAGAAATCTTTCCTGATCTCTCTAGACCTCCCTTTTCTCTCCTGCTTCCTAAAAACATACATTGAGAGCTTCTTATACACAAGGCACTGTTCTAGGCTCTGGGAAACAGGGTGAGTGGCACAGGTGCAGCCCCTCCCCTTGAGGAGCCCATATTCTAGTGGCGGATGCAGATACACTAGTGAACAAATAGGCTAACTGCAGTGAGGGTGCCGTGTAACAACCCAGATGTCAACTCGGGCTGCTTCTTTGAGTCTCCTGGGGAGCCCAGCCCTACCCCTAGAGATCCTGATGACTTGGTTGGGGCAGGGGGCCTGGGCATGGCCTATGTTGATTGTAATGAGGAGCTGGAGTTGAGGCCTTCTGAATAGATTGGGTGTTTAGGGAGGGCCTTTGGGAGGAGGGATGTCAGCCTTCTGAGCCAAGGCTTGTGGGAAAATACGGGAAAAGAGTAATTCTGGCAGAGAAACCCTTTTGCAAAGGCCCTCAGGTAGGTATAAGGACCTGGGGCCTGATATACCAGGACAACAGGAAAGAGGCTACATGAGCCTGTGGGGGGAAGAGGACAGAGGAATGGCAACCCTGGCGGGGCCCCGCCGGCCACACGGGGAGCCTGGATTTAAAGTGAGTATGTCTTCAGCCACATTGCCTTTGGAGAGTCACAGACAGGAGTGACGAGATCTGGGTCGTGTTTTTCAGAGTCCTCCCTGCTGCTGTGTGGACGACACGTGGGCACAGGCAGAAGTGGGCCCTGTGACCAGCTGCACTGGTTTCGTGGAAGGTAAGTCCTGGGCTGAGAGGAGTGGTGGGTTGGAGGGGACACACTTGGGCTGTGAGGCGAGGAAGGTGGAGACCGAGCATGGCCCTCAGGTGTTCAGTCTGAGCCACCAGGTGGGTGGAGGGACCACTTCTTCCCCTTCTCTGGCTCCTACAGCATTTAGAGTCCTGGAGTGCTGGTCCCTGGGGAGGCTCGGCAGCAGGTCCTGGCATTCAGAGCTGGCCCAGGGTTGAGCACCTGACACACCCCCAACCTGCCCTGCGGGCAAGGACAGAAGAGGCCTGAGAACCGTCTCTTCGGACTCAGGGGCAGTGGAACTCAGACTGCCTTCAGGTGGCCGAGAACTTGAAAGCCCTGGTGTTCTTTGTGGCAGTCCCTCCATCTGTCTGTCCATCCATCCATCCACCTACCTACCCCTCCATCCCTGCATCCACCCAGTCTTTCATGCAGCAATATTTGTTGGGAGTCTGCCTTGTTCTCGTAAATAACAGTCTTCCCGTCAAGGTATCACAGTCCTCAGGGGAAAGGGACAGGTAAGTAGAAAGTGACTGCACAGCATGCGTTATAGGAACTGCCGTCTATCCACAGCAGACCATGTGGCAGGCATTTTGCCCTAATTTAATGTCTGGACAAATCTGCAAAGTAGGATTTTGGGGTTTTTTTTTTGTTTTTTGTTTTTTGTTTTTTTTAGGTGGAGTCTCACTCTGTCACCCAGGCTGGAGTGCAGAGGTGCGATCTTGGCTCACTGCCACCTCCACCTCCTGGGTTCAAGCAATTCCTCTTCCTCAGCCTCCCAAGTAGCCGGGACTGCAGGCACCCGCCACCATGCCCAGCTAAGTTTTGTATTTTTAATAGAGATGGGGTTTCACCATGTTGGCCAGGCTGGTCTCGAACTCCTGACCTCGTGATCCGCCCGCCTCGACCTCCCAAAGTGCTGGGGTTACAGGCTTGAGCCACCGTACCCAGCCTGCAAAATAAGTTTTATCTTTGTCATTTCACCAATGAGTAAAGTGAGGCTCAGAGAGGTTAAGTCACTTGTCCAAGGTCACACAGCTAGGAGGCATTAGAACTGCATTCAAATCCAAGGCAGCCTGATGCCAGAGCCTGTTCAGGGAGCTGCTCTAGTCTCCAGTGCCACTGGAAGGAAGGAGAGAGGGAGTGCCCCTAACCAACATGTGTCTTGGGGGTCAGAGGGTGGCAGTGGTAGTGATGAAAAAGCTGGCTGGAGTAGGAAGTTTCCTGGAGGTGGTGATTTTGGAGGTGAGTGTTAAATGATAAGTAGAAGTTGGCAAAATATTAATATAATAATTTTATTATACAAACTGATTTGGCATAAAATGATATATTTCGTCAATTAAAATTGTAGTTGCTCAGAAATGGTCAATTTACCTGGTGTCAAGTATAACATAAGATCAGCACCTCACCAGGAACGGTGGCTCACGCCTATAATCCCAGCACTTTGGGAGGCCTAGGCAGGTGTATCACCTGAGGTTAAGAGTTCAAGACCAGCCTGGCCAACACGGCAAAACCCTGTCTCTATTAATACACAAAAGTTAGCCGGGCATGATGGCACATGCCTGTAATCCCAGCTACTCTGGAGGCTGAAGCAGGAGAATCACTTGACCCTAGGAGACGGAGGTTGCCATGAGCCAAGATTGTGCCACTGCACTCCAGCCTGGGTGACAGAGCAAGAGCAAGAGTGCCTCAAAACAACCACCACCACCATAACAAAGATCAGTACCTCCATCCTGCTGCTCACAGCTCTCTGTGACTGTTCTGGAAGTTTCCCATTAAGATGTGCTTGCATCTCATTCCCTTGAATTGTCAGTGTTTTTAACACAGGAAAGCTTGGGCAGACTCTCCAATGTTTACCAAAAGTATACACAAGAAAGCATAACATTGGAGGACATTCTTTTGGCTTAAGATCATCTGTAAATTAAATCCTCATCCCTTGCTGCTTCTGCAAGCACTGAGCCAACTGATGATGATGATACAGACACCAGCCCCAGCTCCGGGTCATTGAGTCCTGACTGTACCAGGCGCTGACCTCACTCCCTCTTTAGGACGGGAGTCCAGTTGGGAGTTCCACTCCCCAAGGAGATGAATGAGGCCCAGGAAGTCCCTCCTCTGTGGCCACACATTGGCAAAGCCAGGATTTGAACCCTTGTTCAGGGATCCTGTGTCTTCTCTCTCTAAGTCACAATCAATTCCTGCCACCCAGCTGGCTGTTTTCTTTCTCCAAAGTTCCCGTGCTAAGGGTAGTCGTGACCCTTGCTGCCTCTTCGTTTTGTTTTTTTTGAGACGGGGTCTCGCTCTGTCGCCCAGGCTGGAGTGCAGTGGCGCGATCTCGGCTCACTGCAAGTTCCACCTCCTGGGTTTACACCATTCTCCTGCCTCAGCCTCCCAAGTAGCTGGGACTACAGGCGCCCGCCACCACGCCTGGCTAATTTTTTGTATTTTTAGTAGAGACAGGGTTTCACCGTATTAGTCAGGATGGTCTCGATCTCCTCACCTCGTGATCTGCCTGCCTCAGCCTCCCAAAGTGCTGGGATTACAGGTGTGAGCCACCGCGCCTGGCGACCCTTGCTGCCTCTTACAGACACTTGTGGGTGCGCCATTTGATCCTCTACACCAGGGGCCAGCAGGCTTTTTCTGTAAAGGGCCAGATAGACCAGTAGGCATGGCTGTGTGCAGAAATTTAGATTCCATGTAATTTTCATGCATTAAAGAATCTTTTTATTTTTCTTTTAACTATTTAAAAATATGAAATCTGGGCCGGGCACAGTGGCTCACGTCTGTAATCCCAGCACTTTAGGAGGCCGAGGCAGGTGGATCACGAGGTCAGGAGATCGAGACCATCCTGGCTAACACAGTGAAACCCGTCTCTACTAAAAATACAAAAACAAAATTATTCAGGCATGGTGGCGGGCGCCTGTAGTCCCAGCTACTTGGGAGGCTGAGGCAGGAGAATGGCGTGAACCCAGGAGGCGGAGCTTGCAGTGAGCCAAGATTGTGCCTCTGCCCTCCAGCCTGGGCAACAGAGGGAGATTCTGTCTCAAAAAAAAAAAAAAAAAAAAGATGAAATCTGTTCTTAGCTCAGAAGCTGTATAAAAAACAGGCAGGGGGCTGGATTTGGTCTGCAGGCTGCAGTTTACCAACCCTGGTTCCACACCAACCCTTATTTCTGTCTCATGGATGGCAGACTGAGGCTCAGCTCTCAGTATGGGAGGGCAGAGCCGGGCATAACCCCTGGCACTCTGAATTCAACCTCGGGGGCTCCTTGGAGCTTGGTGGTGGTTGTGGATTCCTTGAAGTTGATGCCACAGCCCATCGTGGGTGACCTGGGTGTGTCCCCGCCTCAGGCTGAGCTGACTTCCTTGCCTGTGTGGGATTGCCCATCTCCCGCTGAGTGTGGAGAATGTTCTTCACCCTCTGCTCCCTGTCAGTTTGAGGCAGAAGCATCTGCACTTGCAGGGCAGGAAGACTTTGTCTTCTGGATCTTGGCCAGTGTGCCTGGGAGCTGCCCATCCCAGGTTCCAGTTATCAGCACCTTCTCCTCCCTCGGGTGATGTCCAGATACCTCTGGGTCTGTCCCACTTGACTGGGCTGCCTGGCTCTCATTTCAGCCTCTGGACCCACCCAGCTGCCTCCTGTGTGGGATGGAGCCCATGGGTGGTGTAAGGGGCCAGGCAGCCTGGGCCCTGTCCTTGCCAGTCCTCCTACTTGAGACCTTGGGCAGGCTCCTTCTCCCCTCTGTGCCTCTGTTTGCATGTAGAGGGCTGAAGAGCTTAGCCCAGTGCCTGATACAATCTGTGTGCGTGACCAAGGGACCAGCCAAGCTTGCCCAGGGTCTGGAATATCATGGGAATACCAGCCCAGCCACGTCTGCCTTGGTGACAAGGTTTCCCAGCCTCCTCCTTGCCCTCTGAGCAGAGCTCCTCTGAGCAGTCATTTTGTCCTCACACCTAACTGGACAAAGGAAACCCAGCCGTCCCCAAAGATCCCTTTATAATCCTGGCTACTGTCCAGGAGGGACCACTTCACAGAAGAAAGATCTTGGGGTCTGAAAACCACTGCCACTTATGACCTGTGTGACTTGGGCAAGTTACTGAACCTGTCTGAGCCTCTGGTCTGCCAGGGATAGGAATACTCACTTCCTGGGCTGGTTGTGAGGATGATGGGGGATGATGTCTGAACATGGCCACTTGTAGTAGTTGCTATTCCCTGGCGGCCACTCCTTCTCCTTACAGACGTCATACTTACTCTTATTTTTGTTTTTATTTTTTTTGAGACAAAGTCTCTGTTGCCCAGGCTGGAGTGCAGTGGCGCAATCTCAGCTCACTGCAACCTCCACCTCCTGGGTTCAAGCGATTCTTGTGCCTCAGCCTCCTGAGTAGCTGGGATTACAGGCACCCACCCCCACGCCTGGCTAATTTTGTATTTTTAGTAGAGATGGGGTTTCACCATGTTGGCCAGGCTGGTCTCGAACTCCTGACCTCAGGTCTTCTGCCAGTCTCGGCCTCCCAAAGTGCTGGGATTACAGGCATGAGATACCGTGCCCGGCCTATACTTATTCTTTTCTAAAAGCTGCCCTTTGCTGAATGCCCCACCGTGAGGCTGAGCAGAGGATGTGTGAGCTGGAAAGTGTAGAAACCCCTTTCCCGGACTTTCTGAAACTGCAACACCGTGGATCTGACTCAGGGTTGCCAAAGAACTCTTTCCACACTTCTGCAATTTCACAAGGATGCCAATGGCCCCATTGCCAAGACGCATAGTTTGTTGGCGGACTGCAGTTAGTGGATGTTCTTCTGGTGAAGGGGTGGCCTAGCTACTGCTGCTTGGGCGCTGAACCTGGTTGGTCTCTTGGGGCATGCCCCGTATTGTTTACTGGGAGGAGACCTGGTCAGGCTGAAACACAGCAGATCCGTGGTAGGAAAGAAGAACAGATGCCGCCTGGCTTTGGGAGAGAATCTCTCTTCTCTTGCTGTTTAGTTCCTGGAGTCTGTGAAGTGCCTGTGGTATGTCAGGCTCTGTGCTGGGAGGTGAGAGAGAGGAAAAACAATAGCTATCCTTGATGTAGTGCAGACTCCCAGGAGGCCTTCCTAGGCCAGGACGGGGTTTGGGCATTGAAGATCTCTGGCTTCCTGGGCACGGGGAAGTCATGTTTTCTCCTCTCTAGGTCTGGGGAGTTGCCCAGGTTGCACTGCCCTGGCTCCCGAGTCACTGCCATCTCTGCAATTCTCAGACCCAGGCCTTGGAGCCCCCTAGACTGGAAGAGCCATTTAGTCTAATCTCCCTACATAGCACTTAAATCCCCCAGGAGTATTTTTTTAGACTTTGCTTCCATGCCGCTTGTGATGGGAAGCTCACTACCACCCAGGCAGCTTTTTCCTAACTTGGGCAGCTTTGCTTCATATTATACCTCCCAAATCTGCCCTTTAAAAAGGCACTTAAAGAAAACTTCCTGTAACAAAGCTGTTAGAGGAAAGAAAACTGGACTGGACCCCTTGGGAGGTCATGAACCCTCCTCATTAGCCACCTTCCCCATCACCGGAGGTGTGTGAAGTGGAAGCTGAGCTCCCACTTGACAAGGAGGATGGAAGATTGTTGATCGTTAGCATGTCCAGAAAAGAGTAGGGAACCTGTGTGTAGCCGGGGAAATTGAAGACTTTCAAGTGGTGCTGGAGGAAGAAGGAGTGAAGCCCGGGCCTCCGGCTTTCCTTTCCCTTTGCTCTGTGGCCTGCCCTTCCCCCTCCATAAGGCAGGGAAACACAAGTGGGCCTGGTGCCGTCCCCTCCACCCCCCCAGCCCAGCTCTGCCCATGCAGCTGTCCCAGGCCAGCTGTCCAGGCCCCAGCTGCCCGGCGGTGCTGGCTCCCTTTGCCCCAAAGGGTCTGAAGGCTGGCGGCTGGCACTCCTGGATTTTCTGGCCTCTGAGTCAGGGTGAGAACAGTCAGCTTCCAGCTTCCCTCTTCCTCCCGGGGCCCTCCCCTCACCTGGGGTCTTTTGGAGTGGAGGGGGCACAGCATGCCCAAGCATGGTTTGTGTCATTTCAGAAGCACAACTTGTGTCATCGGGGAGACTGTGAAAACTTGGAAACAACCTGTGTGTCCAATCTTAGAGTATCAGTTAAATGCTTTTATGGGATGGCCACATCTGAGACTTTAACCTGGGGCCACTGGGGTTCCTGAATGGGTTTCAGAGGTCCATGAACTCCCAGAAATTATTAGCATCACAAAATGCTAACTACACATGAATTTTTTGGGGGACTCTGTGAGCCCCCAAATGTTAATAAGTACTAATAGGATGGAATCCTATGCAACATGTGAAACTATGAAGAGCATTTTATCAACATATAGAGAGTGAAGATTGTAGAATGAAAAAAACAGGCTAGAAAACACTATACAGAATGAGCCCAATTTTGATTAGAACCATTTGTTATACACACACACACACACACACACGAATAATAGCTACTAAAACGATGACAGTTTTTAATCTCTGGAGTGAGATACATTTTGCTTGATTTCTGTTTTTCTGTATTTGTTGGGTGTTCTACAATGCATGTTTATTCCCTTTGTAATAAGAAGCTGGGACGCTCAGCCTATTTTCTGAGAAGCCAAAATTCCCCTTCTCGCCTTGGCAGACCCCACAACTCCCAGCCCCTAGTCCCAGAGGGAGTCTGTGGAACAAGCACAGGTCTCACCTCTGGGTCTCTGTCAATGGATCACTAACTTCCCGGCCCCCTGACTTCAAACAGAGTCCATCTGTGCAAGTTCCAGAGCCTGGGTCATGGAGGTGAGGGGTGAGGGTCTCCCTCTGTCATTTTGCTCCCACCAGCCCCAGCCCCAGCCCCAGCCCCAGTGCAGTGGCTGATCCGGATCCTAACTGCCAAGCATCAAGTGCCTGGCACACAAGACTGCTCGTGGGACCTCATTTCCTAGCTGTGTGGCTTTGGGCTAGTTGTCTAACCTCTCTGGGCCTCTGCATCCTCTAAGGCAGGGACAGGGTTAGTACCCACCTCCTGGGGTTGCTGCAAGGGCAGACTGAGCTGATCCCCTCACTGGCCTGCCTGCCTTCTCTCTTCCAGGAAGCTCCAGGACTGGCGGGATGGGCTCAGCCTGTATCAAAGTCACCAAATACTTTCTCTTCCTCTTCAACTTGATCTTCTTTGTAAGTATGTCCCATGCCGTCCTGACCACCTCCGAAAAGATTCTCCTTCCAGGGGCATCCCAGCCTGAGCCTTTCCAGAGCCGACCGGGCCGGGGATTGGGGGGATTTGGTGGGTAGGGACTGAGGACGAACTATCTCCAACGGAACCTAGTTGGGGTGGTGAGGAGATTCCCTGCCATTCCCAGCTGGTCCTTTGACCAAGCACTGGATTCCTGACCCGGCCTTCCCCTCTCCTAGATCACCCAAAGCCTGGGCTGGCGGTGGGTATGGGGAAGGAGAGGAGAGCCCCTGGGCATCCCCCTAACTCAACAGCAGGAGCTGCTAGAAGAAGCCTCTTAGCATCTCTCTAGTCCTGTCCTGGCCCCCACCCTGCCCATGTGAAGAATTGACCTGTGACAGTTCCAGGCCCCAGTTGCCCCTATCACACCCCCGTCCCTGTCGTGGGAAGGTATCTCCCTGAGCTCTCATAGGGAGAGCAAGAGGGCGCCAGGCGTGGGGCCAGTGAAGGGCACATACCTCCTTCCCCAGACCCACCCCAGCAGATGGGCCATCCGGATGTCAGCTCTGTGGACATTGACTGCTGGTTTTCCTGGGGCCTCGGTTTTCCTCTCTGGCCTGGCATGGACTGCCTCTTGCCTTGGAGTTGCTGGGATGGTGGGGTGTGTGTGTGAGTGAGAGTGTGTTGTTGGGGGGCAGTGCCCTGGAGAGGACTTCATAGCCTCAGAGTAGTGTTGGGAGCGCTGGCTTCCCTGTGTTGACGGTTTAACCCTATAGTGTTAAAAAAAAATCAGGTTGTACAGTAGGATGTTTCTTATGATCCAAAGTTTTAAATGTACGTATTCATTAAAAAGTGAGTATTTTTGAGAGGAGAAGAAAATACCTCAATGTTAATGTTGGGATTCTTGGGAATTTTGATTTTATTCTTTATGCATCTCTGTATTTTCCCAATTTTCTACGGTAGATATTAATTACTTGTTTGGGGAACAGGGGGTTTACATTACAAGTTACATAGTTTATGGGAAGTTTGGGAAATAAACAAGAATCATTCTAAATTCCCCTTCTGGCCAGACATGGTAGGTCTTGCCTGTAATCCCAGTGCTTTGGGAGGCCAAGGCAGGAGGATTGTTTGAGTCCAGGAGTTCTAGACCAGCTTGGGCAACATAGCAAGACCCTGTTTCTCTACAAAAAAAAAAAAAAAAAAAAAAAGAATTTTAAAAATTCCCCCTTCACAGCTTTAACCCAATGCACAGACATGTACAATGTGTTCCTGGCACCCGCACACAAGTGTTCATACACGCATGCACACACACAGGAAGCCCTGGCGCTGCCTGCCTTGCTTTTTTTCCACCCTGGCCCCGGCCCTAGCTCCCTCCTGGAGGACCCTGTGAGGCCCCACTGTGGCTCTGGCCCTCTGCTCATGGCAGCCGGGCCTGGAACCCACCCCAGGCCGGGCTTGGGCTTCCCCAGCTTGGCGGTCAGGTCTCTCCTGGCTGCCCTAGGACTTTGGGAAGCAGCTGCCTGTGCAGGCAAAGCCAAGCTTTTCCTGGCAAGCACTTGGTGTCTGGGCGGAGACCCAGCATAAAGGCCAATGGGCCAGGACTCGGGGGAAGGGGTGCGTGGGCACTGTAGCTCTATCCCTGGGGGCTTTAGGGACTAGAGAGAGGAGCCTGGGCTCTGGCCTAGGAGATCACGGAGCTTGGGTTTCAGTGATAAAGAAACTTTCCTTCATGCAGTGGGGGTTGGGGAGACCCTCATAGAGAAAGGGAGTGGGGTTGGTGGTTTCAGCCAGGGTGGCCCTTTCTGTCCTGCTCGCAAGTTGCCCTGTGGAACCAGGGACTGGAAAAGCTGCTCTCTGGCCAGGGCTTGGCCTCCTTTTGGCTCCTCCAGGGGCTGGCAGGAGTCAGGTGTTAACTGTCTGTGTACTGGGGCCTAGGATGACCCATCAGGATGGTGGAGGGGGGAGGGGCAGCTTGTATGACAGGAGGGTGAGAGTGAAAGAGGAGGGCTGGAGGAGGCAGAACGGGCTTGTTTACTCCTCAGCAAATGTGTATCTGACACCTCAGCATCTTCAGATGTTCAGGGCGGAAGAGCCCTGATTGCTATACTTCCGGAGCTTGTGTCCTAGGGAGCAGT
This sequence comes from Homo sapiens, assembly GCF_000001405.40. Classification (NCBI taxonomy): domain Eukaryota; kingdom Metazoa; phylum Chordata; class Mammalia; order Primates; family Hominidae; genus Homo; species Homo sapiens. The sequence goes on from NC_000011.10 coordinate 44,596,859, forward strand.
GGGCTTCCATCAAATAACTACTCAAATGCATGAAAAATTGCAGTTGTTGGGGGTACTAGGAACAGATAGGCTCTTCGGAAAGCAGATGAGGCTCTTGGCCTGGTCATGGAGGTCAGCAAAGGCTTCCTGGGGTTCTGGGTGTGGCTTTGGAGAGGGGGATCCTGGCAGCAGGGGCAGCCGGTGGAGGCAGAGTGCACCTCCCCAGGCATAGACCCGGCCAGCCTGCCTCTTTGTTTTATGCACATTGGGAGGGGTTTCGTGGTTGGATTTGTGGTTTGGAAAAATCCCCGTGGCTGCTATGTGTGCTCGCGCCTGCGTGCATGTGCACCTGTATGTCTTTGCCTGTACTCCCTCTGGACTCCAGACTCCCCAGCGCATTGCCACTTTTCTCAGGTCCAAAGGAATGCAGAGGCACTGGTGCTGTGGCTATGCTGGGGAAGGACGCTCACTGCTCTGAGGGTCCTGGCTCCTGATGGGTCCCATCTGGGGATTGGGGAAGGGCTGGGGGAGTGATTAACATGGGGCCTGCCCCACAGCTCCAGTCTTGGTTCACAGAGAAAAAGGGGGTGCCATGGTGCCTTGCCCATTCTGGTAGGCTGCCCAGCCTCCTTTCTGGCTCTGCCACAGCCCCGTGGCTAATCCAGCCACATCTGACCATCAGGCTGGGGTCATCAGACCTACAGAGGGACTGAATGGGTAGCCCCGGGGACTTTGCTCTCTGGGTTCCTCTTGGCAAGCTGAGGAGCCAGCTGAGTAGTGTGGGGTTTTGATCTACTTGGGATTATGTGTGCCAAGAGGGGATTTTCTGTCCTGCCTCCCATTCCCTTTTGGTAGGGGCTGTCCTCCCTCCTGTCCCACCCTGTGAATGTGGGAGGGAATGGGGCAGGGGCTCTGCCCACATGGGTCTGAGATGCAGAGGGAGCAGACGTGGGCCTGAGCACTGGCCCCTGCCTCGCTGTGCTGTGGGGTGGTTGTGGGCTGGGTAGGGTTGCAGGTCTTGGGGAACCAAACTCCCAGGTCCTGGAAAGCCCCCATTTCCCCCAGCTGTGCAAATTAAGGTGGACCCACCTTCCAGCAGACTCTTCTCCTCCCCAGTGTCTCAGGGGCTTTTCTGTCCCGAGACTGGCTTTCTGGGTGAAGGCCCAGGATGGATCCAAAATATCCCTATAGCTCACCTGCCACCATCTGGCTTCCAGTCCCTGATGGATAAAATCAAGGCCTCATATAAAATTCCGTGTGTATAAAATGAGGTCAATTACAAGGCCCGTCTCACTGGGAGAGAGGAGAGGACAGATAATACCTCAGTGATGATTCTGGTGGGAGACACTGGGGGGCAGACGTGGGGTGGTCACCGTGCCTTTGTGGTTGTAGTCATCAGTCACAGTGGTCTTTAAGGTAGCAAGTACAAGGGTAAAGGGAGAGAGGCAACCCCCTACTGAGCCACCTGGGCCCTGGGGCAAAAGGAAACATTGATAATACTGATACTGTCAACATTTTATTTCAAAGTTTAATAGTTCAGTTATCATGGATTTTTGGCCTTAATTTTTTTTTTTTTTTTTTTTTTTTTTTTTGAGACGGAGTCTCACTCTTGTTGTCCAGTCTGGAGTGCAGTGGCGTGACCTTGGCTCACTGCCACCGCCGCTTCCTGAGTTCAAGTGATTCTCCTGCCTCAGCCTCCTGAGTAGCTGGGATTACAGGACCCCATCAACACGCCCAGCTAATTGTATTTTTAGTGCAGACGGGGTTTTGCCATGTTGGCCAGGCTGGTCTCAAACTCCTGACCTCAGGTGATCTACCCGCCTGAGTTTTTGGTGCCTCCTCATGTGTTACACCTGAGGCAGGTGCCTCGTGCCTTGGGCCGGTCCTGGCTCTGGTCTTTGATAATGATAGAATGATTCTGATGGAGACCCTGTGCCCAGGCCAGCCCCAGGCTCGGGGCTCTATGGCAGCTGCTGGCCTCCAACCTGAGATTATGGGATGATGGCTGAGGTGGGAACCCAGGGCTGTGATACAGGTGGGAGTTTCAAGACGGGTCATCCACCAGGTGGGCCCAGTCCAGGCCCCCACTAATGGCCAGCCTTGTGGGTTGACACAGGGCCACCCCCACCTCCAAAGGGAACCTGCATCTTTGCCCAGATGGCAGGCACTTCCCCAGCCTTTGCCAGCTTTATGGGATGGTGGATCTTGGCTGGGACTCCACCTGGGGAGATGAGCTCAGCCCTGGTAGATGGGAGAGAGGCAGGGAATCCCTGGGCTTGGGATCCTTATTTGTAACACCTCATTCATTTTTTCCTTTTTGTGGGGGGCAGAGTGAGGGGGTCTTGCCCTGTCACCCAGGTCATGTCATGAACACAGTTCACTGCAGCCTTGACTTCCCTGGGGCCAAGTGATCCTCTCTTCTCAGCTTCCCCAGTAGCTGGGACTACAGGCATGCACCACCACATTGGCTAATTTTTGAAATTTTTTGTAGAGTCAAGGTCTCACTGTGTTGCCCAGGCTGGTCTCAAACTCCTGGGCTCAAGTGATCCTCCTGCCTGGGCCTCACAAAGTGTTGGGATTACAGGCATGAACCACCGGGCCTGACCTTCATTTCCCTTTCTAGTCCTGCATTTGCAGTTTGGTTCATCAGCTCATTCATTCCCCCAGCCACTTAGCACCCAGTGCTGTAGAGCTGCTGGGGATGCAGAGCTGCCTCCAGCCAGCCCTGCCCTCAGGGAGCTCACAGTTTAGCCAGAGAAACCAACACAGCAGTTAGACCCAGTCGGAATGACTGTTAAGAAGGGTGGGACAGTGGTTGCTGCAGAATGGGGGCACCCGAGTCTGCCTGAGGGGGTCAGAGAAGGCTCCTGTGGCAGGTGACCCTGTTGTTCAGACCTGGGGATGAGTTGGGCTTTGATGTTCAAGTCCACGGAGGGTCCTCCTCAGAGCCTTTCTTGTTTGGGAAGCTCCCAGGCCCTGAACTGGGTGGAGTCGGGGGGATGAGCTGAGAAAAGAGCCAGGAGATGTGGCAGGAAGGGTGCCCCTGGCAGGAGGCTGCACCAGGAGGCTTGGCTGAATCACACATGGTGGAGGGGGGCAAGATGGGAGGCAGGAGGGATTCCCTATCCAGGGTCCTGGTGTCTGGCTTGCTGCGATGTGGGACCGGAGGCCATCTGGACATCTCTGGGCTGGAGAAGGGTGGATGTGGTGCCCTCTGTGGCCCCCTGCCCTGCCCACCCTGACTTGGGTTCCAGGGACAGCTGGCAGGGGGAGGGCTATCTGCTCTTGGCTCCCCATTAACTGCTCCCTTCTCCTTCCAGATCCTGGGCGCAGTGATCCTGGGCTTCGGGGTGTGGATCCTGGCCGACAAGAGCAGTTTCATCTCTGTCCTGCGTAAGGACCCCTCAGCTTCCCCAGACCCAGGCCCACTGAAGAGGGGAGGGCCAGGGCGCAGATACAGCTGCTCCCATAAGTGCTTCGGCTTCAATGCCTGTTGCTTTTCCCGCTGACCTCAGGGATGTGGCGAGGTCCTGCTGCCCACCACTGCCCATGGCTCCCTCTGCAGGGGTTTCCAAAAGGAATTTTCTCTTCTTCCCCGAACAAAGCTGCTGTTGTCTGGGGGAACACTGGGGATGAGGGAGGCTTGTTTTCCCTTCCTGGCCCCTTCCCTTGGCCCTGACCTTAGGAAAGCCTCTTACATTCTCTGTCCCGTCACTTGCCCATCCAGCAGAATGTAGGCAACAGCCCCTCCCATTTCACAGGGATGTAGGAAAGATAGTCAGGGGCTGATGAGGCACCTGCTATGAGTGGTGCTTCGCTATAAGCCTGGCAGCACCTACGTGGGTCAGGTGTGTGCACAGATGAGGAAGGTTCCAGGCACAGTCACCAATTATCAGGCTCCTCATGTGCCAGGCAGTTTGCACCGATAAACTGTCTTAATCCCACCACAGCCCTGTGAGGTAGATACTGTTCTATTCCCACCTCACCAATGAAGAAACAGAGGCTCAGAGAGGTTAAGTCCCTTGCTGAAGTTCACACAGCTTCTAAATGGTAGGTGTGGGACTCGAACTCCAAGAGCTTTGGTCCTAAATGCAGCACATGGCAGGGTGAGCCACAGTGTGGAAACCCCTTCTTTCACCAGAGGCAGAAGGAAAGGGGCCTAAGGCATTTTTACAGGGATAAGAGCCCTTCTGCGCCTGCTCGGCCTCCTCCAGGAAGCCGTCAGGGCCTGCCACGCTGACTTCTCAGGGGCTCCCTGTGGTGGGAGAGGGAGGCACAGCGGAAGCCCCCAGGGGACAGCCGTGCCACTCCCCTCGCTGAGTTTGGCCTTGGCTCACTTCTCCCAGCAGCTGCCCAAGGCAGCTGGTTTGGAATGTGGCCCATGACAGCTGCTTGATTTACATAAAGCGGAACCTAGCTAGGATGTGATGATGGAGGGGCCACATCTGTCCCCCTGGCCCCAGGGGCTAGGCCTCCCCTCCAGGAGATGGAAAGCAAGGATGATCTACACTCTAGCCACATCTGATGCACCCCGGGGCTATCAGTCTCATCCCCTTTCACCCTCCATTCTGGGGTTAGGGTGGGTGGGCTACCCGTGCCCCCCACATTCTCCTGGCCTGTGACACACCCTCCTTGGCCCCATTAGGCCCAGCTCTCTACTTCCTGAGTCATGGCCCAACCCAGCAGGCACTGCACCCCAGGGCAAAGTCTAGAGGCCCAGCCTGCCCACCCACATTTCTGCCCTCTGCGCCCTGCCCTGCAACTGGCGCAGTGGGGGTGAGCCCACTGGGTGGGGAGAGCTTCCTGCATGGCTCTGGCCTCCTCCCTGTTCGGGTCTGAGAATCTCAAGCTGGCCGGACCTTAAAGGTCTACTATCTGCAGGAGGGGGTGCATTTTACAAATGCTTTGGCCCGAGCCCCACCCACCCCAAGGGACCTGACTCGGTTGGTGTGGGTGGGAGCCTGAGTGCTGGTGTTTTCTAAAAAGTTCCCCAGGTGGATTCCCCAGGCAGCCAGGGTTCAGAAACACTGATCCTCTTGCCTGGTCACTAGGCACTTGTGTAAACTGAGGCCGGGGGTGGGGAAAAATGACTTGCTAATAGTCACAGAGCAGCTGAGGGGCAGAACTGGGGACAGCTCTTTCCCTACCGAGTTGAATCCCTGCTCTGAGTCCACTGGGCTGGGCATTCCTATCCTCATTTTACAGAGGAGGAAATTGAAGCACAGAGAGGTGTAGTAACTTGTTTAAGGGCACACAGCAAGCTGGTAGGGGAGCTGGCTGCAGATGAGGTAGCCTAGCTTCCGAGCCCGTGCCTTGAACCCCTGGACCACATGGCTCTGCAGCCACATGCCACTGGTTAGTACCTTAGTAACAGGAAGCACTTTGCAATGAAGAGCAGACTCTAGCCTGACTGCTGGGGTTCGATTCACGGCGGTGCTGTCCACTAGCTGTGTGACTCTCAGCACATTGCTTCACCTCTCTGTGCCTCCTCACCTATAAAATGAGGATCGTAATAGAGTGCACTTACTGTGGTTATTGTGAGAAATTAAATGGGCCTCTCATTTTTATCTGAAAAGAGTTTGGGACAGCCCCCAGTGAAAAACCCTACATAAGTGATTGTTAGCTAAATTTTATAATACAATTTAATCCTTTTGCCATCTTCAAGTAGCAGGCTTTAGACCCATTTTACAGAGAAAGAAATAGTAAATGGCTTGCCCAGGGTCAGAGTGTGTTGGCAGCAGAGCTGGGATTAGAATCTACTTTTCTTATCCCTCATCCCTTTCTGTTTGGGCCGCTTCCTTTGGTCCCTTCTAGGCCCAGAAAGACTAAAAGGTGAAAAAAAAATTTTTTTTTCCATGCCCTGTGGATGGCCTACCCCAGAGCATACCCTCACCTACTTCCTAAGTCAGCTTGCTCAGATATGGGGTAGGCCTGGGATCCTGGGGGGAGACAGGGAATGGCATCAATTAAATGTTCTGAGATACGGAGACCTCGCAGTTTGTCTGGTCTCCCAGGGGAAGGATCTGAGTTGGGGTCTCAGCCCTGATCCTTCCCTGCCAGGCACCTTGCAGCCTGCTAGCCTTTCTGAGCCTCGGGGTCCTTGCAGACAAATCAGGATGTGAGTACAGCCACAGAGGGTGGTTGCTGAAATTAGGCAGGATGCTTTGGATAAAGGGCCTTGTTCAGGGCTGGCACACGGCGGCTGTCTGGGCAATGTCAGTTTCTTTTTTCTGGGAGTAATCACTGGGAGGAATTGTTGGAAGCCTCAACCCAGGAAGTTTAGGAAAAGTGGAATTGACAGCCTCTCCCTGCCCACGCTGATGGCTGGGGCTCAGTGCCAGAAGATCCCCGCACTCACCCTGAGGAAGGTGGGGGGCTCCTGTGAGGAACTGGGTGGAGGAAGCCTTGAGAGTAGGGTTGGCCAGGGCTCTTCCTGAGCTCCAGAACATTCTGTCTGTTATCAGGAAGCGGAGCTGAATCCCACAGACTCCCTCCCGTCCTCCAGTTTGATAGTTATTCTGTAAGGGCACTAACGCCCCTTGGGGACCAAGGTGGGGACCTCGGCCTCTCCAGGATCCCCAGGGAGTCGTGGCCAGCCCCAGGCCTGTATTCTCCCTGCTGATGGTAAAGGGGTTGGTCCTGGCTGTGCCTCAGTGCTTAGGGGAGCAGATTAAAAACGCAGGTCCTTGGCCTCCTGCTGGGAGCGTCTTGGTCGGGTTGTAACGGACTCAAGCATCTGCATCCCTAAGAGGCTCCTCTGATCCACACTACTCTCCAGCCTTCTGGAGACGCCAGCACCCTCGCCCTCCAGGTGCGTCCCATGCCCTGGGGGTACAGTGTACCCATGCTGGTGAGTTAGAGATGACATGAGCTTTACCCTGTGTGATGGGTTGGGTGTCTTAGGAAATGTTGGCCAAGTGCCCCTGCAGGACTCCTGACCTCTACCTCCCGGAATGGGCCTGTCCACAGGTAGCTCTAAAGAGGGTCTTAGCCATCAGGCCCATTCCTGTACCTCCTAAGCATCATTTCCTCCCGGGCTTCTTTCTTGCTCTCACTGGTCCGTTCTCTCACCTTCTTTCCAATCTTCAAATAACCAAGCTCCTCCTTCCTCAGGCCTTTGCACCTGCTGTGTTCCCTGCCTGGAATGCTTTTCTTACAGATCTTTGCTTGGCTGACTTCTTCATTCATGTCTTGGCTCAAATGTCACTGGCTCAGGCTGGCCTTCGTCGACCCATTCTGACCCTCTCCCAGCCCAGCAGTTCTCTGCAGTTAGCCAGCTTTGGTATCTTCATGGCGCCCAACACAACCAGAAAACCTGTATTGTGTACTTTTTGTCTCCACTCCCCACCCCCAAATGTCAGACCTTGTTAGTCACTCTTCTGCATCCCCAGCAACTGGCACAGTGCCTGGCATGAAGTGGGCACCCAGTAAACATTTCTTGGCCGAATGAACATGCAGCACACCTGTAGCAATACATGTGCCCCGTGCATCAGTGGAAAGAGTGTGGCACTGGAGATTTGCATATTTTCAAATTCCAGCTCAGGCCCTTGCCTGTTCGCCTTTCTGAGCCTCATTTTTTTCTTCTGTGAAATGGCCATGCTAGTGCCTGCCAGGCAGGGTGATGTCAGAGTTGGAGACGGCGTGTGGAAAGCCCATGAGGCACAGTGAGTGGGCAAGAAAGGCTGGTGTTTGTTATTATATGGACAAGAAGGAAGGCGGGTTAAAAATCAGCTTGGAATCTTAATGTCAGTGGCCCCTGGAGAACCAGCCAGCCTCTTGTCTGTCAATTCCGCAGATATTCACTGTGCACAGCACCTCACTGCGAGAGGCGCTGTTCGAGCTGGGGGTTCCCCAGGAATAAAGTGAAGCTTCTGCCCTCATGCACCTCAGGTCCTTGGTGGAGGGGGAGAGCAGACAATGAGCAAGAAGAATCAGTGAAATGTAGTCTATTCAATCCTGAGAAGCCTTACGAAGTAAAAAATAAAGCCGGGAAGGGGCTTAGGCTGGATGAGGGTGTGGATTGCAATTTTACTGGGGGAGGGACACAAGTGGGGATGGGGGTGACCTGGTTCCCTGTTGGGCAGTGAGAAGCCAGCAGGGGAATGCAGCTGACCCCAACACCCTGGCTCCAAAGAGGGGATCCGGAAGAAGACCTGGACGGTTAGGCCAGGTGTTTATACCTGCTGTGCCCACTGATTTTGTACTTCTTCTTCCCCCTAGAAACCTCCTCCAGCTCGCTTAGGATGGGGGCCTATGTCTTCATCGGCGTGGGGGCAGTCACTATGCTCATGGGCTTCCTGGGCTGCATCGGCGCCGTCAACGAGGTCCGCTGCCTGCTGGGGCTGGTGAGTACGGATCCCTCCGCAGCTGCCTGCCCATTTCCTCTCATCCAGCCGAGTGCAGCCTGACCGCGGCGCTGGCCGTAACATCGGGTGGAGAGCATCTCTCGGGGCACGCAGGCTGGGTGCACCTGGTCGGGGACCCTCAGCTGACTTTGTGCCTGCTCTGTGTCCCCAGTACTTTGCTTTCCTGCTCCTGATCCTCATTGCCCAGGTGACGGCCGGGGCCCTCTTCTACTTCAACATGGGCAAGGTAAGCCCCTCTCTCCCTCCCTCTT